>NC_000006.12:58853888-59153888 GCF_000001405.40 Homo sapiens | reverse complement strand
GAGAATTCTTCTGTCTGGGTTTATAAGATGAAAACCCGTTTCCAACGAAGGCCTCAAGGAGGTCCAAATACAAACAAGCTGATTCTACAGAAAGAGTGTTTCCAAACTGCTCTATCAAGAGGAATGTTCCACTCGGTGAGTTGAATGCAGACATCACAAAGGAGTTTCTGAGATTGCTTCTGTCTAGCTTTTATGGAAAGATATTTCCTTTTCTACCATAGGCCTCAAAGTGCTCTTAGTATACACTTCCAAATTCTACAAAGAGAGTGTTACTAAACCGCTCTCTCAAAGGAAATGTTAAACTCTGTGAGTTGAACACAGACATCACAAAGCAGTTTCTGAGAACACTTCTGTCTGCTTTTATGTGAAGACATTCCCTTTTCCAAAGAATGCCTCCAAGGGCTCAAAATATCCACTTGTAGACTTTACAAAGAGAGTGTTTCAAAACTTCTCTACCAAAAGAAAGGTTAAAGACGGTGAGTTCAACGCACACATCACAAAGTTGTTTCTGAGAATGATTCTATCTATGTTTTCCATGAAGATGTTTCCTTTTCTATCATAGGCTTCAAAGTGGTCTAAATATCCACTTGGAAATCCTACAAGAACAGGGTTTCAAAACTTCTCTATCAAACGGAAGACTCCACTCTGTGAGATGAACGCACACATCACAATGAGGTTTCTGAAAATTCTTCTGTCTAGGGTTATAGGAAGAAATCCCGTTTCCAACGAGGGCCTCAAAGAGGTCCACATATCCACTTGCAGTTTCTACATAAAGAGTGTTTCAACACTGCTCTATAAAGAGGAAAGTTCCACTCTGTGAGTTGAATGTACACATCACAAAGTAGTTTCTGAGATTGCTTTCTGTCTAGGTTTTAGGTGAAGTTATTTCCTTTTCTACTGTGGGCTTCAATGCGCTCTAAATATACACATGCAAATACTACGAAAAGAGTGTTTCAAAACTGCTCTATCAAAAGAAAAGTTTTACTCTGTGGGTTGAACGCACACATCGCAAAGCAGATTCTGAGAATTATTCTGTCTAGTTTTTATAGGAAGATGTTTCTTTTTCTGCCATAGGCTCAATGCGCTATAAATATCCCCTTGGAAGTCCTACAAAAACAGTGTTTCAAAACTGCTCTGTGAAAAGGGAGGTTTCACTCTTTGAATTGAATGCACACATCACAAAGGAGTTTCTGAAAATTCTTCAATCTAGAGTTACATGAAGAAATCCCGTTTCCAAAGAAGGCCTCAAATAGGTCCAAATATCCACTTGCAGCTACTACAAGAAGGGTGTTTCAGAAACGCTCTATCAAAAGAAACGTTAAACTCTGTGAGTTGAACGCACACGTCACTAAGCACTTTCTGAGAACGATTCTATCTACTTTTTACATGAAGATGTTTCCTTTTCTAGCAGAGACTTCAAAGTGCTCTAAATATCCACTTGGGAATTCTACAAAAACGGTGTCTCAAAACTGCTCTATCAAAGGGAATGTTCCATTCTGTGAGTCGAATGCACACATCCGAAGAAGTTACTGAGAATTCTTCTCTGTAGGTTTAGATGAAGAAATCCCGTTTCCAACGAAGGCCTCTAGGAGGTCCAATTATCCACTTGCAGATTCTACAGAAAGAGTGTTTCAAAACTGCTCTATCAAGAGAAATGGTCCACCGTGTGTGTGGAATGCAGCCATCACACATTAGTTTCTGAGATTGCTTCTGTCTTGGTTTTATGGGGAGATATTTCCATTTCTAGCATAGGCTTCAAGGCGCTCTAAATATCCGCTTGGAAATAGTACAAAAACAGTGTTTCAAAACTGCTGTATCCAAAGGAAGGTGCCACTCGCTGAGTTGAATGTACACATCACAAGGAAGTTTCTGAGAATTCTTCTGTCTAGATTCATACGAAGAAATCCCGTTTCCAACGAAGGCCTCAAAGAAGTCCAAATATCCCATTGCAAATTCTACAAAAGGAGTGTTTCCCAACTGCTCTATCAAGAGGAATGTTGCACTCTGTGACTTGAATGCAAACATCACATAGCAGTGTTTGAGAATTCTTCTGTCTAGAGTAACATGAAGAAATCCCGTTTCCAACGAAGGCCTCAAGGCGGTCCAATTATCCACTTGCAGATTCTACAGAAAGAGTGTTTCAAAACTGCTCTATCAAGAGAAATGTTCCACCGTGTGTGTGGAATGCAGCCATCACACAGTAGTTTCTGAGATTGCTTCCGTCTAGGTTTTATGGGAAGATATTTCCTTTTCTACCATAGGCTTCAAGGCGCTCTAATATCCGCTTGGAAATACTACAACCACAGCGTTTCAAACTGCTCTATCCAAAGGAAGGTTCCACTCTGTGACTTGAATGCACACAACCAAAGAAGTTTCGGAGAATTCTTCTGTCTGGATTTATACGAAGAAATCCCGTTTCCAACGAAGACCCAAAGGAGTTCCAAATATCCACTTGCAGATCCTTCAGAAAGAGGGTTTCAAAACTGCTCTATCAAGAGAAATGTTCAACTCTGTGAGTTGAATGCAGACATCACAAAGTCGTTTCTGAGATGGGTTCTGTCTAGGTTTTATGGGAAGATATTTCCTTTTCTACCATACGCTTCAAGGCGTTCCAAATATCCGCTTGGAAATACTACAAAAACAGTGTTTCAAAACTGCTCTATCAAAAGGAAGGATCCACACTGTGAGTTGAATTCACACATCACAAAGAAATCTCTGAGAATTCTTCTGTCTGGGTTTATAGGAAGAAATCCCGTTTCCAACGAAGGCCTCAAAGCGGTCCATATATCCACTTGCAGATTCTACAGAAACAATGTTTCCAAACTGCTCTATCAAGAGGAATGTTGCACTCGGTGAGTTGAATGCACACATCACAAAGTAGTTTCTGAGATTGCTTCTGTCTACCTTTTATGGAAAGATATTCCCTTTTCTACCATACGCCTGAAAGCGCTCTCAATGTACCCTTGCAAATTCTACAAAAAGAGTGTTTCTAAATTGCTCTATCAAGAGAAATCTTTATCTCGGTGAGTTGAAAGCACACATCACAAAGAAGACTCTGAGAATTCTTCTGTCTGGGTTTATAAGATGAAAACCCGTTTCCAACGAAGGCCTCAAGGAGGTCCAAATACAAACAAGCTGATTCTACAGAAAGAGTGTTTCCAAACTGCTCTATCAAGAGGAATGTTCCACTCGGTGAGTTGAATGCAGACATCACAAAGGAGTTTCTGAGATTGCTTGTGTCTAGCTTTTATGGAAAGATATTTCCTTTTCTACCATAGGCCTCAAAGCGCTCTTAGTATACACTTCCAAATTCTACAAAGAGAGTGTTACTAAACTGCTCTATCAAAGGAAATGTTAAACTCTGTGAGTTGAACACAGACATCACAAAGCAGTTTCTGAGAACACTTCTGTCTGCCTTTTACGTGAAGACATTCCCTTTTCCAAAGAATGCCTCCAAGGGCTCAAAATATCCACTTGTAGACTTTACAAAGAGAGTGTTTCAAAACTTCTCTACCAAAAGAAAGGTTAAAGACGGCGAGTTCAACGCACACATCACAAAGTTGTTTCTGAGAATGATTCTATCTATGTTTTCCATGAAGATGTTTCCTTTTCTATCATAGGCTTCAAAGTGGTCTAAATATCCACTTGGAAATCCTACAAGAACAGGGTTTCAAAACTTCTCTATCAAACGGAAGACTCCACTCTGTGAGATGAACGCACACATCACAATGAGGTTTCTGAAAATTCTTCTGTCTAGGGTTATAGGAAGAAATCCCGTTTCCAACGAGGGCCTCAAAGAGGTCCACATATCCACTTGCAGTTTCTACAAAAAGAGTGTTTCAACACTGCTCTATAAAGAGGAAAGTTCCACTCTGTGAGTTGAATGTACACATCACAAAGTAGTTTCTGAGATTGCTTCTGTCTAGGTTTTAGGTGAAGTTATTTCCTTTTCTACTGTGGGCTTCAATGCGCTCTAAATATACACATGCAAATACTACAAAAAGAGTGTTTCAAGACTGCTCTATCAAAAGAAAAGTTTTACTCTGTGAGTTGAACGCACACATGGCAAAGCAGATTCTGAGAATTATTCTGTCTAGTTTTTATAGGAAGGTGTTTCTTTTTCTGCCGTAGGCTCAATGCGCTATAAATATCCCCTTGGAAATCCTACAAAAACAGTGTTTCCAAACTGCTCTGTGAAAAGGGAGGTTTCACTCTTTGAATTGAATGCACACATCACAAAGGAGTTTCTGAGAATTCTTCAATCTAGAGTTACAGGAAGAAATCCCGTTTCCAAAGAAGGCCTCCAATAGGTCCAAATATCCACTTGCAGCTACTACAAGAAGGGTGTTTCAGAAACGCTCTATCAAAAGAAACGTTACACTACTGTGAGTTGAACGCACACGTCACTAAGCACTTTCTGAGAACGATTCTATCTACTTTTTACATGAAGATGTTTCCTTTTCTAGCAGAGACTTCAAAGTGCTCTAAATATCCACTTGGGAATTCTACAAAAACGGTGTCTCAAAACTGCTCTATCAAACGGAATGTTCCATTCTGTGAGTTGAATGCACACATCCGAAGAAGTTACTGAGAATTCTTCTCTGTAGGTTTAGATGAAGAAATCCTATTTCCAACGAAGGCCTCTAGGAGGTCCAATTATCCACTTGCAGATTCTACAGAAAGAGTGTTTCAAAACTGCTCTATCAAGAGAAATGGTCCACCGTGTGTGTGGAATGCAGCCATCACACATTAGTTTCTGAGATTGCTTCTGTCTTGGTTTTATGGGGAGATATTTCCATTTCTAGCATAGGCTTCAAGGCGCTCTAAATATCCGCTTGGAAATACTACAAAAACAGTGTTTCAAAACTGCTGTATCCAAAGGAAGGTGCCACTCGCTGAGTTGAATGCACACATCACAAGGAAGTTTCTGAGAATTCTTCTGTCTAGATTCATACGAAGAAATCCCGTTTCCAACGAAGGCCTCAAAGAAGTCCAAATATCCCATTGCAAATTCTACAAAAGGAGTGTTTCCCAACTGCTCTATCAAGAGGAATGTTGCACTCTGTGACTTGCATGCAAACATCACACAGCAGTGTTTGAGAATTCTTCTGTCTAGAGTAACATGAAGAAATCCCGTTTCCAACGAAGGCCTCAAGGCGGTCCAATTATCCACTTGCAGATTCTACAGAAAGAGTGTTTCAAAACTGCTCTATCAAGAGAAATGTTCCACCGTGTGTGTGGAATGCAGCCATCACACAGTAGTTTCTGAGATTGCTTCCGTCTAGGTTTTATGGGAAGATATTTCCTTTTCTACCATAGGCCTCAAGGCGCTCTAATATCCGCTTGGAAATACTACAACCACAGCGTTTCAAACTGCTCTATCCAAAGGAAGGTTCCACTGCTGTGACTTGAATGCACACAACCAAAGAAGTTTCGGAGAATTCTTCTGTCTAGATTTATACGAAGAAATCCCGTTTCCAACGAAGACCCAAAGGAGTTCCAAATATCCACTTGCAGATCCTTCAGAAAGAGGGTTTCAAAACTGCTCTATCAAGAGAAATGTTCAACTCTGTGAGTTGAATGCAGACATCACAAAGTCGTTTCTGAGATTGGTTCTGTCTAGGTTTTATGGGAAGATATTTCCTTTTCTACCATACGCTTCAAGGCGTTCCAAATATCCGCTTGGAAATACTACAAAAACAGTGTTTCAAAACTGCTCTATCAAAAGGAAGGATCCACACTGTGAGTTGAATTCACACATCACAAAGAAGTCTCTGAGAATTCTTCTGTCTGGGTTTATAGGAAGAAATCCCGTTTCCAACGAAGGCCTCAAAGAGGTCCAAATATCCACTTGCAGATTCTACAGAAACAATGTTTCCAAACTGCTCGGTCAAGAGGAATGTTGCACTCGGTGAGTTGAATGCACACATCACAAAGTAGTTTCTGAGATTGCTTCTGTCTACCTTTTATGGAAAGATATTCCCTTTTCTACCATAGGCCTGAAAGCGCTCTCAATGTACCCTTGCAAATTCTACAAAAAGAGTGTTTCCAAATTGCTCTATCAAGAGAAATCTTTATCTCGGTGAGTTGAAAGCACACATCACAAAGAAGACTCTGAGAATTCTTCTGTCTGGGTTTATAAGATGAAAACCCGTTTCCAACGAAGGCCTCAAGGAGGTCCAAATACAAACAAGCTGATTCTACAGAAAGAGTGTTTCCAAACTGCTCTATCAAGAGGAATGTTCCACTCGGTGAGTTGAATGCAGACATCACAAAGGAGTTTCTGAGATTGCTTCTGTCTAGCTTTTATGGAAAGATATTTCCTTTTCTACCATAGGCCTCAAAGCGCTCTTAGTATACACTTCCAAATTCTACAAAGAGAGTGTTACTAAACCGCTCTCTCAAAGGAAATGTTAAACTCTGTGAGTTGAACACAGACATCACAAAGCAGTTTCTGAGAACACTTCTGTCTGCCTTTTATGTGAAGACATTCCCTTTTCCAAAGAATGCCTCCAAGGGCTCAAAATATCCACTTGTAGACTTTACAAAGAGAGTGTTTCAAAACTTCTCTACCAAAAGAAAGGTTAAAGACGGTGAGTTCAACGTACACATCACAAAGTTGTTTCTGAGAATGATTCTATCTATGTTTTCCATGAAGATGTTTCCTTTTCTATCATAGGCTTCAAAGTGGTCTAAATATCCACTTGGAAATCCTACAAGAACAGGGTTTCAAAACTTCTCTATCAAACGGAAGACTCCACTCTGTGAGATGAACGCACACATCACAATGAGGTTTCTGAAAATTCTTCTGTCTAGGGTTATAGGAAGAAATCCCGTTTCCAACGAAGGCCTCAAAGAGGTCCAAATATCCACTTGCAGTTTCTACAAAAAGAGTGTTTCAACACTGCTCTATAAAGAGGAAAGTTCCACTCTGTGAGTTGAATGTACACATCACAAAGTAGTTTCTGAGATTGCTTCTGTCTAGGTTTTAGGTGAAGTTATTTCCTTTTCTACTGTGGGCTTCAATGCGCTCTAAATATACACATGCAAATACTACAAAAAGAGTGTTTCAAAACTGCTCTATCAAAAGAAAAGTTTTACTCTGTGAGTTGAACGCACACATCGCAAAGCAGATTCTGAGAATTATTCTGTCTAGTTTTTATAGGAAGATGTTTCTTTTTCTGCCATAGGATCAATGCGCTATAAATATCCCCTTGGAAATCCTACAAAAACAGTGTTTCAAAACTGCTCTGTGAAAAGGGAGGTTTCACTCTTTGAATTGAATGCACACATCACAAAGGAGTTTCTGAAAATTCTTCAATCTAGAGTTACATGAAGAAATCCCGTTTCCAAAGAAGGCCTCAAATAGGTCCAAATATCCACTTGCAGCTACTACAAGAAGGGTGTTTCAGAAACGCTCTATCAAAAGAAACGATAAACTCTGTGAGTTGAACACACACGTCACTAAGCACTTTCTGAGAACGATTCTATCTACTTTTTACATGAAGATGTTTCCTTTTCTAGCAGAGACTTCAAAGTGCTCTAAATATCCACTTGGGAATTCTACAAAAACGGTGTCTCAAAACTGCTCTATCAAAGGGAATGTTCCATTCTGTGAGTCGAATGCACACATCCGAAGAAGTTACTGAGAATTCTTCTCTGTAGGTTTAGATGAAGAAATCCCGTTTCCAACGAAGGCCTCTAGGAGGTCCAATTATCCACTTGCAGATTCTACAGAAAGAGTGTTTCAAAACTGCTCTATCAAGAGAAATGGTCCACCGTGTGTGTGGAATGCAGCCATCACACATTAGTTTCTGAGATTGCTTCTGTCTTGGTTTTATGGGGAGATATTTCCATTTCTAGCATAGGCTTCAAGGCGCTCTAAATATCCGCTTGGAAATAGTACAAAAACAGTGTTTCAAAACTGCTGTATCCAAAGGAAGGTGCCACTCGCTGAGTTGAATGCACACATCACAAGGAAGTTTCTGAGAATTCTTCTGTCTAGATTCATACGAAGAAATCCCGTTTCCAACGAAGGCCTCAAAGAAGTCCAAATATCCCATTGCAAATTCTACAAAAGGAGTGTTTCCCAACTGCTCTATCAAGAGGAATGTTGCACTCTGTGACTTGAATGCAAACATCACATAGCAGTGTTTGAGAATTCTTCTGTCTAGAGTAACATGAAGAAATCCCGTTTCCAACGAAGGCCTCAAGGCGGTCCAATTATCCACTTGCAGATTCTACAGAAAGAGTGTTTCAAAACTGCTCTATCAAGAGAAATGTTCCACCGTGTGTGTGGAATGCAGCCATCACACAGTAGTTTCTGAGATTGCTTCCGTCTAGGATTTATGGGAAGATATTTCCTTTTCTACCATAGGCCTCAAGGCGCTCTAATATCCGCTTGGAAATACTACAACCCCAGCGTTTCAAACTGCTCTACCCAAAGGAAGGTTCCACCCTGTGACTTGAATGCACACAACCAAAGAAGTTTCGGAGAATTCTTCTGTCTGGATTTATACGAAGAAATCCCGTTTCCAACGAAGACCCAAAGGAGTTCCAAATATCCACTTGCAGATCCTTCAGAAAGAGGGTTTCAAAACTGCTCTATCAAGAGAAATGTTCAACTCTGTGAGTTGAATGCAGACATCACAAAGTCGTTTCTGAGGTGGGTTCTGTCTAGGTTTTATGGGAAGATATTTCCTTTTCTACCATACGCTTCAAGGTGTTCCAAATATCCGCTTGGAAATACTACAAAAACAGTGTTTCAAAACTGCTCTATCAAAAGGAAGGATCCACACTGTGAGTTGAATTCACACATCACAAAGAAATCTCTGAGAATTCTTCTGTCTGGGTTTATAGGAAGAAATCCCGTTTCCAACGAAGGCCTCAAAGCGGTCCATATATCCACTTGCAGATTCTACAGAAACAATGTTTCCAAACTGCTCGGTCAAGAGGAATGTTGCACTCGGTGAGTTGAATGCACACATCACAAAGTAGTTTCTGAGATTGCTTCTGTCTACCTTTTATGGAAAGATATTCCCTTTTCTACCATAGGCCTGAAAGCGCTCTCAATGTACCCTTGCAAATTCTACAAAAAGAGTGTTTCCAAATTGCTCTATCAAGAGAAATCTTTATCTCGGTGAGTTGAAAGCACACATCACAAAGAAGACTCTGAGAATTCTTCTGTCTGGGTTTATAAGATGAAAACCCGTTTCCAACGAAGGCCTCAAGGAGGTCCAAATACAAACAAGCTGATTCTACAGAAAGAGTGTTTCCAAACTGCTCTATCAAGAGGAATGTTCCACTCGGTGAGTTGAATGCAGACATCACAAAGGAGTTTCTGAGATTGCTTCTGTCTAGCTTTTATGGAAAGATAATTCCTTTTCTACCATAGGCCTCAAAGCGCTCTTAGTATACACTTCCAAATTCTACAAAGAGAGTGTTACTAAACCGCTCTCTCAAAGGAAATGTTAAACTCTGTGAGTTGAACACAGACATCACAAAGCAGTTTCTGAGAACACTTCTGTCTGCCTTTTATGTGAAGACATTCCCTTTTCCAAAGAATGCCTCCAAGGGCTCAAAATATCCACTTGTAGACTTTACAAAGAGAGTGTTTCAAAACTTCTCTACCAAAAGAAAGGTTAAATACGGTGAGTTCAACGCACACATCACAAAGTTGTTTCTGAGAATGATTCTATCTATGTTTTCCATGAAGATGTTTCCTTTTCTATCATAGGCTTCAAAGTGGTCTAAATATCCACTTGGAAATCCTACAAGAACAGGGTTTCAAAGCTTCTCTATCAAACGGAAGACTCCACTCTGTGAGATGAACGCACACATCACAATGAGGTTTCTGAAAATTCTTCTGTCTAGGGTTATAGGAAGAAATCCCGTTTCCAACGAAGGCCTCAAAGAGGTCCAAATATCCACTTGCAGTTTCTACAAAAAGAGTGTTTCAACACTGCTCTATAAAGAGGAAAGTTCCACTCTGTGAGTTGAATGTATACATCACAAAGTAGTTTCTGAGATTGCTTCTGTCTAGGTTTTAGGTGAAGTTATTTCCTTTTCTACTGTGGGCTTCAATGCGCTCTAAATATACACATGCAAATACTACAAAAAGAGTGTTTCAAAACTGCTCTATCAAAAGAAAAGTTTTACTCTGTGGGTTGAACGCACACATCGCAAAGCAGATTCTGAGAATTATTCTGTCTAGTTTTTATAGGAAGATGTTTCTTTTTCTGCCATAGGCTCAATGCGCTATAAATATCCCCTTGGAAATCCTACAAAAACAGTGTTTCAAAACTGCTCTGTGAAAAGGGAGGTTTCACTCTTTGAATTGAATGCACACATCACAAAGGAGTTTCTGAAAATTCTTCAATCTAGAGTTACATGAAGAAATCCCGTTTCCAAAGAAGGCCTCAAATAGGTCCAAATATCCACTTGCAGCTACTACAAGAAGGGTGTTTCAGAAACGCTCTATCAAAAGAAACGTTAAACTCTGTGAGTTGAACGCACACGTCACTAAGCACTTTCTGAGAACGATTCTATCTACTTTTTACATGAAGATGTTTCCTTTTCTAGCAGAGACTTCAAAGTGCTCTAAATATCCACTTGGGAATTCTACAAAAACGGTGTCTCAAAACTGCTCTACCAAAGGGAATGTTCCATTCTGTGAGTCGAATGCACACATCCGAAGAAGTTACTGAGAATTCTTCTCTGTAGGTTTAGATGAAGAAATCCCGTTTCCAACGAAGGCCTCTAGGAGGTCCAATTATCCACTTGCAGATTCTACAGAAAGAGTGTTTCAAAACTGCTCTATCAAGAGAAATGGTCCACCGTGTGTGTGGAATGCAGCCATCACACATTAGTTTCTGAGATTGCTTCTGTCTTGGTTTTATGGGGAGATATTTCCATTTCTAGCATAGGCTTCAAGGCGCTCTAAATATCCGCTTGGAAATACTACAAAAACAGTGTTTCAAAACTGCTGTATCCAAAGGAAGGTGCCACTCGCTGAGTTGAATGCACACATCACAAGGAAGTTTCTGAGAATTCTTCTGTCTAGATTCATACGAAGAAATCCCGTTTCCAACGAAGGCCTCAAAGAAGTCCAAATATCCCATTGCAAATTCTACAAAAGGAGTGTTTCCCAACTGCTCTATCAAGAGGAATGTTGCACTCTGTGACTTGAATGCAAACATCACATAGCAGTGTTTGAGAATTCTTCTGTCTAGAGTAACATGAAGAAATCCCGTTTCCAACGAAGGCCTCAAGGCGGTCCAATTATCCACTTGCAGATTCTACAGAAAGAGTGTTTCAAAACTGCTCTATCAAGAGAAATGTTCCACCGTGTGTGTGGAATGCAGCCATCACACAGTAGTTTCTGAGATTGCTTCCGTCTAGGTTTTATGGGAAGATATTTCCTTTTCTACCATAGGCTTCAAGGCGCTCTAATATCCGCTTGGAAATACTACAACCACAGCGTTTCAAACTGCTCTATCCAAAGGAAGGTTCCACTCTGTGACTTGAATGCACACAACCAAAGAAGTTTCGGAGAATTCTTCTGTCTGGATTTATACGAAGAAATCCCGTTTCCAACGAAGACCCAAAGGAGTTCCAAATATCCACTTGCAGATCCTTCAGAAAGAGGGTTTCAAAACTGCTCTATCAAGAGAAATGTTCAACTCTGTGAGTTGAATGCAGACATCACAAAGTCGTTTCTGAGATGGGTTCTGTCTAGGTTTTATGGGAAGATATTTCCTTTTCTACCATACGCTTCAAGGCGTTCCAAATATCCGCTTGGAAATACTACAAAAACAGTGTTTCAAAACTGCTCTATCAAAAGGAAGGATCCACACTGTGAGTTGAATTCACACATCACAAAGAAATCTCTGAGAATTCTTCTGTCTGGGTTTATAGGAAGAAATCCCGTTTCCAACGAAGGCCTCAAAGCGGTCCATATATCCACTTGCAGATTCTACAGAAACAATGTTTCCAAACTGCTCTATCAAGAGGAATGTTGCACTCGGTGAGTTGAATGCACACATCACAAAGTAGTTTCTGAGATTGCTTCTGTCTACCATTTCTACCATAGGCCTGAAAGCGCTCTCAATGTACCCTTGCAAATTCTACAAAAAGAGTGTTTCCAAATTGCTCTATCAAGAGAAATCTTTATCTCGGTGAGTTGAAAGCACACATCACAAAGAAGACTCTGAGAATTCTTCTGCCTGGGTTTATAAGATGAAAACCCGTTTCCAACGAAGGCCTCAAGGAGGTCCAAATACAAACAAGCTGATTCTACAGAAAGAGTGTTTCCAAACTGCTCTATCAAGAGGAATGTTCCACTCGGTGAGTTGAATGCAGACATCACAAAGGAGTTTCTGAGATTGCTTCTGTCTAGCTTTTATGGAAAGATATTTCCTTTTCTACCATAGGCCTCAAAGCGCTCTTAGTATACACTTCCAAATTCTACAAAGAGAGTGTTACTAAACCGCTCTCTCAAAGGAAATGTTAAACTCTGTGAGTTGAACACAGACATCACAAAGCAGTTTCTGAGAACACTTCTGTCTGCCTTTTATGTGAAGACATTCCCTTTTCCAAAGAATGCCTCCAAGGGCTCAAAATATCCACTTGTAGACTTTACAAAGAGAGTGTTTCAAAACTTCTCTACCAAAAGAAAGGTTAAAGACGGTGAGTTCAACGCACACATCACAAAGTTGTTTCTGAGAATGATTCTATCTATGTTTTCCATGAAGATGTTTCCTTTTCTATCATAGGCTTCAAAGTGGTCTAAATATCCACTTGGAAATCCTACAAGAACAGGGTTTCAAAACTTCTCTATCAAACGGAAGACTCCACTCTGTGAGATGAACGCACACATCACAATGAGGTTTCTGAAAATTCTTCTGTCCAGGGTTATAGGAAGAAATCCCCTTTCCAACGAAGGCCTCAAAGAGGTCCAAATATCCACTTGCAGTTTCTACAAAAAGAGTGTTTCAACACTGCTCTATAAAGAGGAAAGTTCCACTCTGTGAGTTGAATGTACACATCACAAAGTAGTTTCTGAGATTGCTTCTGTCTAGGTTTTAGGTGAAGTTATTTCCTTTTCTACTGTGGGCTTCAATGCGCTCTAAATATACACATGCAAATACTACAAAAAGAGTGTTTCAAAACTGCTCTATCAAAAGAAAAGTTTTACTCTGTGGGTTGAACGCACACATCGCAAAGCAGATTCTGAGAATTATTCTGTCTAGTTTTTATAGGAAGATATTTCTTTTTCTGCCGTAGGCTCAATGCGCTATAAATATCCCCTTGGAAATCCTACAAAAACAGTGTTTCAAAACTGCTCTGTGAAAAGGGAGGTTTCACTCTTTGAATTGAATGCACACATCACAAAGGAGTTTCTGAAAATTCTTCAAACTAGAGTTACATGAAGAAATCCCGTTTCCAAAGAAGGCCTCAAATAGGTCCAAATATCCACTTGCAGCTACTACAAGCAGGGTGTTTCAGAAACGCTCTATCAAAAGAAACGTTAAACTCTGTGAGTTGAACACACACGTCACTAAGCACTTTCTGAGAACGATTCTATCTACTTTTTACATGAAGATGTTTCCTTTTCTAGCAGAGACTTCAAAGTGCTCTAAATATCCACTTGGGAATTCTACAAAAACGGTGTCTCAAAACTGCTCTATCAAACGGAATGTTCCATTCTGTGAGTCGAATGCACACATCCGAAGAAGTTACTGAGAATTCTTCTCTGTAGGTTTAGATGAAGAAATCCCGTTTCCAACGAAGGCCTCTAGGAGGTCCAATTATCCACTTGCAGATTCTACAGAAAGAGTGTTTCAAAACTGCTCTATCAAGAGAAATGGTCCACCGTGTGTGTGGAATGCAGCCATCACACATTAGTTTCTGAGATTGCTTCTGTCTTGGTTTTATGGGGAGATATTTCCATTTCTAGCATAGGCTTCAAGGCGCTCTAAATATCCGCTTGGAAATACTACAAAAACAGTGTTTCAAAACTGCTGTATCCAAAGAAAGGTGCCATTCGCTGAGTTGAATGCACACATCACAAGGAAGTTTCTGAGAATTCTTCTGTCTAGATTCATACGAAGAAATCCCGTTTCCAACGAAGGCCTCAAAGAAGTCCAAATATCCCATTGCAAATTCTACAAAAGGAGTGTTTCCCAACTGCTCTATCAAGAGGAATGTTGCACTCTGTGACTTGCATGCAAACATCACACAGCAGTGTTTGAGAATTCTTTCTGTCTAGAGTAACATGAAGAAATCCCGTTTCCAACGAAGGCCTCAAGGCGGTCCAATTATCCACTTGCAGATTCTACAGAAAGAGTGTTTCAAAACTGCTCTATCAAGAGAAATGTTCCACCGTGTGTGTGGAATGCAGCCATCACACAGTAGTTTCTGAGATTGCTTCCGTCTAGGTTTTATGGGAAGATATTTCCTTTTCTACCATAGGCCTCAAGGCGCTCTAATATCCGCTTGGAAATACTACAACCACAGCGTTTCAAACTGCTCTATCCAAAGGGAAGGTTCCACTCTGTGACTTGAATGCACACAACCAAAGAAGTTTCGGAGAATTCTTCTGTCTCGATTTATACGAAGAAATCCCGTTTCCAACGAAGACCCAAAGGAGATCCAAATATCCACTTGCAGATCCTTCAGAAAGAGGGTTTCAAAACTGCTCTATCAAGAGAAATGTTCAACTCTGTGAGTTGAATGCAGACATCACAAAGTCGTTTCTGAGATTGGTTCTGTCTAGGTTTTATGGGAAGATATTTCCTTTTCTACCATACGCTTCAAGGCGTTCCAAATATCCGCTTGGAAATACTACAAAAACAGTGTTTCAAAACTGCTCTATCAAAAGGAAGGATCCACACTGTGAGTTGAATTCACACATCACAAAGAAGTCTCTGAGAATTCTTCTGTCTGGGTTTATAGGAAGAAATCCCGTTTCCAACGAAGGCCTCAAAGCGGTCCATATATCCACTTGCAGATTCTACAGAAACAATGTTTCCAAACTGCTCTATCAAGAGGAATGTTGCACTCGGTGAGTTGAATGCACACATCACAAAGTAGTTTCTGAGATTGCTTCTGTCTACCTTTTATGGAAAGATATTCCCTTTTCTACCATAGGCCTGAAAGCGCTCTCAATGTACCCTTGCAAATTCTACAAAAAGAGTGTTTCCAAATTGCTCTATCAAGAGAAATCTTTATCTCGGTGAGTTGAAAGCACACATCACAAAGAAGACTCTGAGAATTCTTCTGTCTGGGTTTATAAGATGAAAACCCGTTTCCAACGAAGGCCTCAAGGAGGTCCAAATACAAACAAGCTGATTCTACAGAAAGAGTGTTTCCAAACTGCTCTATCAAGAGGAATGTTCCACTCGGTGAGTTGAATGCAGACATCACAAAGGAGTTTCTGAGATTGCTTCTGTCTAGCTTTTATGGAAAGATATTTCCTTTTCTACCATAGGCCTCAAAGCGCTCTTAGTATACACTTCCAAATTCTACAAAGAGAGTGTTACTAAACCGCTCTCTCAAAGGAAATGTTAAACTCTGTGAGTTGAACACAGACATCACAAAGCAGTTTCTGAGAACACTTCTGTCTGCCTTTTATGTGAAGACATTCCCTTTTCCAAAGAATGCCTCCAAGGGCTCAAAATATCCACTTGTAGACTTTACAAAGAGAGTGTTTCAAAACTTCTCTACCAAAAGAAAGGTTAAAGACGGTGAGTTCAACGCACACATCACAAAGTTGTTTCTGAGAATGATTCTATCTATGTTTTCCATGAAGATGTTTCCTTTTCTATCATAGGCTTCAAAGTGGTCTAAATATCCACTTGGAAATCCTACAAGAACAGGGTTTCAAAACTTCTCTATCAAACGGAAGACTCCACTCTGTGAGATGAACGCACACATCACAATGAGGTTTCTGAAAATTCTTCTGTCTAGGGTTATAGGAAGAAATCCCGTTTCCAACGAAGGCCTCAAAGAGGTCCAAATATCCACTTGCAGTTTCTACAAAAAGAGTGTTTCAACACTGCTCTATAAAGAGGAAAGTTCCACTCTGTGAGTTGAATGTACACATCACAAAGTAGTTTCTGAGATTGCTTCTGTCTAGGTTTTAGGTGAAGTTATTTCCTTTTCTACTGTGGGCTTCAATGCGCTCTAAATATACACATGCAAATACTACAAAAAGAGCGTTTGAAAACTGCTCTATCAAAAGAAAAGTTTTACTCTGTGGGTTGAACGCACACATCGCAAAGCAGATTCTGAGAATTATTCTGTCTAGTTTTTATAGGAAGATGTTTCTTTTTCTGCCGTAGGCTCAATGCGCTATAAATATCCCCTTGGAAATCCTACAAAAACAGTGTTTCAAAACTGCTCTGTGAAAAGGGAGGTTTCACTCTTTGAATTGAATGCACACATCACAAAGGAGTTTCTGAAAATTCTTCAAACTAGAGTTACATGAAGAAATCCCGTTTCCAAAGAAGGCCTCAAATAGGTCCAAATATCCACTTGCAGCTACTACAAGAAGGGTGTTTCAGAAACGCTCTATCAAAAGAAACGTTAAACTCTGTGAGTTGAACGCACACGTCACTAAGCACTTTCTGAGAACGATTCTATCTACTTTTTACATGAAGATGTTTCCTTTTCTAGCAGAGACTTCAAAGTGCTCTAAATATCCACTTGGGAATTCTACAAAAACGGTGTCTCAAAACTGCTCTATCAAACGGAATGTTCCATTCTGTGAGTCGAATGCACACATCCCGAAGAAGTTACTGAGAATTCTTCTCTGTAGGTTTAGATGAAGAAATCCCGTTTCCAACGAAGGCCTCTAGGAGGTCCAATTATCCACTTGCAGATTCTACAGAAAGAGTGTTTCAAAACTGCTCTATCAAGAGAAATGGTCCACCGTGTGTGTGGAATGCAGCCATCACACATTAGTTTCTGAGATTGCTTCTGTCTTGGTTTTATGGGGAGATATTTCCATTTCTAGCATAGGCTTCAAGGCGCTCTAAATATCCACTTGGAAATACTACAAAAACAGTGTTTCAAAACTGCTGTATCCAAAGGAAGGTGCCACTCGCTGAGTTGAATGCACACATCACAAGGAAGTTTCTGAGAATTCTTCTGTCTAGATTCATACGAAGAAATCCCGTTTCCAACGAAGGCCTCAAAGAAGTCCAAATATCCCATTGCAAATTCTACAAAAGGAGTGTTTCCCAACTGCTCTATCAAGAGGAATGTTGCACTCTGTGACTTGAATGCAAACATCACATAGCAGTGTTTGAGAATTCTTCTGTCTAGAGTAACATGAAGAAATCCCGTTTCCAACGAAGGCCTCAAGGCGGTCCAATTATCCACTTGCAGATTCTACAGAAAGAGTGTTTCAAAACTGCTCTATCAAGAGAAATGTTCCACCGTGTGTGTGGAATGCAGCCATCACACAGTAGTTTCTGAGATTGCTTCCGTCTAGGTTTTATGGGAAGATATTTCCTTTTCTACCATAGGCTTCAAGGCGCTCTAATATCCGCTTGGAAATACTACAACCAGAGCGTTTCAAACTGCTCTATCCAAAGGAAGGTTCCACTCTGTGACTTGAATGCACACAACCAAAGAAGTTTCGGAGAATTCTTCTGTCTGGATTTATACGAAGAAATCCCGTTTCCAACGAAGACCTAAAGGAGTTCCAAATATCCACTTGCAGATCCTTCAGAAAGAGGGTTTCAAAGCTGCTCTATCAAGAGAAATGTTCAACTCTGTGAGTTGAATGCAGACATCAAAAAGTCGTTTCTGAGATTGGTTCTGTCTAGGTTTTATGGGAAGATATTTCCTTTTCTACCATACGCTTCAAGGCGTTCCAAATATCCGCTTGGAAATACTACAAAAACGGTGTTTCAAAACTGCTCTATCAAAAGGAAGGATCCACACTGTGAGTTGAATTCACACATCACAAAGAAATCTCTGAGAATTCTTCTGTCTGGGTTTATAGGAAGAAATCCCGTTTCCAACGAAGGCCTCAAAGAGGTCCATATATCCACTTGCAGATTCTACAGAAACAATGTTTCCAAACTGCTCGGTCAAGAGGAATGTTGCACTCGGTGAGTTGAATGCACACATCACAAAGTAGTTTCTGAGATTGCTTCTGTCTACCTTTTATGGAAAGATATTCCCTTTTCTACCATAGGCCTGAAAGCGCTCTCAATGTACCCTTGCAAATTCTACAAAAAGAGTGTTTCCAAATTGCTCTATCAAGAGAAATCTTTATCTCGGTGAGTTGAAAGCACACATCACAAAGAAGACTCTGAGAATTCTTCTGTCTGGGTTTATAAGATGAAAACCCGTTTCCAACGAAGGCCTCAAGGAGGTCCAAATACAAACAAGCTGATTCTACAGAAAGAGTGTTTCCAAACTGCTCTATCAAGAGGAATGTTCCACTCGGTGAGTTGAATGCAGACATCACAAAGGAGTTTCTGGGATTGCTTCTGTCTAGCTTTTATGGAAAGATATTTCCTTTTCTACCATAGGCCTCAAAGCGCTCTTAGTATACACTTCCAAATTCTACAAAGAGAGTGTTACTAAACCGCTCTCTCAAAGGAAATGTTAAACTCTGTGAGTTGAACACAGACATCACAAAGCAGTTTCTGAGAACACTTCTGTCTGCCTTTTATGTGAAGACATTCCCTTTTCCAAAGAATGCCTCCAAGGGCTCAAAATATCCACTTGTAGACTTTACAAAGAGAGTGTTTCAAAACTTCTCTACCAAAAGAAAGGTTAAAGACGGTGAGTTCAACGCACACATCACAAAGTTGTTTCTGAGAATGATTCTATCTATGTTTTCCATGAAGATGTTTCCTTTTCTATCATAGGCTTCAAAGTGGTCTAAATATCCACTTGGAAATCCTACAAGAACAGGGTTTCAAAACTTCTCTATCAAACGGAAGACTCCACTCTGTGAGATGAACGCACACATCACAATGAGGTTTCTGAAAATTCTTCTGTCTAGGGTTATAGGAAGAAATCCCGTTTCCAACGAAGGCCTCAAAGAGGTCCAAATATCCACTTGCAGTTTCTACAAAAAGAGTGTTTCAACACTGCTCTATAAAGAGAAAAGTTCCACTCTGTGAGTTGAATGTACACATCACAAAGTAGTTTCTGAGATTGCTTTCTGTCTAGGTTTTAGGTGAAGTTATTTCCTTTTCTACTGTGGGCTTCAATGCGCTCTAAATATACACATGCAAATACTACAAAAAGAGTGTTTCAAAACTGCTCTATCAAAAGAAAAGTTTTACTCTGTGGGTTGAACGCACACATCGCAAAGCAGATTCTGAGAATTATTCTGTCTAGTTTTTATAGGAAGATGTTTCTTTTTCTGCCGTAGGATCAATGCGCTATAAATATCCCCTTGGAAATCCTACAAAAACAGTGTTTCAAAACTGCTCTGTGAAAAGGGAGGTTTCACTCTTTGAATTGAATGCACACATCACAAAGGAGTTTCTGAAAATTCTTCAATCTAGAGTTACATGAAGAAATCCCGTTTCCAAAGAAGGCCTCAAATAGGTCCAAATATCCACTTGCAGCTACTGCAAGCAGGGTGTTTCAGAAACGCTCTATCAAAAGAAACGTTAAACTCTGTGAGTTGAACACACACGTCACTAAGCACTTTCTGAGAACGATTCTATCTACTTTTTACATGAAGATGTTTCCTTTTCTAGCAGAGACTTCAAAGTGCTCTAAATATCCACTTGGGAATTCTACAAAAACGGTGTCTCAAAACTGCTCTATCAAACGGAATGTTCCATTCTGTGAGTCGAATGCACACATCCGAAGAAGTTACTGAGAATTCTTCTCTGTAGGTTTAGATGAAGAAATCCCGTTTCCAACGAAGGCCTCTAGGAGGTCCAATTATCCACTTGCAGATTCTACAGAAAGAGTGTTTCAAAACTGCTCTATCAAGAGAAATGGTCCACCGTGTGTGTGGAATGCAGCCATCACACATTAGTTTCTGAGATTGCTTCTGTCTTGGTTTTATGGGGAGATATTTCCATTTCTAGCATAGGCTTCAAGGCGCTCTAAATATCCGCTTGGAAATACTACAAAAACAGTGTTTCAAAACTGCTGTATCCAAAGGAAGGTGCCACTCGCTGAGTTGAATGCACACATCACAAGGAAGTTTCTGAGAATTCTTCTGTCTAGATTCATACGAAGAAATCCCGTTTCCAACGAAGGCCTCAAAGAAGTCCAAATATCCCATTGCAAATTCTACAAAAGGAGTGTTTCCCAACTGCTCTATCAAGAGGAATGTTGCACTCTGTGACTTGCATGCAAACATCACACAGCAGTGTTTGAGAATTCTTCTGTCTAGAGTAACATGAAGAAATCCCGTTTCCAACGAAGGCCTCAAGGCGGTCCAATTATCCACTTGCAGATTCTACAGAAAGAGTGTTTCAAAACTGCTCTATCAAGAGAAATGTTCCACCGTGTGTGTGGAATGCAGCCATCACACAGTAGTTTCTGAGATTGCTTCCGTCTAGGTTTTATGGGAAGATATTTCCTTTTCTACCATAGGCCTCAAGGCGCTCTAATATCCGCTTGGAAATACTACAACCACAGCGTTTCAAACTGCTCTATCCAAAGGAAGGTTCCACTCTGTGACTTGAATGCACACAACCAAAGAAGTTTCGGAGAATTCTTCTGTCTGGATTTATACGAAGAAATCCCGTTTCCAACGAAGACCCAAAGGAGTTCCAAATATCCACTTGCAGATCCTTCAGAAAGAGGGTTTCAAAACTGCTCTATCAAGAGAAATGTTCAACTCTGTGAGTTGAATGCAGACATCACAAAGTCGTTTCTGAGACTGGTTCTGTCTAGGTTTTATGGGAAGATATTTCCTTTTCTACCATACGCTTCAAGGCGTTCCAAATATCCGCTTGGAAATACTACAAAAACAGTGTTTCAAAACTGCTCTATCAAAAGGAAGGATCCACACTGTGAGTTGAATTCACACATCACAAAGAAGTCTCTGAGAATTCTTCTGTCTGGGTTTATAGGAAGAAATCCCGTTTCCAACGAAGGCCTCAAAGAGGTCCAAATATCCACTTGCAGATTCTACAGAAACAATGTTTCCAAACTGCTCGGTCAAGAGGAATGTTGCACTCGGTGAGTTGAATGCACACATCACAAAGTAGTTTCTGAGATTGCTTCTGTCTACCTTTTATGGAAAGATATTCCCTTTTCTACCATAGGCCTGAAAGCGCTCTCAATGTACCCTTGCAAATTCTACAAAAAGAGTGTTTCCAAATTGCTCTATCAAGAGAAATCTTTATCTCGGTGAGTTGAAAGCACACATCACAAAGAAGACTCTGAGAATTCTTCTGTCTGGGTTTATAAGATGAAAACCCGTTTCCAACGAAGGCCTCAAGGAGGTCCAAATACAAACAAGCTGATTCTACAGAAAGAGTGTTTCCAAACTGCTCTATCAAGAGGAATGTTCCACTCGGTGAGTTGAATGCAGACATCACAAAGGAGTTTCTGAGATTGCTTCTGTCTAGCTTTTATGGAAAGATATTTCCTTTTCTACCATAGGCCTCAAAGCGCTCTTAGTATACACTTCCAAATTCTACAAAGAGAGTGTTACTAAACCGCTCTCTCAAAGGAAATGTTAAACTCTGTGAGTTGAACACAGACATCACAAAGCAGTTTCTGAGAACACTTCTGTCTGCCTTTTATGTGAAGACATTCCCTTTTCCAAAGAATGCCTCCAAGGGCTCAAAATATCCACTTGTAGACTTTACAAAGAGAGTGTTTCAAAACTTCTCTACCAAAAGAAAGGTTAAAGACGGTGAGTTCAACGCACACATCACAAAGTTGTTTCTGAGAATGATTCTATCTATGTTTTCCATGAAGATGTTTCCTTTTCTATCATAGGCTTCAAAGTGGTCTAAATATCCACTTGGAAATCCTACAAGAACAGGGTTTCAAAACTTCTCTATCAAACGGAAGACTCCACTCTGTGAGATGAACGCACACATCACAATGAGGTTTCTGAAAATTCTTCTGTCTAGGGTTATAGGAAGAAATCCCGTTTCCAACGAAGGCCTCAAAGAGGTCCAAATATCCACTTGCAGTTTCTACAAAAAGAGTGTTTCAACACTGCTCTATAAAGAGAAAAGTTCCACTCTGTGAGTTGAATGTACACATCACAAAGTAGTTTCTGAGATTGCTTCTGTCTAGGTTTTAGGTGAAGTTATTTCCTTTTCTACTGTGGGCTTCAATGCGCTCTAAATATACACATGCAAATACTACAAAAAGAGTGTTTCAAAACTGCTCTATCAAAAGAAAAGTTTTACTCTGTGAGTTGAACGCACACATCGCAAAGCAGATTCTGAGAATTATTCTGTCTAGTTTTTATAGGAAGATGTTTCTTTTTCTGCCATAGGCTCAATGCGCTATAAATATCCCCTTGGAAATCCTACAAAAACAGTGTTTCAAAACTGCTCTGTGAAAAGGGAGGTTTCACTCTTTGAATTGAATGCACACATCACAAAGGAGTTTCTGAAAATTCTTCAAACTAGAGTTACATGAAGAAATCCCGTTTCCAAAGAAGGCCTCAAATAGGTCCAAATATCCACTTGCAGCTACTACAAGCAGGGTGTTTCAGAAACGCTCTATCAAAAGAAACGTTAAACTCTGTGAGTTGAACACACACGTCACTAAGCACTTTCTGAGAACGATTCTATCTACTTTTTACATGAAGATGTTTCCTTTTCTAGCAGAGACTTCAAAGTGCTCTAAATATCCACTTGGGAATTCTACAAAAACGGTGTCTCAAAACTGCTCTATCAAACGGAATGTTCCATTCTGTGAGTCGAATGCACACATCCGAAGAAGTTACTGAGAATTCTTCTCTGTAGGTTTAGGTGAAGAAATCCCGTTTCCAACGAAGGCCTCTAGGAGGTCCAATTATCCACTTGCAGATTCTACAGAAAGAGTGTTTCAAAACTGCTCTATCAAGAGAAATGGTCCACCGTGTGTGTGGAATGCAGCCATCACACATTAGTTTCTGAGATTGCTTCTGTCTTGGTTTTATGGGGAGATATTTCCATTTCTAGCATAGGCTTCAAGGCGCTCTAAATATCCGCTTGGAAATACTACAAAAACAGTGTTTCAAAACTGCTGTATCCAAAGGAAGGTGCCACTCGCTGAGTTGAATGCACACATCACAAGGAAGTTTCTGAGAATTCTTCTGTCTAGATTCATACGAAGAAATCCCGTTTCCAACGAAGGCCTCAAAGAAGTCCAAATATCCCATTGCAAATTCTACAAAAGGAGTGTTTCCCAACTGCTCTATCAAGAGGAATGTTGCACTCTGTGACTTGAATGCAAACATCACATAGCAGTGTTTGAGAATTCTTCTGTCTAGAGTAACATGAAGAAATCCCGTTTCCAACGAAGGCCTCAAGGCGGTCCAATTATCCACTTGCAGATTCTACAGAAAGAGTGTTTCAAAACTGCTCTATCAAGAGAAATGTTCCACCGTGTGTGTGGAATGCAGCCATCACACAGTAGTTTCTGAGATTGCTTCCGTCTAGGTTTTATGGGAAGATATTTCCTTTTCTACCATAGGCTTCAAGGCGCTCTAATATCCGCTTGGAAATACTACAACCACAGCGTTTCAAACTGCTCTATCCAAAGGAAGGTTCCACTCTGTGACTTGAATGCACACAACCAAAGAAGTTTCGGAGAATTCTTCTGTCTGGATTTATACGAAGAAATCCCGTTTCCAACGAAGACCCAAAGGAGTTCCAAATATCCACTTGCAGCTCCTTCAGAAAGAGGGTTTCAAAACTGCTCTATCAAGAGAAATGTTCAACTCTGTGAGTTGAATGCAGACATCACAAAGTCGTTTCTGAGATGGGTTCTGTCTAGGTTTTATGGGAAGATATTTCCTTTTCTACCTTACGCTTCAAGGCGTTCCAAATATCCGCTTGGAAATACTACAAAAACAGTGTTTCAAAACTGCTCTATCAAAAGGAAGGATCCACACTGTGAGTTGAATTCACACATCACAAAGAAATCTCTGAGAATTCTTCTGTCTGGGTTTATAGGAAGAAATCCCGTTTCCAACGAAGGCCTTAAAGCGGTCCATATATCCACTTGCAGATTCTACAGAAACAATGTTTCCAAACTGCTCGGTCAAGAGGAATGTTGCACTCGGTGAGTTGAATGCACACATCACAAAGTAGTTTCTGAGATTGCTTCTGTCTACCTTTTATGGAAAGATATTCCCTTTTCTACCATAGGCCTGAAAGCGCTCTCAATGTACCCTTGCAAATTCTACAAAAAGAGTGTTTCCAAATTGCTCTATCAAGAGAAATCTTTATCTCGGTGAGTTGAAAGCACACATCACAAAGAAGACTCTGAGAATTCTTCTGTCTGGGTTTATAAGATGAAAACCCGTTTCCAACGAAGGCCTCAAGGAGGTCCAAATACAAACAAGCTGATTCTACAGAAAGAGTGTTTCCAAACTGCTCTATCAAGAGGAATGTTCCACTCGGTGAGTTGAATGCAGACATCACAAAGGAGTTTCTGAGATTGCTTCTGTCTAGCTTTTATGGAAAGATATTTCCTTTTCTACCATAGGCCTCAAAGCGCTCTTAGTATACACTTCCAAATTCTACAAAGAGAGTGTTACTAAACCGCTCTCTCAAAGGAAATGTTAAACTCTGTGAGTTGAACACAGACATCACAAAGCAGTTTCTGAGAACACTTCTGTCTGCCTTTTATGTGAAGACATTCCCTTTTCCAAAGAATGCCTCCAAGGGCTCAAAATATCCACTTGTAGACTTAGAGTGTTTCAAAACTTCTCTACCAAAAGAAAGGTTAAAGACGGTGAGTTCAACGCACACATCACAAAGTTGTTTCTGAGAATGATTCTATCTATGTTTTCCATGAAGATGTTTCCTTTTCTATCATAGGCTTCAAAGTGGTCTAAATATCCACTTGGAAATCCTACAAGAACAGGGTTTCAAAGCTTCTCTATCAAAAGGAAGACTCCACCCTGTGAGATGAACGCACACATCACAATGAGGTTTCTGAAAATTCTTCTGTCTAGGGTTATAGGAAGAAATCCCGTTTCCAACGAAGGCCTCATAGAGGTCCAAATATCCACTTGCAGTTTCTACAAAAAGAGTGTTTCAACACTGCTCTATAAAGAGGAAAGTTCCACTCTGTGAGTTGAATGTACACATCACAAAGTAGTTTCTGAGATTGCTTCTGTCTAGGTTTTAGGTGAAGTTATTTCCTTTTCTACTGTGGGCTTCAATGCGCTCTAAATATACACATGCAAATACTACAAAAAGAGTGTTTCAAAACTGCTCTATCAAAAGAAAAGTTTTACTCTGTGGGTTGAACGCACACATCGCAAAGCAGATTCTGAGAATTATTCTGTCTAGTTTTTATAGGAAGATGTTTCTTTTTCTGCTATAGGATCAATGCGCTATAAATATCCCCTTGGAAGTCCTACAAAAACAGTGTTTCAAAACTGCTCTGTGAAAAGGGAGGTTTCACTCTTTGAATTGAATGCACACATCACAAAGGAGTTTCTGAAAATTCTTCAATCTAGAGTTACATGAAGAAATCCCGTTTCCAAAGAAGGCCTCAAATAGGTCCAAATATCCACTTGCAGCTACTACAAGAAGGGTGTTTCAGAAACGCTCTATCAAAAGAAACGTTAAACTCTGTGAGTTGAACGCACACGTCACTAAGCACTTTCTGAGAACGATTCTATCTACTTTTTACATGAAGATGTTTCCTTTTCTAGCAGAGACTTCAAAGTGCTCTAAATATCCACTTGGGAATTCTACAAAAACGGTGTCTCAAAACTGCTCTATCAAAGGGAATGTTCCATTCTGTGAGTCGAATGCACACATCCGAAGAAGTTACTGAGAATTCTTCTCTGTAGGTTTAGATGAAGAAATCCCGTTTCCAACGAAGGCCTCTAGGAGGTCCAATTATCCACTTGCAGATTCTACAGAAAGAGTGTTTCAAAAGTGCTCTATCAAGAGAAATGGTCCACCGTGTGTGTGGAATGCAGCCATCACACATTAGTTTCTGAGATTGCTTCTGTCTTGGTTTTATGGGGAGATATTTCCATTTCTAGCATAGGCTTCAAGGCGCTCTAAATATCCGCTTGGAAATAGTACAAAAACAGTGTTTCAAAACTGCTGTATCCAAAGGAAGGTGCCACTCGCTGAGTTGAATGCACACATCACAAGGAAGTTTCTGAGAATTCTTCTGTCTAGATTCATACGAAGAAATCCCGTTTCCAACGAAGGCCTCAAAGAAGTCCAAATATCCCATTGCAAATTCTACAAAAGGAGTGTTTCCCAACTGCTCTATCAAGAGGAATGTTGCACTCTGTGACTTGAATGCAAACATCACATAGCAGTGTTTGAGAATTCTTCTGTCTAGAGTAACATGAAGAAATCCCGTTTCCAACGAAGGCCTCAAGGCGGTCCAATTATCCACTTGCAGATTCTACAGAAAGAGTGTTTCAAAACTACTCTATCAAGAGAAATGTTCCACCGTGTGTGTGGAATGCAGCCATCACACAGTAGTTTCTGAGATTGCTTCCGTCTAGGTTTTATGGGAAGATATTTCCTTTTCTACCATAGGCCTCAAGGCGCTCTAATATCCGCTTGGAAATACTACAACCACAGCGTTTCAAACTGCTCTATCCAAAGGAAGGTTCCACTCTGTGACTTGAATGCACACAACCAAAGAAGTTTCGGAGAATTCTTCTGTCTGGATTTATACGAAGAAATCCCGTTTCCAACGAAGACCCAAAGGAGTTCCAAATATCCACTTGCAGATCCTTCAGAAAGAGGGTTTCAAAACTGCTCTATCAAGAGAAATGTTCAACTCTGTGAGTTGAATGCAGACATCACAAAGTCGTTTCTGAGATGGGTTCTGTCTAGGTTTTATGGGAAGATATTTCCTTTTCTACCATACGCTTCAAGGCGTTCCAAATATCCGCTTGGAAATACTACAAAAACAGTGTTTCAAAACTGCTCTATCAAAAGGAAGGATCCACACTGTGAGTTGAATTCACACATCACAAAGAAGTCTCTGAGAATTCTTCTGTCTGGGTTTATAGGAAGAAATCCCGTTTCCAACGAAGGCCTCAAAGCGGTCCATATATCCACTTGCAGATTCTACAGAAACAATGTTTCCAAACTGCTCTATCAAGAGGAATGTTGCACTCGGTGAGTTGAATGCACACATCACAAAGTAGTTTCTGAGATTGCTTCTGTCTACCTTTTATGGAAAGATATTCCCTTTTCTACCATAGGCCTGAAAGCGCTCTCAATGTACCCTTGCAAATTCTACAAAAAGAGTGTTTCCAAATTGCTCTATCAAGAGAAATCTTTATACTCGGTGAGTTGAAAGCACACATCACAAAGAAGACTCTGAGAATTCTTCTGTCTGGGTTTATAAGATGAAAACCCGTTTCCAACGAAGGCCTCAAGGAGGTCCAAATACAAACAAGCTGATTCTACAGAAAGAGTGTTTCCAAACTGCTCTATCAAGAGGAATGTTCCACTCGGTGAGTTGAATGCAGACATCACAAAGGAGTTTCTGAGATTGCTTCTGTCTAGCTTTTATGGAAAGATATTTCCTTTTCTACCATAGGCCTCAAAGCGCTCTTAGTATACACTTCCAAATTCTACAAAGAGAGTGTTACTAAACCGCTCTCTCAAAGGAAATGTTAAACTCTGTGAGTTGAACACAGACATCACAAAGCAGTTTCTGAGAACACTTCTGTCTGCCTTTTATGTGAAGACATTCCCTTTTCCAAAGAATGCCTCCAAGGGCTCAAAATATCCACTTGTAGACTTTACAAAGAGAGTGTTTCAAAACTTCTCTACCAAAAGAAAGGTTAAAGACGGTGAGTTCAACGCACACATCACAAAGTTGTTTCTGAGAATGATTCTATCTATGTTTTCCATGAAGATGTTTCCTTTTCTATCATAGGCTTCAAAGTGGTCTAAATATCCACTTGGAAATCCTACAAGAACAGGGTTTCAAAACTTCTCTATCAAACGGAAGACTCCACTCTGTGAGATGAACGCACACATCACAATGAGGTTTCTGAAAATTCTTCTGTCTAGGGTTATAGGAAGAAATCCCGTTTCCAACGAAGGCCTCAAAGAGGTCCAAATATCCACTTGCAGTTTCTACAAAAAGAGTGTTTCAACACTGCTCTATAAAGAGGAAAGTTCCACTCTGTGAGTTGAATGTACACATCACAAAGTAGTTTCTGAGATTGCTTCTGTCTAGGTTTTAGGTGAAGTTATTTCCTTTTCTACTGTGGGCTTCAATGCGCTCTAAATATACACATGGAAATACTACAGAAAGAGTGTTTCAAAACTGCTCTATCAAAAGAAAAGTTTTACTCTGTGGGTTGAACGCACACATCGCAAAGCAGATTCTGAGAATTATTCTGTCTAGTTTTTATAGGAAGATGTTTCTTTTTCTGCCGTAGGCTCAATGCGCTATAAATATCCCCTTGGAAATCCTACAAAAACAGTGTTTCAAAACTGCTCTGTGAAAAGGGAGGTTTCACTCTTTGAATTGAATGCACACATTACAAAGGAGTTTCTGAAAATTCTTCAAACTAGAGTTACATGAAGAAATCCCGTTTCCAAAGAAGGCCTCAAATAGGTCCAAATATCCACTTGCAGCTACTACAAGAAGGGTGTTTCAGAAACGCTCTATCAAAAGAAACGTTAAACTCTGTGAGTTGAACACACACGTCACTAAGCACTTTCTGAGAACGATTCTATCTACTTTTTACATGAAGATGTTTCCTTTTCTAGCAGCAGACTTCAAAGTGCTCTAAATATCCACTTGGGAATTCTACAAAAACGGTGTCTCAAAACTGCTCTATCAAACGGAATGTTCCATTCTGTGAGTCGAATGCACACATCCGAAGAAGTTACTGAGAATTCTTCTCTGTAGGTTTAGATGAAGAAATCCCATTTCCAACGAAGGCCTCTAGGAGGTCCAATTATCCACTTGCAGATTCTACAGAAAGAGTGTTTCAAAACTGCTCTATCAAGAGAAATGGTCCACCGTGTGTGTGGAATGCAGCCATCACACATTAGTTTCTGAGATTGCTTCTGTCTTGGTTTTATGGGGAGATATTTCCATTTCTAGCATAGGCTTCAAGGCGCTCTAAATATCCGCTTGGAAATACTACAAAAACAGTGTTTCAAAACTGCTGTATCCAAAGGAAGGTGCCACTCGCTGAGTTGAATGCACACATCACAAGGAAGTTTCTGAGAATTCTTCTGTCTAGATTCATACGAAGAAATCCCGTTTCCAACGAAGGCCTCAAAGAAGTCCAAATATCCCATTGCAAATTCTACAAAAGGAGTGTTTCCCAACTGCTCTATCAAGAGGAATGTTGCACTCTGTGACTTGAATGCAAACATCACATAGCAGTGTTTGAGAATTCTTCTGTCTAGAGTAACATGAAGAAATCCCGTTTCCAACGAAGGCCTCAAGGCGGTCCAATTATCCACTTGCAGATTCTACAGAAAGAGTGTTTCAAAACTGCTCTATCAAGAGAAATGTTCCACCGTGTGTGTGGAATGCAGCCATCACACAGTAGTTTCTGAGATTGCTTCCGTCTAGGTTTTATGGGAAGATATTTCCTTTTCTACCATAGGCTTCAAGGCGCTCTAATATCCGCTTGGAAATACTACAACCACAGCGTTTCAAACTGCTCTATCCAAAGGAAGGTTCCACTCTGTGACTTGAATGCACACAACCAAAGAAGTTTCGGAGAATTCTTCTGTCTGGATTTATACGAAGAAATCCCGTTTCCAACGAAGACCCAAAGGAGTTCCAAATATCCACTTGCAGATCCTTCAGAAAGAGGGTTTCAAAACTGCTCTATCAAGAGAAATGTTCAACTCTGTGAGTTGAATGCAGACATCACAAAGTCGTTTCTGAGATGGGTTCTGTCTAGGTTTTATGGGAAGATATTTCCTTTTCTACCATACGCTTCAAGGCGTTCCAAATATCCGCTTGGAAATACTACAAAAACAGTGTTTCAAAACTGCTCTATCAAAAGGAAGGATCCACACTGTGAGTTGAATTCACACATCACAAAGAAATCTCTGAGAATTCTTCTGTCTGGGTTTATAGGAAGAAATCCCGTTTCCAACGAAGGCCTCAAAGCGGTCCATATATCCACTTGCAGATTCTACAGAAACAATGTTTCCAAACTGCTCTATCAAGAGGAATGTTGCACTCGGTGAGTTGAATGCACACATCACAAAGTAGTTTCTGAGATTGCTTCTGTCTACCTTTTATGGAAAGATATTCCCTTTTCTACCATAGGCCTGAAAGCGCTCTCAATGTACCCTTGCAAATTCTACAAAAAGAGTGTTTCCAAATTGCTCTATCAAGAGAAATCTTTATCTCGGTGAGTTGAAAGCACACATCACAAAGAAGACTCTGAGAATTCTTCTGTCTGGGTTTATAAGATGAAAACCCGTTTCCAACGAAGGCCTCAAGGAGGTCCAAATACAAACAAGCTGATTCTACAGAAAGAGTGTTTCCAAACTGCTCTATCAAGAGGAATGTTCCACTCGGTGAGTTGAATGCAGACATCACAAAGGAGTTTCTGAGATTGCTTCTGTCTAGCTTTTATGGAAAGATATTTCCTTTTCTACCATAGGCCTCAAAGCGCTCTTAGTATACACTTCCAAATTCTACAAAGAGAGTGTTACTAAACCGCTCTCTCAAAGGAAATGTTAAACTCTGTGAGTTGAACACAGACATCACAAAGCAGTTTCTGAGAACACTTCTGTCTGCCTTTTATGTGAAGACATCCCCTTTTCCAAAGAATGCCTCCAAGGGCTCAAAATATCCACTTGTAGACTTTACAAAGAGAGTGTTTCAAAACTTCTCTACCAAAAGAAAGGTTAAAGACGGTGAGTTCAACGCACACATCACAAAGTTGTTTCTGAGAATGATTCTATCTATGTTTTCCATGAAGATGTTTCCTTTTCTATCATAGGCTTCAAAGTGGTCTAAATATCCACTTGGAAATCCTACAAGAACAGGGTTTCAAAACTTCTCTATCAAACGGAAGACTCCACTCTGTGAGATGAACGCACACATCACAATGAGGTTTCTGAAAATTCTTCTGTCTAGGGTTATAGGAAGAAATCCCGTTTCCAACGAAGGCCTCAAAGAGGTCCAAATATCCACTTGCAGTTTCTACAAAGAGTGTTTCAACACTGCTCTATAAAGAGGAAAGTTCCACTCTGTGAGTTGAATGTACACATCACAAAATAGTTTCTGAGATTGCTTCTGTCTAGGTTTTAGGTGAAGTTATTTCCTTTTCTACTGTGTGCTTCAATGCGCTCTAAATATACACATGCAAATACTACAAAAAGAGTGTTTCAAAACTGCTCTATCAAAAGAAAAGTTTTACTCTGTGAGTTGAACGCACACATCGCAAAGCAGATTCTGAGAATTATTCTGTCTAGTTTTTATAGGAAGATGTTTCTTTTTCTGCCATAGGATCAATGCGCTATAAATATCCCCTTGGAAATCCTACAAAAACAGTGTTTCAAAACTGCTCTGTGAAAAGGGAGGTTTCACTCTTTGAATTGAATGCACACTTCACAAAGGAGTTTCTGAAAATTCTTCAATCTAGAGTTACATGAAGAAATCCCGTTTCCAAAGAAGGCCTCAAATAGGTCCAAATATCCACTTGCAGCTACTACAAGAAGGGTGTTTCAGAAACGCTCTATCAAAAGAAACGTTAAACTCTGTGAGTTGAACGCACACGTCACTAAGCACTTTCTGAGAACGATTCTATCTACTTTTTACATGAAGATGTTTCCTTTTCTAGCAGAGACTTCAAAGTGCTCTAAATATCCACTTGGGAATTCTACAAAAACGGTGTCTCAAAACTGCTCTATCAAAGGGAATGTTCCATTCTGTGAGTCGAATGCACACATCCGAAGAAGTTACTGAGAATTCTTCTCTGTAGGTTTAGATGAAGAAATCCCGTTTCCAACGAAGGCCTCTAGGAGGTCCAATTATCCACTTGCAGATTCTACAGAAAGAGTGTTTCAAAACTGCTCTATCAAGAGAAATGGTCCACCGTGTGTGTGGAATGCAGCCATCACACATTAGTTTCTGAGATTGCTTCTGTCTTGGTTTTATGGGGAGATATTTCCATTTCTAGCATAGGCTTCAAGGCGCTCTAAATATCCGCTTGGAAATACTACAAAAACAGTGTTTCAAAACTGCTGTATCCAAAGGAAGGTGCCACTCGCTGAGTTGAATGCACACATCACAAGGAAGTTTCTGAGAATTCTTCTGTCTAGATTCATACGAAGAAATCCCGTTTCCAACGAAGGCCTCAAAGAAGTCCAAATATCCCATTGCAAATTCTACAAAAGGAGTGTTTCCCAACTGCTCTATCAAGAGGAATGTTGCACTCTGTGACTTGAATGCAAACATCACATAGCAGTGTTTGAGAATTCTTCTGTCTAGAGTAACATGAAGAAATCCCGTTTCCAACGAAGGCCTCAAGGCGGTCCAATTATCCACTTGCAGATTCTACAGAAAGAGTGTTTCAAAACTGCTCTATCAAGAGAAATGTTCCACCGTGTGTGTGGAATGCAGCCATCACACAGTAGTTTCTGAGATTGCTTCCGTCTAGGTTTTATGGGAAGATATTTCCTTTTCTACCATAGGCTTCAAGGCGCTCTAATATCCGCTTGGAAATACTACAACCACAGCGTTTCAAACTGCTCTATCCAAAGGAAGGTTCCACTCTGTGACTTGAATGCACACAACCAAAGAAGTTTCGGAGAATTCTTCTGTCTGGATTTATACGAAGAAATCCCGTTTCCAACGAAGACCCAAAGGAGTTCCAAATATCCACTTGCAGATCCTTCAGAAAGAGGGTTTCAAAGCTGCTCTATCAAGAGAAATGTTCAACTCTGTGAGTTGAATGCAGACATCACAAAGTCGTTTCTGAGATTGGTTCTGTCTAGGTTTTATGGGAAGATATTTCCTTTTCTACCATACGCTTCAAGGCGTTCCAAATATCCGCTTGGAAATACTACAAAAACGGTGTTTCAAAACTGCTCTATCAAAAGGAAGGATCCACACTGTGAGTTGAATTCACACATCACAAAGAAGTCTCTGAGAATTCTTCTGTCTGGGTTTATAGGAAGAAATCCCGTTTCCAACGAAGGCCTCAAAGAGGTCCAAATATCCACTTGCAGATTCTACAGAAACAATGTTTCCAAACTGCTCTATCAAGAGGAATGTTGCACTCGGTGAGTTGAATGCACACATCACAAAGTAGTTTCTGAGATTGCTTCTGTCTACCTTTTATGGAAAGATATTCCCTTTTCTACCATAGGCCTGAAAGCGCTCTCAATGTACCCTTGCAAATTCTACAAAAAGAGTGTTTCCAAATTGCTCTATCAAGAGAAATCTTTATCTCGGTGAGTTGAAAGCACACATCACAAAGAAGACTCTGAGAATTCTTCTGTCTGGGTTTATAAGATGAAAACCCGTTTCCAACGAAGGCCTCAAGGAGGTCCAAATACAAACAAGCTGATTCTACAGAAAGAGTGTTTCCAAACTGCTCTATCAAGAGGAATGTTCCACTCGGTGAGTTGAATGCAGACATCACAAAGGAGTTTCTGAGATTGCTTCTGTCTAGCTTTTATGGAAAGATATTTCCTTTTCTACCATAGGCCTCAAAGCGCTCTTAGTATACACTTCCAAATTCTACAAAGAGAGTGTTACTAAACCGCTCTCTCAAAGGAAATGTTAAACTCTGTGAGTTGAACACAGACATCACAAAGCAGTTTCTGAGAACACTTCTGTCTGCCTTTTATGTGAAGACATTCCCTTTTCCAAAGAATGCCTCCAAGGGCTCAAAATATCCACTTGTAGACTTTACAAAGAGAGTGTTTCAAAACTTCTCTACCAAAAGAAAGGTTAAAGACGGTGAGTTCAACGCACACATCACAAAGTTGTTTCTGAGAATGATTCTATCTATGTTTTCCATGAAGATGTTTCCTTTTCTATCATAGGCTTCAAAGTGGTCTAAATATCCACTTGGAAATCCTACAAGAACAGGGTTTCAAAACTTCTCTATCAAACGGAAGACTCCACTCTGTGAGATGAACGCACACATCACAATGAGGTTTCTGAAAATTCTTCTGTCTAGGGTTATAGGAAGAAATCCCGTTTCCAACGAAGGCCTCAAAGAGGTCCAAATATCCACTTGCAGTTTCTACAAAAAGAGTGTTTCAACACTGCTCTATAAAGAGGAAAGTTCCACTCTGTGAGTTGAATGTACACATCACAAAGTAGTTTCTGAGATTGCTTCTGTCTAGGTTTTAGGTGAAGTTATTTCCTTTTCTACTGTGGGCTTCAATGCGCTCTAAATATACACATGCAAATACTACAAAAAGAGTGTTTCAAAACTGCTCTATCAAAAGAAAAGTTTTACTCTGTGAGTTGAACGCACACATCGCAAAGCAGATTCTGAGAATTATTCTGTCTAGTTTTTATAGGAAGATGTTTCTTTTTCTGCCATAGGCTCAATGCGCTATAAATATCCCCTTGGAAATCCTACAAAAACAGTGTTTCAAAACTGCTCTGTGAAAAGGGAGGTTTCACTCTTTGAATTGAATGCACACATCACATAGGAGTTTCTGAAAATTCTTCAATCTAGAGTTACATGAAGAAATCCCGTTTCCAAAGAAGGCCTCAAATAGGTCCAAATATCCACTTGCAGCTACTACAAGAAGGGTGTTTCAGAAACGCTCTATCAAAAGAAACGTTAAACTCTGTGAGTTGAACGCACACGTCACTAAGCACTTTCTGAGAACGATTCTATCTACTTTTTACATGAAGATGTTTCCTTTTCTAGCAGAGACTTCAAAGTGCTCTAAATATCCACTTGGGAATTCTACAAAAACGGTGTCTCAAAACTGCTCTATCAAACGGAATGTTCCATTCTGTGAGTCGAATGCACACATCCCGAAGAAGTTACTGAGAATTCTTCTCTGTAGGTTTAGATGAAGAAATCCCGTTTCCAACGAAGGCCTCTAGGAGGTCCAATTATCCACTTGCAGATTCTACAGAAAGAGTGTTTCAAAACTGCTCTATCAAGAGAAATGGTCCACCGTGTGTGTGGAATGCAGCCATCACACATTAGTTTCCTGAGATTGCTTCTGTCTTGGTTTTATGGGGAGATATTTCCATTTCTAGCATAGGCTTCAAGGCGCTCTAAATATCCGCTTGGAAATAGTACAAAAACAGTGTTTCAAAACTGCTGTATCCAAAGGAAGGTGCCACTCGCTGAGTTGAATGCACACATCACAAGGAAGTTTCTGAGAATTCTTCTGTCTAGATTCATACGAAGAAATCCCGTTTCCAACGAAGGCCTCAAAGAAGTCCAAATATCCCATTGCAAATTCTACAAAAGGAGTGTTTCCCAACTGCTCTATCAAGAGGAATGTTGCACTCTGTGACTTGCATGCAAACATCACATAGCAGTGTTTGAGAATTCTTCTGTCTAGAGTAACATGAAGAAATCCCGTTTCCAACGAAGGCCTCAAGGCGGTCCAATTATCCACTTGCAGATTCTACAGAAAGAGTGTTTCAAAACTGCTCTATCAAGAGAAATGTTCCACCGTGTGTGTGGAATGCAGCCATCACACAGTAGTTTCTGAGATTGCTTCCGTCTAGGTTTTATGGGAAGATATTTCCTTTTCTACCATAGGCTTCAAGGCGCTCTAATATCCGCTTGGAAATACTACAACCACAGCGTTTCAAACTGCTCTATCCAAAGGAAGGTTCCACTCTGTGAGTTGAATGCACACAACCAAAGAAGTTTCGGAGAATTCTTCTGTCTAGATTTATACGAAGAAATCCCGTTTCCAACGAAGACCCAAAGGAGTTCCAAATATCCACTTGCAGATCCTTCAGAAAGAGGGTTTCAAAACTGCTCTATCAAGAGAAATGTTCAACTCTGTGAGTTGAATGCAGACATCACAAAGTCGTTTCTGAGATTGGTTCTGTCTAGGTTTTATGGGAAGATATTTCCTTTTCTACCATACGCTTCAAGGCGTTCCAAATATCCGCTTGGAAATACTACAAAAACAGTGTTTCAAAACTGCTCTATCAAAAGGAAGGATCCACACTGTGAGTTGAATTCACACATCACAAAGAAATCACTGAGAATTCTTCTGTCTGGGTTTATAGGAAGAAATCCCGTTTCCAACGAAGGCCTCAAAGCGGTCCATATATCCACTTGCAGATTCTACAGAAACAATGTTTCCAAACTGCTCGGTCAAGAGGAATGTTGCACTCGGTGAGTTGAATGCACACATCACAAAGTAGTTTCTGAGATTGCTTCTGTCTACCTTTTATGGAAAGATATTCCCTTTTCTACCATAGGCCTGAAAGCGCTCTCAATGTACCCTTGCAAATTCTACAAAAAGAGTGTTTCCAAATTGCTCTATCAAGAGAAATCTTTATCTCGGTGAGTTGAAAGCACACATCACAAAGAAGACTCTGAGAATTCTTCTGTCTGGGTTTATAAGATGAAAACCCGTTTCCAACGAAGGCCTCAAGGAGGTCCAAATACAAACAAGCTGATTCTACAGAAAGAGTGTTTCCAAACTGCTCTATCAAGAGGAATGTTCCACTCGGTGAGTTGAATGCAGACATCACAAAGGAGTTTCTGAGATTGCTTCTGTCTAGCTTTTATGGAAAGATATTTCCTTTTCTACCATAGGCCTCAAAGCGCTCTTAGTATACACTTCCAAATTCTACAAAGAGAGTGTTACTAAACCGCTCTCTCAAAGGAAATGTTAAACTCTGTGAGTTGAACACAGACATCACAAAGCAGTTTCTGAGAACACTTCTGTCTGCCTTTTATGTGAAGACATTCCCTTTTCCAAAGAATGCCTCCAAGGGCTCAAAATATCCACTTGTAGACTTTACAAAGAGAGTGTTTCAAAACTTCTCTACCAAAAGAAAGGTTAAAGACGGTGAGTTCAACGCACACATCACAAAGTTGTTTCTGAGAATGATTCTATCTATGTTTTCCATGAAGATGTTTCCTTTTCTATCATAGGCTTCAAAGTGTTCTAAATATCCACTTGGAGATCCTACAAGAACAGGGTTTCAAAACTTCTCTATCAAACGGAAGACTCCACTCTGTGAGATGAACGCACACATCACAATGAGGTTTCTGAAAATTCTTCTGTCTAGGGTTATAGGAAGAAATCCCGTTTCCAACGAGGGCCTCAAAGAGGTCCAAATATCCACCAGCAGTTTCTACAAAAAGAGTGTTTCAACACTGCTCTGTAAAGGGGAAAGTTCCACTCTGTGAGTTGAATGTACACATCACAAAGTAGTTTCTGAGATTGCTTCTGTCTAGGTTTTAGGTGAAGTTATTTCCTTTTCTACTGTGGGCTTCAATGCGCTCTAAATATACACATGCAAATACTACAAAAAGAGTGTTTCAAAACTGCTCTATCAAAAGAAAAGTTTTACTCTGTGGGTTGAACGCACACATCGCAAAGCAGATTCTGAGAATTATTCTGTCTAGTTTTTATAGGAAGATGTTTCTTTTTCTGCCGTAGGCTCAATGCGCTATAAATATCCCCTTGGAAATCCTACAAAAACAGTGTTTTAAAACTGCTCTGTGAAAAGGGACGTTTCACTCTTTGAATTGAATGCACACATCACAAAGGAGTTTCTGAAAATTCTTCAATCTAGAGTTACATGAAGAAATCCCGTTTCCAAAGAAGGCCTCAAATAGGTACAAATATCCACTTGCAGCTACTACAAGAAGGGTGTTTCAGAAACGCTCTATCAAAAGAAACGTTAAACTCTGTGAGTTGAACGCACACGTCACTAAGCACTTTCTGAGAACGATTCTATCTACTTTTTACATGAAGATGTTTCCTTTTCTAGCAAAGACTTCAAAGTGCTCTAAATATCCACTTGGGAATTCTACAAAAACGGTGTCTCAAAACTGCTCTATCAAAGGGAATGTTCCATTCTGTGAGTCGAATGCACACATCCGAAGAAGTTACTGAGAATTCTTCTCTGTAGGTTTAGATGAAGAAATCCCGTTTCCAACGAAGGCCTCTAGGAGGTCCAATTATCCACTTGCAGATTCTACAGAAAGAGTGTTTCAAAACTGCTCTATCAAGAGAAATGGTCCACCGTGTGTGTGGAATGCAGCCATCACACATTAGTTTCTGAGATTGCTTCTGTCTTGGTTTTATGGGGAGATATTTCCATTTCTAGCATAGGCTTCAAGGCGCTCTAAATATCCGCTTGGAAATACTACAAAAACAGTGTTTCAAAACTGCTGTATCCAAAGGAAGGTGCCACTCGCTGAGTTGAATGCACACATCACAAGGAAGTTTCTGAGAATTCTTCTGTCTAGATTCATACGAAGAAATCCCGTTTCCAACGAAGGCCTCAAAGAAGTCCAAATATCCCATTGCAAATTCTACAAAAGGAGTGTTTCCCAACTGCTCTATCAAGAGGAATGTTGCACTCTGTGACTTGCATGCAAACATCATATAGCAGTGTTTGAGAATTCTTCTGTCTAGAGTAACATGAAGAAATCCCGTTTCCAACGAAGGCCTCAAGGCGGTCCAATTATCCACTTGCAGATTCTACAGAAAGAGTGTTTCAAAACTGCTCTATCAAGAGAAATGTTCCACCGTGTGTGTGGAATGCAGCCATCACACAGTAGTTTCTGAGATTGCTTCCGTCTAGGTTTTATGGGAAGATATTTCCTTTTCTACCATAGGCCTCAAGGCGCTCTAATATCCGCTTGGAAATACTACAACCACAGCGTTTCAAACTGCTCTATCCAAAGGAAGGTTCCACTCTGTGACTTGAATGCACACAACCAAAGAAGTTTCGGAGAATTCTTCTGTCTAGATTTATACGAAGAAATCCCGTTTCCAACGAAGACCCAAATGAGTTCCAAATATCCACTTGCAGATGCTTCAGAAAGAGGGTTTCAAAACTGCTCTATCAAGAGAAATGTTCAACTCTGTGAGTTGAATGCAGACATCACAAAGTCGTTTCTGAGATTGGTTCTGTCTAGGTTTTATGGGAAGATATTTCCTTTTCTACCATACGCTTCAAGGCGTTCCAAATATCCGCTTGGAAATACTACAAAAACAGTGTTTCAAAACTGCTCTATCAAAAGGAAGGATCCACACTGTGAGTTGAATTCACACATCACAAAGAAGTCTCTGAGAATTCTTCTGTCTGGGTTTATAGGAAGAAATCCCGTTTCCAACGAAGGCCTCAAAGAGGTCCAAATATCCACTTGCAGATTCTACAGAAACAATGTTTCCAAACTGCTCAGTCAAGAGGAATGTTGCACTCGGTGAGTTGAATGCACACATCACAAAGTAGTTTCTGAGATTGCTTCTGTCTACCTTTTATGGAAAGATATTCCCTTTTCTACCATAGGCCTGAAAGCGCTCTCAATGTACCCTTGCAAATTCTACAAAAAGAGTGTTTCCAAATTGCTCTATCAAGAGAAATCTTTATCTCGGTGAGTTGAAAGCACACATCACAAAGAAGACTCTGAGAATTCTTCTGTCTGGGTTTATAAGATGAAAACCCGTTTCCAACGAAGGCCTCAAGGAGGTCCAAATACAAACAAGCTGATTCTACAGAAAGAGTGTTTCCAAACTGCTCTATCAAGAGGAATGTTCCACTCGGTGAGTTGAATGCAGACATCACAAAGGAGTTTCTGAGATTGCTTCTGTCTAGCTTTTATGGAAAGATATTTCCTTTTCTACCATAGGCCTCAAAGCGCTCTTAGTATACACTTCCAAATTCTACAAAGAGAGTGTTACTAAACCGCTCTCTCAAAGGAAATGTTAAACTCTGTGAGTTGAACACAGACATCACAAAGCAGTTTCTGAGAACACTTCTGTCTGCCTTTTATGTGAAGACATTCCCTTTTCCAAAGAATGCCTCCAAGGGCTCAAAATATCCACTTGTAGACTTTACAAAGAGAGTGTTTCAAAACTTCTCTACCAAAAGAAAGGTTAAAGACGGTGAGTTCAACGCACACATCACAAAGTTGTTTCTGAGAATGATTCTATCTATGTTTTCCATGAAGATGTTTCCTTTTCTATCATAGGCTTCAAAGTGGTCTAAATATCCACTTGGAAATCCTACAAGAACAGGGTTTCAAAACTTCTCTATCAAACGGAAGACTCCACTCTGTGAGATGAACGCACACATCACAATGAGGTTTCTGAAAATTCTTCTGTCTAGGGTTATAGGAAGAAATCCCGTTTCCAACGAAGGCCTCAAAGAGGTCCAAATATCCACTTGCAGTTTCTACAAAAAGAGTGTTTCAACACTGCTCTATAAAGAGAAAAGTTCCACTCTGTGAGTTGAATGTACACATCACAAAGTAGTTTCTGAGATTGCTTCTGTCTAGGTTTTAGGTGAAGTTATTTCCTTTTCTACTGTGGGCTTCAATGCGCTCTAAATATACACATGCAAATACTACAAAAAGAGTGTTTCAAAACTGCTCTATCAAAAGAAAAGTTTTACTCTGTGAGTTGAACGCACACATCGCAAAGCAGATTCTGAGAATTATTCTGTCTAGTTTTTATAGGAAGATGTTTCTTTTTCTGCCATAGGCTCAATGCGCTATAAATATCCCCTTGGAAATCCTACAAAAACAGTGTTTCAAAACTGCTCTGTGAAAAGGGAGGTTTCACTCTTTGAATTGAATGCACACATCACAAAGGAGTTTCTGAAAATTCTTCAAACTAGAGTTACATGAAGAAATCCCGTTTCCAAAGAAGGCCTCAAATAGGTCCAAATATCCACTTGCAGCTACTACAAGAAGGGTGTTTCAGAAACGCTCTATCAAAAGAAACGTTAAACTCTGTGAGTTGAACACACACGTCACTAAGCACTTTCTGAGAACGATTCTATCTACTTTTTACATGAAGATGTTTCCTTTTCTAGCAGAGACTTCAAAGTGCTCTAAATATCCACTTGGGAATTCTACAAAAACGGTGTCTCAAAACTGCTCTATCAAAGGGAATGTTCCATTCTGTTAGTCGAATGCACACATCCGAAGAAGTTACTGAGAATTCTTCTCTGTAGGTTTAGATGAAGAAATCCCGTTTCCAACGAAGGCCTCTAGGAGGTCCAATTATCCACTTGCAGATTCTACAGAAAGAGTGTTTCAAAACTGCTCTATCAAGAGAAATGGTCCACCGTGTGTGTGGAATGCAGCCATCACACATTAGTTTCTGAGATTGCTTCTGTCTTGGTTTTATGGGGAGATATTTCCATTTCTAGCATAGGCTTCAAGGCGCTCTAAATATCCGCTTGGAAATACTACAAAAACAGTGTTTCAAAACTGCTGTATCCAAAGGAAGGTGCCACTCGCTGAGTTGAATACACACATCACAAGGAAGTTTCTGAGAATTCTTCTGTCTAGATTCATACGAAGAAATCCCGTTTCCAACGAAGGCCTCAAAGAAGTCCAAATATCCCATTGCAAATTCTACAAAAGGAGTGTTTCCCAACTGCTCTATCAAGAGGAATGTTGCACTCTGTGACTTGAATGCAAACATCACATAGCAGTGTTTGAGAATTCTTCTGTCTAGAGTAACATGAAGAAATCCCGTTTCCAACGAAGGCCTCAAGGCGGTCCAATTATCCACTTGCAGATTCTACAGAAAGAGTGTTTCAAAACTGCTCTATCAAGAGAAATGTTCCACCGTGTGTGTGGAATGCAGCCATCACACAGTAGTTTCTGAGATTGCTTCCGTCTAGGTTTTATGGGAAGATATTTCCTTTTCTACCATAGGCTTCAAGGCGCTCTAATATCCGCTTGGAAATACTACAACCACAGCGTTTCAAACTGCTCTATCCAAAGGAAGGTTCCACTCTGTGACTTGAATGCACACAACCAAAGAAGTTTCGGAGAATTCTTCTGTCTGGATTTATACGAAGAAATCCCGTTTCCAACGAAGACCCAAAGGAGTTCCAAATATCCACTTGCAGCTCCTTCAGAAAGAGGGTTTCAAAACTGCTCTATCAAGAGAAATGTTCAACTCTGTGAGTTGAATGCAGACATCACAAAGTCGTTTCTGAGATGGGTTCTGTCTAGGTTTTATGGGAAGATATTTCCTTTTCTACCTTACGCTTCAAGGCGTTCCAAATATCCGCTTGGAAATACTACAAAAACAGTGTTTCAAAACTGCTCTATCAAAAGGAAGGATCCACACTGTGAGTTGAATTCACACATCACAAAGAAATCTCTGAGAATTCTTCTGTCTGGGTTTATAGGAAGAAATCCCGTTTCCAACGAAGGCCTCAAAGCGGTCCATATATCCACTTGCAGATTCTACAGAAACAATGTTTCCAAACTGCTCTATCAAGAGGAATGTTGCACTCGGTGAGTTGAATGCACACATCACAAAGTAGTTTCTGAGATTGCTTCTGTCTACCTTTTATGGAAAGATATTCCCTTTTCTACCATAGGCCTGAAAGCGCTCTCAATGTACCCTTGCAAATTCTACAAAAAGAGTGTTTCCAAATTGCTCTATCAAGAGAAATCTTTATCTCGGTGAGTTGAAAGCACACATCACAAAGAAGACTCTGAGAATTCTTCTGTCTGGGTTTATAAGATGAAAACCCGTTTCCAACGAAGGCCTCAAGGAGGTCCAAATACAAACAAGCTGATTCTACAGAAAGAGTGTTTCCAAACTGCTCTATCAAGAGGAATGTTCCACTCGGTGAGTTGAATGCAGACATCACAAAGGAGTTTCTGAGATTGCTTCTGTCTAGCTTTTATGGAAAGATATTTCCTTTTCTACCATAGGCCTCAAAGCGCTCTTAGTATACACTTCCAAATTCTACAAAGAGAGTGTTACTAAACCGCTCTCTCAAAGGAAATGTTAAACTCTGTGAGTTGAACACAGACATCACAAAGCAGTTTCTGAGAACACTTCTGTCTGCCTTTTATGTGAAGACATTCCCTTTTCCAAAGAATGCCTCCAAGGGCTCAAAATATCCACTTGTAGACTTTACAAAGAGAGTGTTTCAAAACTTCTCTACCAAAAGAAAGGTTAAAGACGGTGAGTTCAACGCACACATCACAAAGTTGTTTCTGAGAATGATTCTATCTATGTTTTCCATGAAGATGTTTCCTTTTCTATCATAGGCTTCAAAGTGGTCTAAATATCCACTTGGAAATCCTACAAGAACAGGGTTTCAAAGCTTCTCTATCAAACGGAAGACTCCACTCTGTGAGATGAACGCACACATCACAATGAGGTTTCTGAAAATTCTTCTGTCTAGGGTTATAGGAAGAAATCCCGTTTCCAACGAAGGCCTCAAAGAGGTCCAAATATCCACTTGCAGTTTCTACAAAAAGAGTGTTTCAACACTGCTCTATAAAGAGGAAAGTTCCACTCTGTGAGTTGAATGTACACATCACAAAGTAGTTTCTGAGATTGCTTCTGTCTAGGTTTTAGGTGAAGTTATTTCCTTTTCTACTGTGGGCTTCAATGCGCTCTAAATATACACATGCAAATACTACAAAAAGAGTGTTTCAAAACTGCTCTATCAAAAGAAAAGTTTTACTCTGTGGGTTGAACGCACACATCGCAAAGCAGATTCTGAGAATTATTCTGTCTAGTTTTTATAGGAAGATGTTTCTTTTTCTGCCGTAGGCTCAATGCGCTATAAATATCCCCTTGGAAATCCTACAAAAACAGTTTTTCAAAACTGCTCTGTGAAAAGGGAGGTTTCACTCTTTGAATTGAATGCACACATCACAAAGGAGTTTCTGAAAATTCTTCAAACTAGAGTTACATGAAGAAATCCCGTTTCGAAAGAAGGCCTCAAATAGGTCCAAATATCCACTTGCAGCTACTACAAGAAGGGTGTTTCAGAAACGCTCTATCAAAAGAAACGTTAAACTCTGTGAGTTGAACGCACACGTCACTAAGCACTTTCTGAGAACGATTCTATCTACTTTTTACATGAAGATGTTTCCTTTTCTAGCAGAGACTTCAAAGTGCTCTAAATATCCACTTGGGAATTCTACAAAAACGGTGTCTCAAAACTGCTCTATCAAAGGGAATGTTCCATTCTGTGAGTCGAATGCACACATCCGAAGAAGTTACTGAGAATTCTTCTATCTAGAGTAACAGGAAGAAATCCCGTTTCCAACGAAGGCCTCAAGGCGGTCCAATTATCCACTTGCAGATTCTACAGAAAGAGTGTTTCAAAACTGCTCTATCAAGAGAAATGTTCCACCGTGTGTGTGGAATGCAGCCATCACACAGTAGTTTCTGAGATTGCTTCCGTCTAGGTTTTATGGGAAGATATTTCCTTTTCTACCATAGGCCTCAAGGTGCTCTAATATCCGCTTGGAAATACTACAACCACAGCGTTTCAAACTGCTCTATCCAAAGGAAGGTTCCACTCTGTGACTTGAATGCACACAACCAAAGAAGTTTCGGAGAATTCTTCTGTCTCGATTTATACGAAGAAATCCAGTTTCCAACGAAGACCCAAAGGAGTTCCAAATATCCACTTGCAGATCCTTCAGAAAGAGGGTTTCAAAACTGCTCTATCAAGAGAAATGTTCAACTCTGTGAGTTGAATGCAGACATCACAAAGTCGTTTCTGAGATTGGTTCTGTCTAGGTTTTATGGGAAGATATTTCCTTTTCTACCATACGCTTCAAGGCGTTCCAAATATCCGCTTGGAAATACTACAAAAACAGTGTTTCAAAACTGCTCTATCAAAAGGAAGGATCCACACTGTGAGTTGAATTCACACATCACAAAGAAGTCTCTGAGAATTCTTCTGTCTGGGTTTATAGGAAGAAATCCCGTTTCCAATCGAAGGCCTCAAAGAGGTCCAAATATCCACTTGCAGATTCTACAGAAACAATGTTTCCAAACTGCTCGGTCAAGAGGAATGTTGCACTCGGTGAGTTGAATGCACACATCACAAAGTAGTTTCTGAGATTGCTTCTGTCTACCTTTGATGGAAAGATATTCCCTTTTCTACCATAGGCCTGAAAGCGCTCTCAATGTACCCTTGCAAATTGTACAAAAAGAGTGTTTCCAAATTGCTGTATCAAGAGAAATCTTTATCTCGGTGAGTTGAAAGCACACATCACAAAGAAGACTCTGAGAATTCTTCTGTCTGGGTTTATAAGATGAAAACCCGTTTCCAACGAAGGCCTCAAGGAGGTCCAAATACAAACAAGCTGATTCTAAAGAAAGAGTGTTTCCAAACTGTTCTATCAAGAGAAATGTTCCACTCGGTGAGTTGAATGCAGACATCACAAAGGAGTTTCTGAGATTGCTTCTGTCTAGCTTTTATGGAAAGATATTTCCTTTTCTACCATAGGCCTCAAAGCGCTCTTAGTATACACTTCCAAATTCTACAAAGAGAGTGTTACTAAACTGCTATATCAAAGGAAATGTTAAACTCTGTGAGTTGAACACAGACATCACAAAGCAGTTTCTGAGAACACTTCTGTCTGCCTTTTATGTGAAGACATTCCCTTTTCCAAAGAATGCCTCCAAGGGCCCAAAATATCCACTTGTAGACTTTACAAAGAGAGTGTTTCAAAACTTCTCTACCAAAAGAAAGGTTAAAAACTGTGAGTTCAACGCACACATCACAAAGTTGTTTCTGAGAATGATTCTATCTATGTTTCCATGAAGATGTTTCCTTTTCTATCATAGGCTTCAAAGTGGTCTAAATATCCACTTGGAAATCCTACAAGAACAGGGTTTCAAAACTTCTCTATCAAACGGAAGACTCCACTCTGTGAGATGAACGCACACATCACAATGAGGTTTCTGAAAATTCTTCTGTCTAGGGTTATAGGAAGAAATCCCGTTTCCAACGAAGGCCTCAAAGAGTTCCAAATATCCACCTGCAGTTTCTACAAAAAGAGTGTTTCAACACTGCTCTGTAAAGGGGAACGTTCCACTCTGTGAGTTGAATGTACACATCACAAAGTAGTTTCTGAGATTGCTTCTGTCTAGGTTTTAGGTGAAGTTATTTCCTTTTCTACTTTGGGCTTCAATGCGCTCTAAATATACACATGCAAATACTACAAAAAGAGTGTTTCAAAACTGCTCTATCAAAAGAAAAGTTTTACTCTGTGGGTTGAACGCACACATCGCAAAGCAGATTCTGAGAATTATTCTGTCTAGTTTTTATAGGAAGATGTTTCTTTTTCTGCCATAGGATCAATGCGCTATAAATATCCCCTTGGAAATCCTACAAAAACAGTGTTTCAAAACTGCTCTGTGAAAAGGGAGGTTTCACTCTTTGAATTGAATGCACACTTCACAAAGGAGTTTCTGAAAATTCTTCAATCTAGAGTTACATGAAGAAATCCCGTTTCCAAAGAAGGCCTCAAATAGGTCCAAATATCCACTTGCAGCTACTACAAGAAGGGTGTTTCAGAAACGCTCTATCAAAAGAAACGTTAAACTCTGTGAGTTGAACGCACACGTCACTAAGCACTTTCTGAGAACGATTCTATCTACTTTTTACATGAAGATGTTTCCTTTTCTTGCAGAGACTTCAAAGTGCTCTAAATATCCACTTGGGAATTCTACAAAAACGGTGTCTCAAAACTGCTCTATCAAACGGAATGTTCCATTCTGTGAGTCGAATGCACACATCCGAAGAAGTTACTGAGAATTCTTCTCTGTAGGTTTAGATGAAGAAATCCCGTTTCCAACGAAGGCCTCTAGGAGGTCCAATTATCCACTTGCAGATTCTACAGAAAGAGTGTTTCAAAACTGCTCTATCAAGAGAAATGGTCCACCGTGTGTGTGGAATGCAGCCATCACACATTAGTTTCTGAGATTGCTTCTGTCTTGGTTTTATGGGGAGATATTTCCATTTCTAGCATAGGCTTCAAGGCGCTCTAAATATCCGCTTGGAAATACTACAAAAACAGTGTTTCAAAACTGCTGTATCCAAAGGAAGGTGCCACTCGCTGAGTTGAATGCACACATCACAAGGAAGTTTCTGAGAATTCTTCTGTCTAGATTCATACGAAGAAATCCCGTTTCCAACGAAGGCCTCAAAGAAGTCCAAATATCCCATTGCAAATTCCACAAAAGCAGTGTTTCCCAACTGCTCTATCAAGAGGAATGTTGCACTCTGTGACTTGCATGCAAACATCACATAGCAGTGTTTGAGAATTCTCTGTCTAGAGTAACATGAAGAAATCCCGTTTCCAACGAAGGCCTCAAGGCGGTCCAATTATCCACTTGCAGATTCTACAGAAAGAGTGTTTCAAAACTGCTCTATCAAGAGAAATGTTCCACCGTGTGTGTGGAATGCAGCCATCACACAGTAGTTTCTGAGATTGCTTCCGTCTAGGTTTTATGGGAAGATATTTCCTTTTCTACCATAGGCTTCAAGGCTCTCTAATATCCGCTTGGAAATACTACAACCAGAGCGTTTCAAAATGCTCTATCCAAAGGAAGGTTCCACTCTGTGACTTGAATGCACACAACCAAAGAAGTTTCGGAGAATTCTTCTGTCTGGATTTATACGAAGAAATCCCGTTTCCAACGAAGACCCAAAGGAGTTCCAAATATCCACTTGCAGATCCTTCAGAAAGAGGGTTTCAAAACTGCTCTATCAAGAGAAATGTTCAACTCTGTGAGTTGAATGCAGACATCACAAAGTCGTTTCTGAGATTGGTTCTGTCTAGGTTTTATGGGAAGATATTTCCTTTTCTACCATACGCTTCAAGGCGTTCCAAATATCCGCTTGGAAATACTACAAAAACAGTGTTTCAAAACTGCTCTATCAAAAGGAAGGATCCACACTGTGAGTTGAATTCACACATCACAAAGAAGTCTCTGAGAATTCTTCTGTCTGGGTTTATAGGAAGAAATCCCGTTTCCAACGAAGGCCTCAAAGCGGTCCATATATCCACTTGCAGATTCTACAGAAACAATGTTTCCAAACTGCTCTATCAAGAGGAATGTTGCACTCGGTGAGTTGAATGCACACATCACAAAGTAGTTTCTGAGATTGCTTCTGTCTACCTTTTATGGAAAGATATTCCCTTTTCTACCATAGGCCTGAAAGCGCTCTCAATGTACCCTTGCAAATTCTACAAAAAGAGTGTTTCCAAATTGCTCTATCAAGAGAAATCTTTATCTCGGTGAGTTGAAAGCACACATCACAAAGAAGACTCTGAGAATTCTTCTGTCTGGGTTTATAAGATGAAAACCCGTTTCCAACGAAGGCCTCAAGGAGGTCCAAATACAAACAAGCTGATTCTACAGAAAGAGTGTTTCCAAACTGCTCTATCAAGAGGAATGTTCCACTCGGTGAGTTGAATGCAGACATCACAAAGGAGTTTCTGAGATTGCTTCTGTCTAGCTTTTATGGAAAGATATTTCCTTTTCTACCATAGGCCTCAAAGCGCTCTTAGTATACACTTCCAAATTCTACAAAGAGAGTGTTACTAAACCGCTCTCTCAAAGGAAATGTTAAACTCTGTGAGTTGAACACAGACATCACAAAGCAGTTTCTGAGAACACTTCTGTCTGCCTTTTATGTGAAGACATTCCCTTTTCCAAAGAATGCCTCCAAGGGCTCAAAATATCCACTTGTAGACTTTACAAAGAGAGTGTTTCAAAACTTCTCTACCAAAAGAAAGGTTAAAGACGGTGAGTTCAACGCACACATCACAAAGTTGTTTCTGAGAATGATTCTATCTATGTTTTCCATGAAGATGTTTCCTTTTCTATCATAGGCTTCAAAGTGGTCTAAATATCCACTTGGAAATCCTACAAGAACAGGGTTTCAAAACTTCTCTATCAAACGGAAGACTCCACTCTGTGAGATGAACGCACACATCACAATGAGGTTTCTGAAAATTCTTCTGTCTAGGGTTATAGGAAGAAATCCCGTTTCCAACGAAGGCCTGAAAGAGGTCCAAATATCCACTTGCAGTTTCTACAAAAAGAGTGTTTCAACACTGCTCTATAAAGAGGAAAGTTCCACTCTGTGAGTTGAATGTACACATCACAAAGTAGTTTCTGAGATTGCTTCTGTCTAGGTTTTAGGTGAAGTTATTTCCTTTTCTACTGTGGGCTTCAATGCGCTCTAAATATACACATGCAAATACTACAAAAAGAGTGTTTCAAAACTGCTCTATCAAAAGAAAAGTTTTACTCTGTGGGTTGAACGCACACATCGCAAAGCAGATTCTGAGAATTATTCTGTCTAGTTTTTATAGGAAGATGTTTCTTTTTCTGCCATAGGCTCAATGCGCTATAAATATCCCCTTGGAAATCCTACAAAAACAGTGTTTCAAAACTGCTCTGTGAAAAGGGAGGTTTCACTCTTTGAATTGAATGCACACATCACAAAGGAGTTTCTGAAAATTCTTCAAACTAGAGTTACATGAAGAAATCCCGTTTCCAAAGAAGGCCTCAAATAGGTCCAAATATCCACTTGCAGCTACTACAAGAAGGGTGTTTCAGAAACGCTCTATCAAAAGAAACGTTAAACTCTGTGAGTTGAACGCACACGTCACTAAGCACTTTCTGCGAACGATTCTATCTACTTTTTACATGAAGATGTTTCCTTTTCTAGCAGAGACTTCAAAGTGCTCTAAATATCCACTTGGGAATTCTACAAAAACGGTGTCTCAAAACTGCTCTATCAAACGGAATGTTCCATTCTGTGAGTCGAATGCACACATCCGAAGAAGTTACTGAGAATTCTTCTCTGTAGGTTTAGATGAAGAAATCCCGTTTCCAACGAAGGCCTCTAGGAGGTCCAATTATCCACTTGCAGATTCTACAGAAAGAGTGTTTCAAAACTGCTCTATCAAGAGAAATGGTCCACCGTGTGTGTGGAATGCAGCCATCACACATTAGTTTCTGAGATTGCTTCTGTCTTGGTTTTATGGGGAGATATTTCCATTTCTAGCATAGGCTTCAAGGCGCTCTAAATATCCGCTTGGAAATACTACAAAAACAGTGTTTCAAAACTGCTGTATCCAAAGGAAGGTGCCACTCGCTGAGTTGAATGCACACATCACAAGGAAGTTTCTGAGAATTCTTCTGTCTAGATTCATACGAAGAAATCCCGTTTCCAACGAAGGCCTCAAAGAAGTCCAAATATCCCATTGCAAATTCTACAAAAGGAGTGTTTCCCAACTGCTCTATCAAGAGGAATGTTGCACTCTGTGACTTGAATGCAAACATCACACAGCAGTGTTTGAGAATTCTTCTGTCTAGAGTAACATGAAGAAATCCCGTTTCCAACGAAGGCCTCAAGGCGGTCCAATTATCCACTTGCAGATTCTACAGAAAGAGTGTTTCAAAACTGCTCTATCAAGAGAAATGTTCCACCGTGTGTGTGGAATGCAGCCATCTCACAGTAGTTTCTGAGATTGCTTCCGTCTAGGTTTTATGGGAAGATATTTCCTTTTCTACCATAGGCCTCAAGGCGCTCTAATATCCGCTTGGAAATACTACAACCACAGCGTTTCAAACTGCTCTATCCAAAGGAAGGTTCCACTCTGTGACTTGAATGCACACAACCAAAGAAGTTTCGGAGAATTCTTCTGTCTGGATTTATACGAAGAAATCCCGTTTCCAACGAAGACCCAAAGGAGTTCCAAATATCCACTTGCAGATCCTTCAGAAAGAGGGTTTCAAAACTGCTCTATCAAGAGAAATGTTCAACTCTGTGAGTTGAATGCAGACATCACAAAGTCGTTTCTGAGATGGGTTCTGTCTAGGTTTTATGGGAAGATATTTCCTTTTCTACCATACGCTTCAAGGCGTTCCAAATATCCGCTTGGAAATACTACAAAAGCGGTGTTTCAAAACTGCTCTATCAAAAGGAAGGATCCACACTGTGAGTTGAATTCACACATCACAAAGAAATCTCTGAGAATTCTTCTGTCTGGGTTTATAGGAAGAAATCCCGTTTCCAACGAAGGCCTCAAAGCGGTCCATATATCCACTTGCAGATTCTACAGAAACAATGTTTCCAAACTGCTCTATCAAGAGGAATGTTGCACTCGGTGAGTTGAATGCACACATCACAAAGTAGTTTCTGAGATTGCTTCTGTCTACCTTTTATGGAAAGATATTCCCTTTTCTACCATAGGCCTGAAAGCGCTCTCAATGTACCCTTGCAAATTCTACAAAAAGAGTGTTTCCAAATTGCTCTATCAAGAGAAATCTTTATCTCGGTGAGTTGAAAGCACACATCACAAAGAAGACTCTGAGAATTCTTCTGTCTGGGTTTATAAGATGAAAACCCGTTTCCAACGAAGGCCTCAAGGAGGTCCAAATACAAACAAGCTGATTCTACAGAAAGAGTGTTTCCAAACTGCTCTATCAAGAGGAATGTTCCACTCGGTGAGTTGAATGCAGACATCACAAAGGAGTTTCTGAGATTGCTTCTGTCTAGCTTTTATGGAAAGATATTTCCTTTTCTACCATAGGCCTCAAAGCGCTCTTAGTATACACTTCCAAATTCTACAAAGAGAGTGTTACTAAACCGCTCTCTCAAAGGAAATGTTAAACTCTGTGAGTTAAACACAGACATCACAAAGCAGTTTCTGAGAACACTTCTGTCTGCCTTTTATGTGAAGACATTCCCTTTTCCAAAGAATGCCTCCAAGGGCTCAAAATATCCACTTGTAGACTTTACAAAGAGAGTGTTTCAAAACTTCTCTACCAAAAGAAAGGTTAAAGACGGTGAGTTCAACGCACACATCACAAAGTTGTTTCTGACAATGATTCTATCTATGTTTTCCATGAAGATGTTTCCTTTTCTATCATAGGCTTCCAAGTGGTCTAAATATCCACCTGGAAATCCTACAAGAACAGGGTTTCAAAGCTTCTCTATCAAACGGAAGACTCCACTCTGTGAGATGAACGCACACATCACAATGAGGTTTCTGAAAATTCTTCTGTCTAGGGTTATAGGAAGAAATCCCCTTTCCAACGAAGGCCTCAAAGAGGTCCAAATATCCACTTGCAGTTTCTACAAAAAGAGTGTTTCAACACTGCTCTATAAAGAGGAAAGTTCCACTCTGTGAGTTGAATGTACACATCACAAAGTAGTTTCTGAGATTGCTTCTGTCTAGGTTTTAGGTGAAGTTATTTCCTTTTCTACTGTGGGCTTCAATGCGCTCTAAATATACACATGCAAATACTACAAAAAGAGTGTTTCAAAACTGCTCTATCAAAAGAAAAGTTTTACTCTGTGGGTTGAACGCACACATCGCAAAGCAGATTCTGAGAATTATTCTGTCTAGTTTTTATAGGAAGATGTTTCTTTTTCTGCCGTAGGCTCAATGCGCTATAAATATCCCCTTGGAAATCCTACAAAAACAGTGTTTCAAAACTGCTCTGTGAAAAGGGAGGTTTCACTCTTTGAATTGAATGCACACATCACAAAGGAGTTTCTGAAAATTCTTCAATCTAGAGTTACATGAAGAAATCCCGTTTCCAAAGAAGGCCTCAAATAGGTCCAAATATCCACTTGCAGCTACTACAAGAAGGGTGTTTCAGAAACGCTCTATCAAAAGAAACGTTAAACTCTGTGAGTTGAACACACACGTCACTAAGCACTTTCTGAGAACGATTCTATCTACTTTTTACATGAAGATGTTTCCTTTTCTAGCAGAGACTTCAAAGTGCTGTAAATATCCACTTGGGAATTCTACAAAAACGGTGTCTCAAAACTGCTCTATCAAACGGAATGTTCCATTCTGTGAGTCGAATGCACACATCCGAAGAAGTTACTGAGAATTCTTCTCTGTAGGTTTAGATGAAGAAATCCCGTTTCCAACGAAGGCCTCTAGGAGGTCCAATTATCCACTTGCAGATTCTACAGAAAGAGTGTTTCAAAACTGCTCTATCAAGAGAAATGGTCCACCGTGTGTGTGGAATGCAGCCATCACACATTAGTTTCTGAGATTGCTTCTGTCTTGGTTTTATGGGGAGATATTTCCATTTCTAGCATAGGCTTCAAGGCGCTCTAAATATCCGCTTGGAAATACTACAAAAACAGTGTTTCAAAACTGCTGTATCCAAAGGAAGGTGCCACTCACTGAGTTGAATGCACACATCACAAGGAAGTTTCTGAGAATTCTTCTGTCTAGATTCATACGAAGAAATCCCGTTTCCAACGAAGGCCTCAAAGAAGTCCAAATATCCCATTGCAAATTCTACAAAAGGAGTGTTTCCCAACTGCTCTATCAAGAGGAATGTTGCACTCTGTGACTTGAATGCAAACATCACATAGCAGTGTTTGAGAATTCTTCTGTCTAGAGTAACATGAAGAAATCCCGTTTCCAACGAAGGCCTCAAGGCGGTCCAATTATCCACTTGCAGATTCTACAGAAAGAGTGTTTCAAAACTGCTCTATCAAGAGAAATGTTCCACCGTGTGTGTGGAATGCAGCCATCACACAGTAGTTTCTGAGATTGCTTCCGTCTAGGTTTTATGGGAAGATATTTCCTTTTCTACCATAGGCTTCAAGGCGCTCTAATATCCGCTTGGAAATACTACAACCACAGCGTTTCAAACTGCTCTATCCAAAGGAAGGTTCCACTCTGTGACTTGAATGCACACAACCAAAGAAGTTTCGGAGAATTCTTCTGTCTGGATTTATACGAAGAAATCCCGTTTCCAACGAAGACCCAAAGGAGTTCCAAATATCCACTTGCAGCTCCTTCAGAAAGAGGGTTTCAAAACTGCTCTATCAAGAGAAATGTTCAACTCTGTGAGTTGAATGCAGACATCACAAAGTCGTTTCTGAGATGGGTTCTGTCTAGGTTTTATGGGAAGATATTTCCTTTTCTACCTTACGCTTCAAGGCGTTCCAAATATCCGCTTGGAAATACTACAAAAACAGTGTTTCAAAACTGCTCTATCAAAAGGAAGGATCCACACTGTGAGTTGAATTCACACATCACAAAGAAATCTCTGAGAATTCTTCTGTCTGGGTTTATAGGAAGAAATCCCGTTTCCAACGAAGGCCTCAAAGCGGTCCATATATCCACTTGCAGATTCTACAGAAACAATGTTTCCAAACTGCTCGGTCAAGAGGAATGTTGCACTCGGTGAGTTGAATGCACACATCACAAAGTAGTTTCTGAGATTGCTTCTGTCTACCTTTGATGGAAAGATATTCCCTTTTCTACCATAGGCCTGAAAGCGCTCTCAATGTACCCTTGCAAATTCTACAAAAAGAGTGTTTCCAAATTGCTCTATCAAGAGAAATCTTTATCTCGGTGAGTTGAAAGCACACATCACAAAGAAGACTCTGAGAATTCTTCTGTCTGGGTTTATAAGATGAAAACCCGTTTCCAACGAAGGCCTCAAGGAGGTCCAAATACAAACAAGCTGATCCTACAAAAAGAGTGTTTCCAAACTGCTCTATCAAGAGGAATGTTCCACTCGGTGAGTTGAATGCAGACATCACAAAGGAGTTTCTGAGATTGCTTCTGTCTAGCTTTTATGGAAAGATATTTCCTTTTCTACCATAGGCCTCAAAGCGCTCTTAGTATACACTTCCAAATTCTACAAAGAGAGTGTTACTAAACTGCTCTCTCAAAGGAAATGTTAAACTCTGTGAGTTGAACACCGACATCACAAAGCAGTTTCTGAGAACACTTCTGTCTGCCTTTTATGTGAAGACATCCCCTTTTCCAAAGAATGCCTCCAAGGGCTCAAAATATCCACTTGTAGACTTTACAAAGAGAGTGTTTCAAAACTTCTCTACCAAAAGAAAGGTTAAAGACGGTGAGTTCAACGCACACATCACAAAGTTGTTTCTGACAATGATTCTATCTATGTTTTCCATGAAGATGTTTCCTTTTCTATCATAGGCTTCAAAGTGGTCTAAATATCCACTTGGAAATCCTACAAGAACAGGGTTTCAAAGCTTCTCTATCAAACGGAAGACTCCACTCTGTGAGATGAACGCACACATCACAATGAGGTTTCTGAAAATTCTTCTGTCTAGGGTTATAGGAAGAAATCCCGTTTCCAACGAAGGCCTCAAAGAGGTCCAAATATCCACTTGCAGTTTCTACAAAAAGAGTGTTTCAACACTGCTCTATAAAGAGGAAAGTTCCACTCTGTGAGTTGAATGTACACATCACAAAGTAGTTTCTGAGATTGCTTCTGTCTAGGTTTTAGGTGAAGTTATTTCCTTTTCTACTGTGGGCTTCAATGCGCTCTAAATATACACATGCAAATACTACAAAAAGAGTGTTTCAAAACTGCTCTATCAAAAGAAAAGTTTTACTCTGTGAGTTGAACGCACACATCGCAAAGCAGATTCTGAGAATTATTCTGTCTAGTTTTTATAGGAAGATGTTTCTTTTTCTGCCATAGGATCAATGCGCTATAAATATCCCCTTGGAAATCCTACAAAAACAGTGTTTCAAAACTGCTCTGTGAAAAGGGAGGTTTCACTCTTTGAATTGAATGCACACATCACAAAGGAGTTTCTGAAAATTCATCAATCTAGAGTTACATGAAGAAATCCCGTTTCCAAAGAAGGCCTCAAATAGGTCCAAATATCCACTTGCAGCTACTACAAGAAGGGTGTTTCAGAAACGCTCTATCAAAAGAAACGTTAAACTCTGTGAGTTGAACACACACGTCACTAAGCACTTTCTGAGAACGATTCTATCTACTTTTTACATGAAGATGTTTCCTTTTCTAGCAGAGACTTCAAAGTGCTCTAAATATCCACTTGGGAATTCTACAAAAACGGTGTCTCAAAACTGCTCTATCAAAGGGAATGTTCCATTCTGTGAGTCGAATGCACACATCCGAAGAAGTTACTGAGAATTCTTCTCTGTAGGTTTAGATGAAGAAATCCCGTTTCCAACGAAGGCCTCTAGGAGGTCCAATTATCCACTTGCAGATTCTACAGAAAGAGTGTTTCAAAACTGCTCTATCAAGAGAAATGGTCCACCGTGTGTGTGGAATGCAGCCATCACACATTAGTTTCTGAGATTGCTTCTGTCTTGGTTTTATGGGGAGATATTTCCATTTCTAGCATAGGCTTCAAGGCGCTCTAAATATCCGCTTGGAAATAGTACAAAAACAGTGTTTCAAAACTGCTGTATCCAAAGGAAGGTGCCACTCGCTGAGTTGAATGCACACATCACAAGGAAGTTTCTGAGAATTCTTCTGTCTAGATTCATACGAAGAAATCCCGTTTCCAACGAAGGCCTCAAAGAAGTCCAAATATCCCATTGCAAATTCTACAAAAGGAGTGTTTCCCAACTGCTCTATCAAGAGGAATGTTGCACTCTGTGACTTGAATGCAAACATCACATAGCAGTGTTTGAGAATTCTTCTGTCTAGAGTAACATGAAGAAATCCCGTTTCCAACGAAGGCCTCAAGGCGGTCCAATTATCCACTTGCAGATTCTACAGAAAGAGTGTTTCAAAACTGCTCTATCAAGAGAAATGTTCCACCGTGTGTGTGGAATGCAGCCATCACACAGTAGTTTCTGAGATTGCTTCCGTCTAGGTTTTATGGGAAGATATTTCCTTTTCTACCATAGGCTTCAAGGCGCTCTAATATCCGCTTGGAAATACTACAACCAGAGCGTTTCAAACTGCTCTATCCAAAGGAAGGTTCCACTCTGTGACTTGAATGCACACAACCAAAGAAGTTTCGGAGAATTCTTCTGTCTAGATTGGTACGAAGAAATCCCGTTACCAACGAAGACCCAAAGGAGTTCCAAATATCCACTTGCAGATCCTTCAGAAAGAGGGTTTCAAAACTGCTCTATCCAGAGAAATGTTCAACTCTGTGAGTTGAATGCAGACATCACAAAGTCGTTTCTGAGATTGGTTCTGTCTAGGTTTTATGGGAAGATATTTCCTTTTCTACCATACGCTTCAAGGCGTTCCAAATATCCGCTTGGAAATACTACAAAAACAGTGTTTCAAAACTGCTCTATCAAAAGGAAGGATCCACACTGTGAGTTGAATTCACACATCACAAAGAAGTCTCTGAGAATTCTTCTGTCTGGGTTTATAGGAAGAAATCCCGTTTCCAACGAAGGCCTCAAAGAGGTCCAAATATCCACTTGCAGATTCTACAGAAACAATGTTTCCAAACTGCTCGGTCAAGAGGAATGTTGCACTCGGTGAGTTGAATGCACACATCACAAAGTAGTTTCTGAGATTGCTTCTGTCTACCTTTTATGGAAAGATATTCCCTTTTCTACCATAGGCCTGAAAGCGCTCTCAATGTACCCTTGCAAATTCTACAAAAAGAGTGTTTCCAAATTGCTCTATCAAGAGAAATCTTTATCTCGGTGAGTTGAAAGCACACATCACAAAGAAGACTCTGAGAATTCTTCTGTCTGGGTTTATAAGATGAAAACCCGTTTCCAACGAAGGCCTCAAGGAGGTCCAAATACAAACAAGCTGATTCTACAGAAAGAGTGTTTCCAAACTGCTCTATCAAGAGGAATGTTCCACTCGGTGAGTTGAATGCAGACATCACAAAGGAGTTTCTGAGATTGCTTCTGTCTAGCTTTTATGGAAAGATATTTCCTTTTCTACCATAGGCCTCAAAGCGCTCTTAGTATACACTTCCAAATTCTACAAAGAGAGTGTTACTAAACCGCTCTCTCAAAGGAAATGTTAAACTCTGTGAGTTGAACACAGACATCACAAAGCAGTTTCTGAGAACACTTCTGTCTGCCTTTTATGTGAAGACATTCCCTTTTCCAAAGAATGCCTCCAAGGGCTCAAAATATCCACTTGTAGACTTTACAAAGAGAGTGTTTCAAAACTTCTCTACCAAAAGAAAGGTTAAAGACGGTGAGTTCAACGCACACATCACAAAGTTGTTTCTGAGAATGATTCTATCTATGTTTTCCATGAAGATGTTTCCTTTTCTATCATAGGCTTCAAAGTGGTCTAAATATCCACTTGGAAATCCTACAAGAACAGGGTTTCAAAACTTCTCTATCAAACGGAAGACTCCACTCTGTGAGATGAACGCACACATCACAATGAGGTTTCTGAAAATTCTTCTGTCTAGGGTTATAGGAAGAAATCCCGTTTCCAACGAAGGCCTCAAAGAGGTCCAAATATCCACTTGCAGTTTCTACAAAAAGAGTGTTTCAACACTGCTCTATAAAGAGGAAAGTTCCACTCTGTGAGTTGAATGTACACATCACAAAGTAGTTTCTGAGATTGCTTCTGTCTAGGTTTTAGGTGAAGTTATTTCCTTTTCTACTGTGGGCTTCAATGCGCTCTAAATATACACATGCAAATACTACAAAAAGAGTGTTTCAAAACTGTTCTATCAAAAGAAAAGTTTTAATCTGTGGGTTGAACGCACACATCGCAAAGCAGATTCTGAGAATTATTCTGTCTAGTTTTTATAGGAAGATGTTTCTTTTTCTGCCATAGGCTCAATGCGCTATAAATATCCCCTTGGAAATCCTACAAAAACAGTGTTTCAAAACTGCTCTGTGAAAAGGGAGGTTTCACTCTTTGAATTGAATGCACACATCACAAAGGAGTTTCTGAAAATTCTTCAATCTAGAGTTACATGAAGAAATCCCGTTTCCAAAGAAGGCCTCAAATAGGTCCAAATATCCACTTGCAGCTACTACAAGAAGGGTGTTTCAGAAACGCTCTATCAAAAGAAACGATAAACTCTGTGAGTTGAACACACACGTCACTAAGCACTTTCTGAGAACGATTCTATCTACTTTTTACATGAAGATGTTTCCTTTTCTAGCAGAGACTTCAAAGTGCTCTAAATATCCACTTGGGAATTCTACAAAAACGGTGTCTCAAAACTGCTCTATCAAAGGGAATGTTCCATTCTGTGAGTCGAATGCACACATCCGAAGAAGTTACTGAGAATTCTTCTCTGTAGGTTTAGATGAAGAAATCCCGTTTCCAACGAAGGCCTCTAGGAGGTCCAATTATCCACTTGCAGATTCTACAGAAAGAGTGTTTCAAAACTGCTCTATCAAGAGAAATGGTCCACCGTGTGTGTGGAATGCAGCCATCACACATTAGTTTCTGAGATTGCTTCTGTCTTGGTTTTATGGGGAGATATTTCCATTTCTAGCATAGGCTTCAAGGCGCTCTAAATATCCGCTTGGAAATACTACAAAAACAGTGTTTCAAAACTGCTGTATCCAAAGGAAGGTGCCACTCGCTGAGTTGAATGCACACATCACAAGGAAGTTTCTGAGAATTCTTCTGTCTAGATTCATACGAAGAAATCCCGTTTCCAACGAAGGCCTCAAAGAAGTCCAAATATCCCATTGCAAATTCTACAAAAGGAGTGTTTCCCAACTGCTCTATCAAGAGGAATGTTGCACTCTGTGACTTGAATGCAAACATCACATAGCAGTGTTTGAGAATTCTTCTGTCTAGAGTAACATGAAGAAATCCCGTTTCCAACGAAGGCCTCAAGGCGGTCCAATTATCCACTTGCAGATTTTACAGAAAGAGTGTTTCAAAACTGCTCTATCAAGAGAAATGTTCCACCGTGTGTGTGGAATGCAGCCATCACACAGTAGTTTCTGAGATTGCTTCCGTCTAGGTTTTATGGGAAGATATTTCCTTTTCTACCATAGGCCTCAAGGCGCTCTAATATCCGCTTGGAAATACTACAACCACAGCGTTTCAAACTGCTCTATCCAAAGGAAGGTTCCACTCTGTGACTTGAATGCACACAACCAAAGAAGTTTCGGAGAATTCTTCTGTCTGGATTTATACGAAGAAATCCCGTTTCCAACGAAGACCCAAAGGAGTTCCAAATATCCACTTGCAGATCCTTCAGAAAGAGGGTTTCAAAACTGCTCTATCAAGAGAAATGTTCAACTCTGTGAGTTGAATGCAGACATCACAAAGTCGTTTCTGAGATTGGTTCTGTCTAGGTTTTATGGGAAGATATTTCCTTTTCTACCATACGCTTCAAGGCGTTCCAAATATCCGCTTGGAAATACTACAAAAACGGTGTTTCAAAACTGCTCTATCAAAAGGAAGGATCCACACTGTGAGTTGAATTCCCACATCACAAAGAAATCTCTGAGAATTCTTCTGTCTGGGTTTATAGGAAGAAATCCCGTTTCCAACGAAGGCCTCAAAGCGGTCCATATATCCACTTGCAGATTCTACAGAAACAATGTTTCCAAACTGCTCTATCAAGAGGAATGTTGCACTCGGTGAGTTGAATGCACACATCACAAAGTAGTTTCTGAGATTGCTTCTGTCTACCTTTTATGGAAAGATATTCCCTTTTCTACCATAGGCCTGAAAGCGCTCTCAATGTACCCTTGCAAATTCTACAAAAAGAGTGTTTCCAAATTGCTCTATCAAGAGAAATCTTTATCTCGGTGAGTTGAAAGCACACATCACAAAGAAGACTCTGAGAATTCTTCTGTCTGGGTTTATAAGATGAAAACCCGTTTCCAACGAAGGCCTCAAGGAGGTCCAAATACAAACAAGCTGATTCTACAGAAAGAGTGTTTCCAAACTGCTCTATCAAGAGGAATGTTCCACTCGGTGAGTTGAATGCAGACATCACAAAGGAGTTTCTGAGATTGCTTCTGTCTAGCTTTTATGGAAAGATATTTCCTTTTCTACCATAGGCCTCAAAGCGCTCTTAGTATACACTTCCAAATTCTACAAAGAGAGTGTTACTAAACCGCTCTCTCAAAGGAAATGTTAAACTCTGTGAGTTGAACACAGACATCACAAAGCAGTTTCTGAGAACACTTCTGTCTGCCTTTTATGTGAAGACATTCCCTTTTCCAAAGAATGCCTCCAAGGGCTCAAAATATCCACTTGTAGACTTTACAAAGAGAGTGTTTCAAAACTTCTCTACCAAAAGAAAGGTTAAAGACGGTGAGTTCAACGCACACATCACAAAGTTGTTTCTGAGAATGATTCTATCTATGTTTTCCATGAAGATGTTTCCTTTTCTATCATAGGCTTCAAAGTGGTCTAAATATCCACTTGGAAATCCTACAAGAACAGGGTTTCAAAACTTCTCTATCAAACGGAAGACTCCACTCTGTGAGATGAACGCACACATCACAATGAGGTTTCTGAAAATTCTTCTGTCTAGGGTTATAGGAAGAAATCCCGTTTCCAACGAAGGCCTCAAAGAGGTCCAAATATCCACTTGCAGTTTCTACAAAAAGAGTGTTTCAACACTGCTCTATAAAGAGAAAAGTTCCACTCTGTGAGTTGAATGTACACATCACAAAGTAGTTTCTGAGATTGCTTCTGTCTAGGTTTTAGGTGAAGTTATTTCCTTTTCTACTGTGGGCTTCAATGCGCTCTAAATATACACATGCAAATACTACAAAAAGAGTGTTTCAAAACTGCTCTATCAAAAGAAAAGTTTTACTCTGTGAGTTGAACGCACACATCGCAAAGCAGATTCTGAGAATTATTCTGTCTAGTTTTTATAGGAAGATGTTTCTTTTTCTGCCATAGGCTCAATGCGCTATAAATATCCCCTTGGAAATCCTACAAAAACAGTGTTTCAAAACTGCTCTGTGAAAAGGGACGTTTCACTCTTTGAATTGAATGCACACATCACAAAGGAGGTTCTGAAAATTCTTCAATCTAGAGTTACATGAAGCAAATCCCGTTTACAAAGAAGGCCTCAAATAGGTCCAAATATCCACTTGCAGCTACTACAAGAAGGGTGTTTCAGAAACGCTCTAACAAAAGAAACGTTAAACCCTGTGAGTGGAACACACACGTCACTAAGCACTTTCTGAGAACGATTCTATCTACTTTTTACATGAAGATGTTTCCTTTTCTAGCAGAGACTTCAAAGTGCTCTAAATATCCACTTGGGAATTCTACAAAAACGGTGTCTCAAAACTGCTCTATCAAAGGGAATGTTCCATTCTGTGAGTCGAATGCACACATCCGAAGAAGTTACTGAGAATTCTTCTCTGTAGGTTTAGATGAAGAAATCCCGTTTCCAACGAAGGCCTCTAGGAGGTCCAATTATCCACTTGCAGATTCTACAGAAAGAGTGTTTCAAAACTGCTCTATCAAGAGAAATGGTCCACCGTGTGTGTGGAATGCAGCCATCACACATTAGTTTCTGAGATTGCTTCTGTCTTGGTTTTATGGGGAGATATTTCCATTTCTAGCATAGGCTTCAAGGCGCTCTAAATATCCGCTTGGAAATACTACAAAAACAGTGTTTCAAAACTGCTGTATCCAAAGGAAGGTGCCACTCGCTGAGTTGAATGCACACATCACAAGGAAGTTTCTGAGAATTCTTCTGTCTAGATTCATACGAAGAAATCCCGTTTCCAACGAAGGCCTCAAAGAAGTCCAAATATCCCATTGCAAATTCTACAAAAGGAGTGTTTCCCAACTGCTCTATCAAGAGGAATGTTGCACTCTGTGACTTGCATGCAAACATCACACAGCAGTGTTTGAGAATTCTTCTGTCTAGAGTAACATGAAGAAATCCCGTTTCCAACGAAGGCCTCAAGGCGGTCCAATTATCCACTTGCAGATTCTACAGAAAGAGTGTTTCAAAACTGCTCTATCAAGAGAAATGTTCCACCGTGTGTGTGGAATGCAGCCATCACACAGTAGTTTCTGAGATTGCTTCCGTCTAGGTTTTATGGGAAGATATTTCCTTTTCTACCATAGGCCTCAAGGCGCTCTAATATCCGCTTGGAAATACTACAACCACAGCGTTTCAAACTGCTCTATCCAAAGGAAGGTTCCACTCTGTGACTTGAATGCACACAACCAAAGAAGTTTCAGAGAATTCTTCTGTCTGGATTTATACGAAGAAATCCCGTTTCCAACGAAGACCCAAAGGAGTTCCAAATATCCACTTGCAGATCCTTCAGAAAGAGGGTTTCAAAACTGCTCTATCAAGAGAAATGTTCAACTCTGTGAGTTGAATGCAGACATCACAAAGTCGTTTCTGAGATGGGTTCTGTCTAGGTTTTATGGGAAGATATTTCCTTTTCTACCATACGCTTCAAGGCGTTCCAAATATCCGCTTGGAAATACTACAAAAACAGTGTTTCAAAACTGCTCTATCAAAAGGAAGGATCCACACTGTGAGTTGAATTCACACATCACAAAGAAGTCTCTGAGAATTCTTCTGTCTGGGTTTATAGGAAGAAATCCCGTTTCCAACGAAGGCCTCAAAGAGGTCCAAATATCCACTTGCAGATTCTACAGAAACAATGTTTCCAAACTGCTCGGTCAAGAGGAATGTTGCACTCGGTGAGTTGAATGCACACATCACAAAGTAGTTTCTGAGATTGCTTCTGTCTACCTTTTATGGAAAGATATTCCCTTTTCTACCATAGGCCTGAAAGCGCTCTCAATGTACCCTTGCAAATTCTACAAAAAGAGTGTTTCCAAATTGCTCTATCAAGAGAAATCTTTATCTCGGTGAGTTGAAAGCACACATCACAAAGAAGACTCTGAGAATTCTTCTGTCTGGGTTTATAAGATGAAAACCCGTTTCCAACGAAGGCCTCAAGGAGGTCCAAATACAAACAAGCTGATTCTACAGAAAGAGTGTTTCCAAACTGCTCTATCAAGAGGAATGTTCCACTCGGTGAGTTGAATGCAGACATCACAAAGGAGTTTCTGAGATTGCTTCTGTCTAGCTTTTATGGAAAGATATTTCCTTTTCTACCATAGGCCTCAAAGCGCTCTTAGTATACACTTCCAAATTCTACAAAGAGAGTGTTACTAAACCGCTCTCTCAAAGGAAATGTTAAACTCTGTGAGTTGAACACAGACATCACAAAGCAGTTTCTGAGAACACTTCTGTCTGCCTTTTATGTGAAGACATTCCCTTTTCCAAAGAATGCCTCCAAGGGCTCAAAATATCCACTTGTAGACTTTACAAAGAGAGTGTTTCAAAACTTCTCTACCAAAAGAAAGGTTAAAGACGGTGAGTTCAACGCACACATCACAAAGTTGTTTCTGAGAATGATTCTATCTATGTTTTCCATGAAGATGTTTCCTTTTCTATCATAGGCTTCAAAGTGGTCTAAATATCCACTTGGAAATCCTACAAGAACAGGGTTTCAAAACTTCTCTATCAAACGGAAGACTCCACTCTGTGAGATGAACGCACACATCACAATGAGGTTTCTGAAAATTCTTCTGTCTAGGGTTATAGGAAGAAATCCCGTTTCCAACGAAGGCCTCAAAGAGGTCCAAATATCCACTTGCAGTTTCTACAAAAAGAGTGTTTCAACACTGCTCTATAAAGAGGAAAGTTCCACTCTGTGAGTTGAATGTACACATCACAAAGTAGTTTCTGAGATTGCTTCTGTCTAGATTTTAGGTGAAGTTATTTCCTTTTCTACTGTGGGCTTCAATGCGCTCTAAATATACACATGCAAATACTACAAAAAGAGTGTTTCAAAACTGCTCTATCAAAAGAAAAGTTTTACTCTGTGGGTTGAACGCACACATCGCAAAGCAGATTCTGAGAATTATTCTGTCTAGTTTTTATAGGAAGATGTTTCTTTTTCTGCCATAGGATCAATGCGCTATAAATATCCCCTTGGAAATCCTACAAAAACAGTGTTTCAAAACTGCTCTGTGAAAAGGGAGGTTTCACTCTTTGAATTGAATGCACACATCACAAAGGAGTTTCTGAAAATTCTTCAATCTAGAGTTACATGAAGAAATCCCGTTTCCAAAGAAGGCCTCAAATAGGTCCAAATATCCACTTGCAGCTACTACAAGAAGGGTGTTTCAGAAACGCTCTATCAAAAGAAACGTTAAACTCTGTGAGTTGAACACACACGTCACTAAGCCCTTTCTGAGAACGATTCTATCTACTTTTTACATGAAGATGTTTCCTTTTCTAGCAGAGACTTCAAAGTGCTCTAAATATCCACTTGGCAATTCTACAAAAACGGTGTCTCAAAACTGCTCTATCAAAGGGAATGTTCCATTCTGTGAGTCGAATGCACACATCCGAAGAAGTTACTGAGAATTCTTCTCTGTAGGTTTAGATGAAGAAATCCCGTTTCCAACGAAGGCCTCTAGGAGGTCCAATTATCCACTTGCAGATTCTACAGAAAGAGTGTTTCAAAACTGCTCTATCAAGAGAAATGGTCCACCGTGTGTGTGGAATGCAGCCATCACACATTAGTTTCTGAGATTGCTTCTGTCTTGGTTTTATGGGGAGATATTTCCATTTCTAGCATAGGCTTCAAGGCGCTCTAAATATCCGCTTGGAAATAGTACAAAAACAGTGTTTCAAAACTGCTGTATCCAAAGGAAGGTGCCAATCGCTGAGTTGAATGCACACATCACAAGGAAGTTTCTGAGAATTCTTCTGTCTAGTATTCATACGAAGAAATCCCGTTTCCAACGAAGGCCTCAAAGAAGTCCTAATATCCCATTGCAAATTCTACAAAAGGAGTGTTTCCCAACTGCTCCATCAAGAGGAATGTTGCACTCTGTGACTTGAATGCAAACATCACATAGCAGTGTTTGAGAATTCTTCTGTCTAGAGTAACATGAAGAAATCCCGTTTCCAACGAAGGCCTCAAGGCGGTCCAATTATCCACTTGCAGATTCTACAGAAAGAGTGTTTCAAAACTGCTCTATCAAGAGAAATGTTCCACCATGTGTGTGGAATGCAGCCATCACACAGTAGTTTCTGAGATTGCTTCCGTCTAGGTTTTATGGGAAGATATTTCCTTTTCTACCATAGGCTTCAAGGCGCTCTAATATCCGCTTGGAAATACTACAACCACAGCGTTTCAAACTGCTCTATCCAAAGGAAGGTTCCACTCTGTGACTTGAATGCACACAACCAAAGAAGTTTCGGAGAATTCTTCTGTCTGGATTTATACGAAGAAATCCCGTTTCCAACGAAGACCCAAAGGAATTCCAAATATCCACTTGCAGATCCTTCAGAAAGAGGGTTTCAAAACTGCTCTATCAAGAGAAATGTTCAACTCTGTGAGTTGAATGCAGACATCACAAAGTCGTTTCTGAGACTGGTTCTGTCTAGGTTTTATGGGAAGATATTTCCTTTTCTACCATACGCTTCAAGGCGTTCCAAATATCCGCTTGGAAATACTACAAAAACAGTGTTTCAAAACTGCTCTATCAAAAGGAAGGATCCACACTGTGAGTTGAATTCACACATCACAAAGAAGTCTCTGAGAATTCTTCTGTCTGGGTTTATAGGAAGAAATCCCGTTTCCAACGAAGGCCTCAAAGAGGTCCAAATATCCGCTTGCAGATTCTACAGAAACAATGTTTCCAAACTGCTCGGTCAAGAGGAATGTTGCACTCGGTGAGTTGAATGCACACATCACAAAGTAGTTTCTGAGATTGCTTCTGTCTACCTTTTATGGAAAGATATTCCCTTTTCTACCATAGGCCTGAAAGCGCTCTCAATGTACCCTTGCAAATTCTACAAAAAGAGTGTTTCCAAATTGCTCTATCAAGAGAAATCTTTATCTCGGTGAGTTGAAAGCACACATCACAAAGAAGACTCTGAGAATTCTTCTGTCTGGGTTTATAAGATGAAAACCCGTTTCCAACGAAGGCCTCAAGGAGGTCCAAATACAAACAAGCTGATTCTACAGAAAGAGTGTTTCCAAACTGCTCTATCAACAGGAATGTTCCACTCGGTGAGTTGAATGCAGACATCACAAAGGAGTTTCTGAGATTGCTTCTGTCTAGCTTTTATGGAAAGATATTTCCTTTTCTACCATAGGCCTCAAAGCGCTCTTAGTATACACTTCCAAATTCTACAAAGAGAGTGTTACTAAACCGCTCTCTCAAAGGAAATGTTAAACTCTGTGAGTTGAACACAGACATCACAAAGCAGTTTCTGAGAACACTTCTGTCTGCCTTTTATGTGAAGACATTCCCTTTTCCAAAGAATGCCTCCAAGGGCTCAAAATATCCACTTGTAGACTTTACAAAGAGAGTGTTTCAAAACTTCTCTACCAAAAGAAAGGTTAAAGACGGTGAGTTCAACGCACACATCACAAAGTTGTTTCTGAGAATGATTCTATCTATGTTTTCCATGAAGATGTTTCCTTTTCTATCATAGGCTTCAAAGTGGTCTAAATATCCACTTGGAAATCCTACAAGAACAGGGTTTCAAAACTTCTCTATCAAACGGAAGACTCCACTCTGTGAGATGAACGCACACATCACAATGAGGTTTCTGAAAATTCTTCTGTCTAGGGTTATAGGAAGAAATCCCGTTTCCAACGAAGGCCTCAAAGAGGTCCAAATATCCACTTGCAGTTTCTACAAAAAGAGTGTTTCAACAGTGCTCTATAAAGAGGAAAGTTCCACTCTGTGAGTTGAATGTACACATCACAAAGTAGTTTCTGAGATTGCTTCTGTCTAGGTTTTAGGTGAAGTTATTTCCTTTTCTACTGTGGGCTTCAATGCGCTCTAAATATACACATGCAAATACTACAAAAAGAGTGTTTCAAAACTGCTCTATCAAAAGAAAAGTTTTACTCTGTGGGTTGAACGCACACATCGCAAAGCAGATTCTGAGAATTATTCTGTCTAGTTTTTATAGGAAGATGTTTCTTTTTCTGCCGTAGGCTCAATGCGCTATAAATATCCCCTTGGAAATCCTACAAAAACAGTGTTTCAAAACTGCTCTGTGAAAAGGGAGGTTTCACTCTTTGAATTTAATGCACACATCACAAAGGAGTTTCTGAAAATTCTTCAAACTAGAGTTACATGAAGAAATCCCGTTTCCAAAGAAGGCCTCAAATAGGTCCAAATATCCACTTGCAGCTACTACAAGAAGGGTGTTTCAGAAACGCTCTATCAAAAGAAACGTTAAACTCTGTGAGTTGAACGCACACGTCACTAAGCACTTTCTGAGAACGATCCTATCTACTTTTTACATGAAAGATGTTTCCTTTTCTAGCAGAGACTTCAAAGTGCTCTAAATATCCACTTGGGAATTCTACAAAAACGGTGTCTCAAAACTGCTCTATCAAACGGAATGTTCCATTCTGTGAGTCGAATGCACACATCCGAAGAAGTTACTGAGAATTCTTCTCTGTAGGTTTAGATGAAGAAATCCCGTTTCCAACGAAGGCCTCTAGGAGGTCCAATTATCCACTTGCAGATTCTACAGAAAGAGTGTTTCAAAACTGCTCTATCAAGAGAAATGGTCCACCGTGTGTGTGGAATGCAGCCATCACACATTAGTTTCTGAGATTGCTTCTGTCTTGGTTTTATGGGGAGATATTTCCATTTCTAGCATAGGCTTCAAGGCGCTCTAAATATCCGCTTGGAAATACTACAAAAACAGTGTTTCAAAACTGCTGTATCCAAAGGAAGGTGCCACTCGCTGAGTTGAATGCACACATCACAAGGAAGTTTCTGAGAATTCTTCTGTCTAGATTCATACGAAGAAATCCCGTTTCCAACGAAGGCCTCAAAGAAGTCCAAATATCCCATTGCAAATTCTACAAAAGGAGTGTTTCCCAACTGCTCTATCAAGAGGAATGTTGCACTCTGTGACTTGCATGCAAACATCACACAGCAGTGTTTGAGAATTCTTCTGTCTAGAGTAACATGAAGAAATCCCGTTTCCAACGAAGGCCTCAAGGCGGTCCAATTATCCACTTGCAGATTCTACAGAAAGAGTGTTTCAAAACTGCTCTATCAAGAGAAATGTTCCACCGTGTGTGTGGAATGCAGCCATCACACAGTAGTTTCTGAGATTGCTTCCGTCTAGGTTTTATGGGAAGATATTTCCTTTTCTACCATAGGCCTCAAGGCGCTCTAATATCCGCTTGGAAATACTACAACCACAGCGTTTCAAACTGCTCTATCCAAAGGAAGGTTCCACTCTGTGACTTGAATGCACACAACCAAAGAAGTTTCGGAGAATTCTTCTGTCTGGATTTATACGAAGAAATCCCGTTTCCAACGAAGACCCAAAGGAGTTCCAAATATCCACTTGCAGATCCTTCAGAAAGAGGGTTTCAAAACTGCTCTATCAAGAGAAATGTTCAACTCTGTGAGTTGAATGCAGACATCACAAAGTCGTTTCTGAGATGGGTTCTGTCTAGGTTTTATGGGAAGATATTTCCTTTTCTACCATACGCTTCAAGGCGTTCCAAATATCCGCTTGGAAATACTACAAAAACGGTGTTTCAAAACTGCTCTATCAAAAGGAAGGATCCACACTGTGAGTTGAATTCACACATCACAAAGAAATCTCTGAGAATTCTTCTGTCTGGGTTTATAGGAAGAAATCCCGTTTCCAACGAAGGCCTCCAAGAGGTCCATATATCCACTTGCAGATTCTACAGAAACAATGTTTCCAAACTGCTCGGTCAAGAGGAATGTTGCACTCGGTGAGTTGAATGCACACATCACAAAGTAGTTTCTGAGATTGCTTCTGTCTACCTTTTATGGAAAGATATTCCCTTTTCTACCATAGGCCTGAAAGCGCTCTCAATGTACCCTTGCAAATTCTACAAAAAGAGTGTTTCCAAATTGCTCTATCAAGAGAAATCTTTATCTCGGTGAGTTGAAAGCACACATCACAAAGAAGACTCTGAGAATTCTTCTGTCTGGGTTTATAAGATGAAAACCCGTTTCCAACGAAGGCCTCAAGGAGGTCCAAATACAAACAAGCTGATTCTACAGAAAGAGTGTTTCCAAACTGCTCTATCAAGAGGAATGTTCCACTCGGTGAGTTGAATGCAGACATCACAAAGGAGTTTCTGAGATTGCTTCTGTCTAGCTTTTATGGAAAGATATTTCCTTTTCTACCATAGGCCTCAAAGCGCTCTTAGTATACACTTCCAAATTCTACAAAGAGAGTGTTACTAAACCGCTCTCTCAAAGGAAATGTTAAACTCTGTGAGTTGAACACAGACATCACAAAGCAGTTTCTGAGAACACTTCTATCTGCCTTTTATGTGAAGACATTCCCTTTTCCAAAGAATGCCTCCAAGGGCTCAAAATATCCACTTGTAGACTTTACAAAGAGAGTGTTTCAAAACTTCTCTACCAAAAGAAAGGTTAAAGACGGTGAGTTCAACGCACACATCACAAAGTTGTTTCTGAGAATGATTCTATCTATGTTTTCCATGAAGATGTTTCCTTTTCTATCATAGGCTTCAAAGTGGTCTAAATATCCACTTGGAAATCCTAGAAGAACAGGGTTTCAAAACTTCTTTATCAAACGGAAGACTCCTCTCTGTGAGATGAACGCACACATCACAATGAGGTTTCTGAAAATTCTTCTGTCTAGGGTTATAGGAAGAAATCCCGTTTCCAACGAAGGCCTCAAAGAGGTCCAAATATCCACTTGCAGTTTCTACAAAAAGAGTGTTTCAACACTGCTCTATAAAGAGGAAAGTTCCACTCTGTGAGTTGAATGTACACATCACAAAGTAGTTTCTGAGATTGCTTCTGTCTAGGTTTTAGGTGAAGTTATTTCCTTTTCTACTGTGGGCTTCAATGCGCTCTAAATATACACATGCAAATACTACAAAAAGAGTGTTTCAAAACTGCTCTATCAAAAGAAAAGTTTTACTCTGTGAGTTGAACGCACACATCGCAAAGCAGATTCTGAGAATTATTCTGTCTAGTTTTTATAGGAAGATGTTTCTTTTTCTGCCGTAGGCTCAATGCGCTATAAATATCCCCTTGGAAATCCTACAAAAACAGTGTTTCAAAACTGCTCTGTGAAAAGGGAGGTTTCACTCTTTGAATTGAATGCACACATCACAAAGGAGTTTCTGAAAATTCTTCAATCTAGAGTTACATGAAGAAATCCCGTTTCCAAAGAAGGCCTCCAATAGGACCAAACATCCACTTGCAGCTACTACAAGAAGGGTGTTTCAGAAACGCTCTATCAAAAGAAACGTTACACTCTGTGAGTTGAACGCACACGTCACTAAGCACTATCTGAGAACGATTCTATGTACTTTTTACATGAAGATGTTTCCTTTTCTAGCAGAGACTTCAAAGTGCTCTAAATATCCACTTGGGAATTCTACCAAAACGGTGTCTCAAAACTGCTCTATCGAAGGGAATGTTCCACTCTGTGAGTCGAATGCACACATCCGAAGAAGTTACTGAGAATTCTTCTCTGTAGGTTTAGATGAAGAAATCCCGTTTCCAACGAAGGCCTCTAGGAGGTCCAATTATCCACTTGCAGATTCTACAGAAAGAGTGTTTCAAAACTGCTCTATCAAGAGAAATGGTCCACCGTGTGTGTGGAATGCAGCCATCACACATTAGTTTCTGAGATTGCTTCTGTCTTGGTTTTATGGGGAGATATTTCCATTTCTAGCGTAGGCTTCAAGGCGCTCTAAATATCCGCTTGGAAATACTACAAAAACAGTGTTTCAAAACTGCTGTATCCAAAGGAAGGTGCCACTCACTGAGTTGAATGCACACATCACAAAGAAGTTTCTGAGAATTCTTCTGTCTAGATTTATACGAAGAAATCCCGTTTCCAAAGAAGGCCTCAAAGAAGTCCAAATATCCCATTGCAAATTCTACAAAAGGAGTGTTTCCCAACTGCTCTATCAAGAGGAATGTTGCACTCTGTGACTTGAATGCAAACATCACATAGTAGTGTTTGAGAATTCTTCTATCTAGAGTAACATGAAGAAATCCCGTTTCCAACGAAGGCCTCAAGGCGGTCCAATTATCCACTTGCAGATTCTACAGAAAGAGTGTTTCAAAACTGCTCTATCAAGAGAAATGTTCCACCGTGTGTGTGGAATGCAGCCATCACACAGTGGTTTCTGAGATTGCTTCCGTCTAGGTTTTATGGGAAGATATTTCCTTTTCTACCATAGGCCTCAAGGCGCTCTAATATCCGCTTGGAAATACTACAACCCCAGCGTTTCAAACTGCTCTACCCAAAGGAAGGTTCCACCCTGTGACTTGAATGCACACAACCAAAGAAGTTTCGGAGAATTCTTCTGTCTAGATTTATACGAAGAAATCCCGTTTCCAACGAAGACCCAAAGGAGTTCCAAATATCCACTTGCAGATCCTTCAGAAAGAGGGTTTCAAAACTGCTCTATCAAGAGAAATGTTCAACTCTGTGAGGTGAATGCAGACATCACAAAGTCGTTTCTGAGATTGGTTCTGTCAAGGTTTTATGGGAAGATATTTCCTTTTCTACCATGCGCTTCAAGGCGTTCCAAATATCCGCTTGGAAATACTACAAAAACAGTGTTTCAAACCTGCTCTATCAAAAGGAAGGATCCACACTGTGAGTTGAATTCACACATCACAAAGAAGTCTCTGAGAATTCTTCTGTCTGGGTTTATAGGAAGAAATCCCGTTTCCAACGAAGGCCTCAAAGAGGTCCAAATATCCACTTGCAGATTCTACAGAAACAATGTTTCCAAACTGCTCTATCAAGAGGAACGTTGCAATCGGTGAGTTGAATGCACACATCACAAAGTAGTTTCTGAGATTGCTTCTGTCTACCTTTTATGGAAAGATATTCCCTTTTCTACCATAGGCCTGAAAGCGCTCTCAATGTACCCTTGCAAATTCTACAAAAAGAGTGTTTCCAAATTGCTCTATCAAGAAAAATCTTTATCTCGGTGAGTTGGAAGCACACATCACAAAGAAGACTCTGAGAATTCTTCTGTCTGGGTTTAAAAGATGAAAACCCGTTTCCAACGAAGGCCTCAAGGAGGTCCAAATACAAACAAGCTGATTCTACAGAAAGAGTGTTTCCAAACTGCTCTATCAAGAGGAATGTTCCACTCGGTGAGTTGAATGCAGACATCACAAAGGAGTTTCTGAGATTGCTTCTGTCTAGCTTTTATGGAAAGATATTTCCTTTTCTACCATAGGCCTCAAAGCGCTCTTAGTATACACTTCCAAATTCTACAAAGAGAGTGTTACTAAACTGCTCTATCAAAGGAAATGTTAAACTCTGTGAGTTGAACACAGACATCACAAAGCAGTTTCTGAGAACACTTCTGTCTGCCTTTTATGTGAAGACATTCCCTTTTCCAAAGAATGCCTCCAAGGGCCCAAAATATCCACTTGTAGACTTTACAAAGAGAGTGTTTCAAAACTTCTCTACCAAAAGAAAGGTTAAAGACTGTGAGTTCAACGCACACATCACAAAGTTGTTTCTGAGAATGATTCTATCTATGTTTTCCATGAAGATGTTTCCTTTTCTATCATAGGCTTCAAAGTGGTCTAAATATCCACTTGGAAATCCTACAAGAACAGGGTTTCAAAACTTCTCTATCAAACGGAAGACTCCACTCTGTGAGATGAACGCACACATCACAATGAGGTTTCTGAAAATTCTTCTGTCTAGGGTTATAGGAAGAAATCCCGTTTCCAACGAAGGCCTCAAAGAGGTCCAAATATCCACTTGCAGTTTCTACAAAAAGAGTGTTTCAACACTGCTCTATAAAGAGAAAAGTTCCACTCTGTGAGTTGAATGTACACATCACAAAGTAGTTTCTGAGATTGCTTCTGTCTAGGTTTTAGGTGAAGTTATTTCCTTTTCTACTGTGGGCTTCAATGCGCTCTAAATATACACATGCAAATACTACAAAAAGAGTGTTTCAAAACTGCTCTATCAAAAGAAAAGTTTTACTCTGTGAGTTGAACGCACACATCGCAAAGCAGATTCTGAGAATTATTCTGTCTAGTTTTTATAGGAAGATGTTTCTTTTTCTGCCATAGGCTCAATGCGCTATAAATATCCCCTTGGAAATCCTACAAAAACAGTGTTTCAAAACTGCTCTGTGAAAAGGGAGGTTTCACTCTTTGAATTGAATGCACACATCACAAAGGAGTTTCTGAAAATTCTTCAATCTAGAGTTACATGAAGAAATCCCGTTTCCAAAGAAGGCCTCAAATAGGTCCAAATATCCACTTGCAGCTACTACAAGAAGGGTGTTTCAGAAACGCTCTATCAAAAGAAACGTTAAACTCTGTGAGTTGAACGCACACGTCACTAAGCACTTTCTGAGAACGATTCTATCTACTTTTTACATGAAGATGTTTCCTTTTCTAGCAGAGACTTCAAAGTGCTCTAAATATCCACTTGGGAATTCTACAAAAACGGTGTCTCAAAACTGCTCTACCAAAGGGAATGTTCCATTCTGTGAGTCGAATGCACACATCCGAAGAAGTTACTGAGAATCTTCTCTGTAGTTTAGATGAAGAAATCCCGTTTCCAACGAAGGCCTCTAGGAGGTCCAATTATCCACTTGCAGATTCTACAGAAAGAGTGTTTCAAAACTGCTCTATCAAGAGAAATGGTCCACCGTGTGTGTGGAATGCAGCCATCACACATTAGTTTCTGAGATTGCTTCTGTCTTGGTTTTATGTGGAGATATTTCCATTTCTAGCATAGGCTTCAAGGCGCTCTAAATATCCGCTTGGAAATACTACAAAAACAGTGTTTCAAAACTGCTGTATCCAAAGGAAGGTGCCACTCGCTGAGTTGAATGCACACATCACAAGGAAGTTTCTGAGAATTCTTCTGTCTAGATTCATACGAAGAAATCCCGTTTCCAACGAAGGCCTCAAAGAAGTCCAAATATCCCATTGCAAATTCTACAAAAGGAGTGTTTCCCAACTGCTCTATCAAGAGGAATGTTGCACTCTGTGACTTGAATGCAAACATCACATAGCAGTGTTTGAGAATTCTTCTGTCTAGAGTAACATGAAGAAATCCCGTTTCCAACGAAGGCCTCAAGGCGGTCCAATTATCCACTTGCAGATTCTACAGAAAGAGTGTTTCAAAACTGCTCTATCAAGAGAAATGTTCCACCGTGTGTGTGGAATGCAGCCATCACACAGTAGTTTCTGAGATTGCTTCCGTCTAGGTTTTATGGGAAGATATTTCCTTTTCTACCATAGGCTTCAAGGCGCTCTAATATCCGCTTGGAAATACTACAACCACAGCGTTTCAAACTGCTCTATCCAAAGGAAGGTTCCACTCTGTGACTTGAATGCACACAACCAAAGAAGTTTCGGAGAATTCTTCTGTCTGGATTTATACGAAGAAATCCCGTTTCCAACGAAGACCCAAAGGAGTTCCAAATATCCACTTGCAGATCCTTCAGAAAGAGGGTTTCAAAACTGCTCTATCAAGAGAAATGTTCAACTCTGTGAGTTGAATGCAGACATCACAAAGTCGTTTCTGAGATGGGTTCTGTCTAGGTTTTATGGGAAGATATTTCCTTTTCTACCATACGCTTCAAGGCGTTCCAAATATCCGCTTGGAAATACTACAAAAACAGTGTTTCAAAACTGCTCTATCAAAAGGAAGGATCCACACTGTGAGTTGAATTCACACATCACAAAGAAATCTCTGAGAATTCTTCTGTCTGGGTTTATAGGAAGAAATCCCGTTTCCAACGAAGGCCTCAAAGCGGTCCATATATCCACTTGCAGATTCTACAGAAACAATGTTTCCAAACTGCTCTATCAAGAGGAATGTTGCACTCGGTGAGTTGAATGCACACATCACAAAGTAGTTTCTGAGATTGCTTCTGTCTACCTTTTCTACCATAGGCCTGAAAGCGCTCTCAATGTACCCTTGCAAATTCTACAAAAAGAGTGTTTCCAAATTGCTCTATCAAGAGAAATCTTTATCTCGGTGAGTTGAAAGCACACATCACAAAGAAGACTCTGAGAATTCTTCTGTCTGGGTTTATAAGATGAAAACCCGTTTCCAACGAAGGCCTCAAGGAGGTCCAAATACAAACAAGCTGATTCTACAGAAAGAGTGTTTCCAAACTGCTCTATCAAGAGGAATGTTCCACTCGGTGAGTTGAATGCAGACATCACAAAGGAGTTTCTGAGATTGCTTCTGTCTAGCTTTTATGGAAAGATATTTCCTTTTCTACCATAGGCCTCAAAGCGCTCTTAGTATACACTTCCAAATTCTACAAAGAGAGTGTTACTAAACCGCTCTCTCAAAGGAAATGTTAAACTCTGTGAGTTGAACACAGACATCACAAAGCAGTTTCTGAGAACACTTCTGTCTGCCTTTTATGTGAAGACATTCCCTTTTCCAAAGAATGCCTCCAAGGGCTCAAAATATCCACTTGTAGACTTTACAAAGAGAGTGTTTCAAAACTTCTCTACCAAAAGAAAGGTTAAAGACGGTGAGTTCAACGCACACATCACAAAGTTGTTTCTGAGAATGATTCTATCTATGTTTTCCATGAAGATGTTTCCTTTTCTATCATAGGCTTCAAAGTGGTCTAAATATCCACTTGGAAATCCTACAAGAACAGGGTTTCAAAACTTCTCTATCAAACGGAAGACTCCACTCTGTGAGATGAACGCACACATCACAATGAGGTTTCTGAAAATTCTTCTGTCTAGGGTTATAGGAAGAAATCCCGTTTCCAACGAAGGCCTCAAAGAGGTCCAAATATCCACTTGCAGTTTCTACAAAAAGAGTGTTTCAACACTGCTCTATAAAGAGGAAAGTTCTACTCTGTGAGTTGAATGTACACATCACAAAGTAGTTTCTGAGATTGCTTCTGTCTAGGTTTTAGGTGAAGTTATTTCCTTTTCTACTGTGGGCTTCAATGCGCTCTAAATATACACATGCAAATACTACAAAAAGAGTGTTTCAAAACTGCTCTATCAAAAGAAAAGTTTTACTCTGTGGGTTGAACGCACACATCGCAAAGCAGATTCTGAGAATTATTCTGTCTAGTTTTTATAGGAAGATGTTTCTTTTTCTGCCGTAGGCTCAATGCGCTATAAATATCCCCTTGGAAATCCTACAAAAACAGTGTTTCAAAACTGCTCTGTGAAAAGGGAGGTTTCACTCTTTGAATTGAATGCACACATCACAAAGGAGTTTCTGAAAATTCTTCAAACTAGAGTTACATGAAGAAATCCCGTTTCCAAAGAAGGCCTCAAATAGGTCCAAATATCCACTTGCAGCTACTACAAGAAGGGTGTTTCAGAAACGCTCTATCAAAAGAAACGTTAAACTCTGTGAGTTGAACGCACACGTCACTAAGCACTTTCTGAGAACGATTCTATCTACTTTTTACATGAAGATGTTTCCTTTTCTAGCAGAGACTTCAAAGTGCTCTAAATATCCACTTGGGAATTCTACAAAAACGGTGTCTCAAAACTGCTCTATCAAACGGAATGTTCCATTCTGTGAGTCGAATGCACACATCCGAAGAAGTTACTGAGAATTCTTCTCTGTAGGTTTAGATGAAGAAATCCCGTTTCCAACGAAGGCCTCTAGGAGGTCCAATTATCCACTTGCAGATTCTACAGAAAGAGTGTTTCAAAACTGCTCTATCAAGAGAAATGGTCCACCGTGTGTGTGGAATGCAGCCATCACACATTAGTTTCTGAGATTGCTTCTGTCTTGGTTTTATGGGGAGATATTTCCATTTCTAGCATAGGCTTCAAGGCGCTCTAAATATCCGCTTGGAAATACTACAAAAACAGTGTTTCAAAACTGCTGTATCCAAAGGAAGGTGCCACTCGCTGAGTTGAATGCACACATCACAAGGAAGTTTCTGAGAATTCTTCTGTCTAGATTCATACGAAGAAATCCCGTTTCCAACGAAGGCCTCAAAGAAGTCCAAATATCCCATTGCAAATTCTACAAAAGGAGTGTTTCCCAACTGCTCTATCAAGAGGAATGTTGCACTCTGTGACTTGCATGCAAACATCACACAGCAGTGTTTGAGAATTCTTCTGTCTAGAGTAACATGAAGAAATCCCGTTTCCAACGAAGGCCTCAAGGCGGTCCAATTATCCACTTGCAGATTCTACAGAAAGAGTGTTTCAAAACTGCTCTATCAAGAGAAATGTTCCACCGTGTGTGTGGAATGCAGCCATCACACAGTAGTTTCTGAGATTGCTTCCGTCTAGGTTTTATGGGAAGATATTTCCTTTTCTACCATAGGCCTCAAGGCGCTCTAATATCCGCTTGGAAATACTACAACCACAGCGTTTCAAACTGCTCTATCCAAAGGAAGGTTCCACTCTGTGACTTGAATGCACACAACCAAAGAAGTTTCGGAGAATTCTTCTGTCTGGATTTATACGAAGAAATCCCGTTTCCAACGAAGACCCAAAGGAGTTCCAAATATCCACTTGCAGATCCTTCAGAAAGAGGGTTTCAAAACTGCTCTATCAAGAGAAATGTTCAACTCTGTGAGTTGAATGCAGACATCACAAAGTCGTTTCTGAGATGGGTTCTGTCTAGGTTTTATGGGAAGATATTTCCTTTTCTACCATACGATTCAAGGCGTTCCAAATATCCGCTTGGAAATACTACAAAAACAGTGTTTCAAAACTGCTCTATCAAAAGGAAGGATCCACACTGTGAGTTGAATTCACACATCACAAAGAAATCTCTGAGAATTCTTCTGTCTGGGTTTATAGGAAGAAATCCCGTTTCCAACGAAGGCCTCAAAGCGGTCCATATATCCACTTGCAGATTCTACAGAAACAATGTTTCCAAACTGCTCTATCAAGAGGAATGTTGCACTCGGGGAGTTGAATGCACACATCACAAAGTAGTTTCTGAGATTGCTTCTGTCTACCTTTTATGGAAAGATATTCCCTTTTCTACCATAGGCCTGAAAGCGCTCTCATTGTACCCTTGCAAATTCTACAAAAAGAGTGTTTCCAAATTGCTCTATCAAGAGAAATCTTTATCTCGGTGAGTTGAAAGCACACATCACAAAGAAGACTCTGAGAATTCTTCTGTCTGGGTTTATAAGATGAAAACCCGTTTCCAACGAAGGCCTCAAGGAGGTCCAAATACAAACAAGCTGATTCTACAGAAAGAGTGTTTCCAAACTGCTCTATCAAGAGGAATGTTCCACTCGGTGAGTTGAATGCAGACATCACAAAGGAGTTTCTGAGATTGCTTCTGTCTAGCTTTTATGGAAAGATATTTCCTTTTCTACCATAGGCCTCAAAGCGCTCTTAGTATACACTTCCAAATTCTACAAAGAGAGTGTTACTAAACCGCTCTCTCAAAGGAAATGTTAAACTCTGTGAGTTGAACACAGACATCACAAAGCAGTTTCTGAGAACACTTCTGTCTGCCTTTTATGTGAAGACATTCCCTTTTCCAAAGAATGCCTCCAAGGGCTCAAAATATCCACTTGTAGACTTTACAAAGAGAGGGTTTCAAAACTTCTCTACCAAAAGAAAGGTTAAAGACGGTGAGTTCAACGCACACATCACAAAGTTGTTTCTGAGAATGATTCTATCTATGTTTTCCATGAAGATGTTTCCTTTTCTATCATAGGCTTCAAAGTGGTCTAAATATCCACTTGGAAATCCTACAAGAACAGGGTTTCAAAACTTCTCTATCAAACGGAAGACTCCACTCTGTGAGATGAACGCACACATCACAATGAGGTTTCTGAAAATTCTTCTGTCTAGGGTTATAGGAAGAAATCCCGTTTCCAACGAAGGCCTCAAAGAGGTCCAAATATCCACTTGCAGTTTCTACAAAAAGAGTGTTTCAACACTGCTCTATAAAGAGGAAAGTTCCACTCTGTGAGTTGAATGTACACATCACAAAGTAGTTTCTGAGATTGCTTCTGTCTAGGTTTTAGGTGAAGTTATTTCCTTTTCTACTGTGGGCTTCAATGCGCTCTAAATATACACATGCAAATACTACAAAAAGAGTGTTTCAAAACTGCTCTATCAAAAGAAAAGTTTTACTCTGTGGGTTGAACGCACACATCGCAAAGCAGATTCTGAGAATTATTCTGTCTAGTTTTTATAGGAAGATGTTTCTTTTTCTGCCATAGGCTCAATGCGCTATAAATATCCCCTTGGAAATCCTACAAAAACAGTGTTTCAAAACTGCTCTGTGAAAAGGGAGGTTTCACTCTTTGAATTGAATGCACACATCACAAAGGAGTTTCTGAAAATTCTTCAAACTAGAGTTACATGAAGAAATCCCGTTTCCAAAGAAGGCCTCAAATAGGTCCAAATATCCACTTGCAGCTACTACAAGAAGGGTGTTTCAGAAACGCTCTATCAAAAGAAACGTTAAACTCTGTGAGTTGAACGCACACGTCACTAAGCACTTTCTGAGAACGATTCTATCTACTTTTTACATGAAGATGTTTCCTTTTCTAGCAGAGACTTCAAAGTGCTCTAAATATCCACTTGGGAATTCTACAAAAACGGTGTCTCAAAACTGCTCTATCAAACGGAATGTTCCATTCTGTGAGTCGAATGCACACATCCGAAGAAGTTACTGAGAATTCTTCTCTGTAGGTTTAGATGAAGAAATCCCGTTTCCAACGAAGGCCTCTAGGAGGTCCAATTATCCACTTGCAGATTCTACAGAAAGAGTGTTTCAAAACTGCTCTATCAAGAGAAATGGTCCACCGTGTGTGTGGAATGCAGCCATCACACATTAGTTTCTGAGATTGCTTCTGTCTTGGTTTTATGGGGAGATATTTCCATTTCTAGCATAGGCTTCAAGGCGCTCTAAATATCCGCTTGGAAATACTACAAAAACAGTGTTTCAAAACTGCTGTATCCAAAGGTAGGTGCCACTCGCTGAGTTGAATGCACACATCACAAGGAAGTTTCTGAGAATTCTTCTGTCTAGATTCATACGAAGAAATCCCGTTTCCAACGAAGGCCTCAAAGAAGTCCAAATATCCCATTGCAAATTCTACAAAAGGAGTGTTTCCCAACTGCTCTATCAAGAGGAATGTTGCACTCTGTGACTTGAATGCAAACATCACATAGCAGTGTTTGAGAATTCTTCTGTCTAGAGTAACATGAAGAAATCCCGTTTCCAACGAAGGCCTCAAGGCGGTCCAATTATCCACTTGCAGATTCTACAGAAAGAGTGTTTCAAAACTGCTCTATCAAGAGAAATGTTCCACCGTGTGTGTGGAATGCAGCCATCACACAGTAGTTTCTGAGATTGCTTCCGTCTAGGTTTTATGGGAAGATATTTCCTTTTCTACCATAGGCTTCAAGGCGCTCTAATATCCGCTTGGAAATACTACAACCACAGCGTTTCAAACTGCTCTATCCAAAGGAAGGTTCCACTCTGTGACTTGAATGCACACAACCAAAGAAGTTTCGGAGAATTCTTCTGTCTGGATTTATACGAAGAAATCCCGTTTCCAACGAAGACCCAAAGGAGTTCCAAATATCCACTTGCAGCTCCTTCAGAAAGAGGGTTTCAAAACTGCTCTATCAAGAGAAATGTTCAACTCTGTGAGTTGAATGCAGACATCACAAAGTCGTTTCTGAGATGGGTTCTGTCTAGGTTTTATGGGAAGATATTTCCTTTTCTACCTTACGCTTCAAGGCGTTCCAAATATCCGCTTGGAAATACTACAAAAACAGTGTTTCAAAACTGCTCTATCAAAAGGAAGGATCCACACTGTGAGTTGAATTCACACATCACAAAGAAATCTCTGAGAATTCTTCTGTCTGGGTTTATAGGAAGAAATCCCGTTTCCAACGAAGGCCTCAAAGCGGTCCATATATCCACTTGCAGATTCTACAGAAACAATGTTTCCAAACTGCTCTATCAAGAGGAATGTTGCACTCGGTGAGTTGAATGCACACATCACAAAGTAGTTTCTGAGATTGCTTCTGTCTACCTTTTATGGAAAGATATTCCCTTTTCTACCATAGGCCTGAAAGCGCTCTCAATGTACCCTTGCAAATTCTACAAAAAGAGTGTTTCCAAATTGCTCTATCAAGAGAAATCTTTATCTCGGTGAGTTGAAAGCACACATCACAAAGAAGACTCTGAGAATTCTCTGTCTGGGTTTATAAGATGAAAACCCGTTTCCAACGAAGGCCTCAAGGAGGTCCAAATACAAACAAGCTGATTCTACAGAAAGAGTGTTTCCAAACTGCTCTATCAAGAGGAATGTTCCACTCGGTGAGTTGAATGCAGACATCACAAAGGAGTTTCTGAGATTGCTTTCTGTCTAGCTTTTATGGAAAGATATTTCCTTTTCTACCATAGGCCTCAAAACGCTCTTAGTATACACTTCCAAATTCTACAAAGAGAGTGTTACTAAACCGCTCTCTCAAAGGAAATGTTAAACTCTGTGAGTTGAACACAGACATCACAAAGCAGTTTCTGAGAACACTTCTGTCTGCCTTTTATGTGAAGACATTCCCTTTTCCAAAGAATGCCTCCAAGGGCTCAAAATATCCACTTGTAGACTTTACAAAGAGAGTGTTTCAAAACTTCTCTACCAAAAGAAAGGTTAAAGACAGTGAGTTCAACGCACACATCACAAAGTTGTTTCTGAGAATGATTCTATCTATGTTTTCCATGAAGATGTTTCCTTTTCTATCATAGGCTTCAAAGTGGTCTAAATATCCACTTGGAAATCCTACAAGAACAGGGTTTCAAAACTTCTCTATCAAACGGAAGACTCCACTCTGTGAGATGAACGCACACATCACAATGAGGTTTCTGAAAATTCTTCTGTCTAGGGTTATAGGAAGAAATCCCGTTTCCAACGAAGGCCTCAAAGAGGTCCAAATATCCACTTGCAGTTTCTACAAAAAGAGTGTTTCAACACTGCTCTATAAAGAGGAAAGTTCCACTCTGTGAGTTGAATGTACACATCACAAAGTAGTTTCTGAGATTGCTTCTGTCTAGGTTTTAGGTGAAGTTATTTCCTTTTCTACTGTGGGCTTCAATGCGCTCTAAATATACACATGCAAATACTACAAAAAGAGTGTTTCAAAACTGCTCTATCAAAAGAAAAGTTTTACTCTGTGAGTTGAACGCACACATCGCAAAGCAGATTCTGAGAATTATTCTGTCTAGTTTTTATAGGAAGATGTTTCTTTTTCTGCCGTAGGCTCAATGCGCTATAAATATCCCCTTGGAAATCCTACAAAAACAGTGTTTCAAAACTGCTCTGTGAAAAGGGACGTTTCACTCTTTGAATTGAATGCACACATCACAAAGGAGTTTCTGAAAATTCTTCAAACTAGAGTTACATGAAGAAATCCCGTTTCCAAAGAAGGCCTCAAATAGGTCCAAATATCCACTTGCAGCTACTACAAGAAGGGTGTTTCAGAAACGCTCTATCAAAAGAAACGTTAAACTCTGTGAGTTGAACACACACGTCACTAAGCACTTTCTGAGAACGATTCTATCTACTTTTTACATGAAGATGTTTCCTTTTCTAGCAGAGACTTCAAAGTGCTCTAAATATCCACTTGGGAATTCTACAAAAACGGTGTCTCAAAACTGCTCTATCAAAGGGAATGTTCCATTCTGTGAGTCGAATGCACACATCCGAAGAAGTTACTGAGAATTCTTCTCTGTAGGTTTAGATGAAGAAATCCCGTTTCCAACGAAGGCCTCTAGGAGGTCCAATTATCCACTTGCAGATTCTACAGAAAGAGTGTTTCAAAACTGCTCTATCAAGAGAAATGGTCCACCGTGTGTGTGGAATGCAGCCATCACACATTAGTTTCTGAGATTGCTTCTGTCTTGGTTTTATGGGGAGATATTTCCATTTCTAGCATAGGCTTCAAGGCGCTCTAAATATCCGCTTGGAAATACTACAAAAACAGTGTTTCAAAACTGCAGTATCCAAAGGAAGGTGCCGCTCGCTGAGTTGAATACACACATCACAAGGAAGTTTCTGAGAATTCTTCTGTCTAGATTCATACGAAGAAATCCCGTTTCCAACGAAGGCCTCAAAGAAGTCCAAATATCCCATTGCAAATTCTACAAAAGGAGTGTTTCCCAACTGCTCTATCAAGAGGAATGTTGCACTCTGTGACTTGCATGCAAACATCACATAGCAGTGTTTGAGAATTCTTCTGTCTAGAGTAACATGAAGAAATCCCGTTTCCAACGAAGGCCTCAAGGCGGTCCAATTATCCACTTGCAGATTCTACAGAAAGAGTGTTTCAAAACTGCTCTATCAAGAGAAATGTTCCACCGTGTGTGTGGAATGCAGCCATCACACAGTAGTTTCTGAGATTGCTTCCGTCTAGGTTTTATGGGAAGATATTTCCTTTTCTACCATAGGCTTCAAGGCGCTCTAATATCCGCTTGGAAATACTACAACCACAGCGTTTCAAACTGCTCTATCCAAAGGAAGGTTCCACTCTGTGACTTGAATGCACACAACCAAAGAAGTTTCGGAGAATTCTTCTGTCTGGATTTATACGAAGAAATCCCGTTTCCAACGAAGACCAAAAGGAGTTCCAAATATCCACTTGCAGATCCTTCAGAAAGAGGGTTTCAAAACTGCTCTATCAAGAGAAATGTTCAACTCTGTGAGTTGAATGCAGACATCACAAAGTCGTTTCTGAGATGGGTTCTGTCTAGGTTTTATGGGAAGATATTTCCTTTTCTACCATACGCTTCAAGGCGTTCCAAATATCCGCTTGGAAATACTACAAAAACAGTGTTTCAAAACTGCTCTATCAAAAGGAAGGATCCACACTGTGAGTTGAATTCACACATCACAAAGAAATCTCTGAGAATTCTTCTGTCTGGGTTTATAGGAAGAAATCCCGTTTCCAACGAAGGCCTCAAAGCGGTCCATATATCCACTTGCAGATTCTACAGAAACAATGTTTCCAAACTGCTCTATCAAGAGGAATGTTGCACTCGGTGAGTTGAATGCACACATCACAAAGTAGTTTCTGAGATTGCTTCTGTCTACCTTTTATGGAAAGATATTCCCTTTTCTACCATAGGCCTGAAAGCGCTCTCAATGTACCCTTGCAAATTCTACAAAAAGAGTGTTTCCAAATTGCTCTATCAAGAGAAATCTTTATCTCGGTGAGTTGAAAGCACACATCACAAAGAAGACTCTGAGAATTCTTCTGTCTGGGTTTATAAGATGAAAACCCGTTTCCAACGAAGGCCTCAAGGAGGTCCAAATACAAAAAACCTGATTCTACAGAAAGAGTGTTTCCAAACTGCTCTATCAAGAGGAATGTTCCACTCGGTGAGTTGAATGCAGACATCACAAAGGAGTTTCTGAGATTGCTTCTGTCTAGCTTTTATGGAAAGATATTTCCTTTTCTACCATAGGCCTCAAAGCGCTCTTAGTATACACTTCCAAATTCTACAAAGAGAGTGTTACTAAACTGCTCTCTCAAAGGAAATGTTAAACTCTGTGAGTTGAACACAGACATCACAAAGCAGTTTCTGAGAACACTTCTGTCTGCCTTTTATGTGAAGACATTCCCTTTTCCAAAGAATGCCTCCAAGGGCTCAAAATATCCACTTGTAGACTTTACAAAGAGAGTGTTTCAATACTTCTCTACCAAAAGAAAGTTTAAAGACGGTGAGTTCAACGCACACATCACAAAGTTGTTTCTGAGAATGATTCTATCTATGTTTTCCATGAACATGTTTCCTTTTCTATCATAGGCTTCAAAGTGGTCTAAATATCCACTTGGAAATCCTACAAGAACAGGGTTTCAAAACTTCTCTATCAAACGGAAGACTCCACTCTGTGAGATGAACGCACACATCACAATGAGGTTTCTGAAAATTCTTCTGTCTAGGGTTATAGGAAGAAATCCCGTTTCCAACGAAGGCCTCAAAGAGGTCCAAATATCCACTTGCAGTTTCTACAAAAAGAGTGTTTCAACACTGCTCTATAAAGAGGAAAGTTCCACTCTGTGAGTTGAATGTACACATCACAAAGTAGTTTCTGAGATTGCTTCTGTCTAGGTTTTAGGTGAAGTTATTTCCTTTTCTACTGTGGGCTTCAATGCGCTCTAAATATACACATGCAAATACTACAAAAAGAGTGTTTCAAAACTGCTCTATCAAAAGAAAAGTTTTACTCTGTGGGTGGAACGCACACATCGCAAAGCAGATTCTGAGAATTATTCTGTCTAGTTTTTATAGGAAGATGTTACTTTTTCTGCCGTAGGCTCAATGCGCTATAAATATCCCCTTGGAAATCCTACAAAAACAGTGTTTCAAAACTGCTCTGTGAAAAGGGACGTTTCACTCTTTGAATTGAATGCACACATCACAAAGGAGTTTCTGAAAATTCTTCAAACTAGTAGTTACATGAAGAAATCCCGTTTCCAAAGAAGGCCTCAAATAGGTCCAAATATCCACTTGCAGCTACTACAAGAAGGGTGTTTCAGAAACGCTCTATCAAAAGAAACGTTAAACTCTGTGAGTTGAACGCACACGTCACTAAGCACTTTCTGAGAACGATTCTATCTACTTTTTACATGAAGATGTTTCCTTTTCTAGCAGAGACTTCAAAGTGCTCTAAATATCCACTTGGGAATTCTACAAAAACGGTGTCTCAAAACTGCTCTATCAAAGGGAATGTTCCATTCTGTGAGTCGAATGCACACATCCGAAGAAGTTACTGAGAATTCTTCTCTGTAGGTTTAGATGAAGAAATCCCGTTTCCAACGAAGGCCTCTAGGAGGTCCAATTATCCACTTGCAGATTCTACAGAAAGAGTGTTTCAAAACTGCTCTATCAAGAGAAATGGTCCACCGTGTGTGTGGAATGCAGCCATCACACATTAGTTTCTGAGATTGCTTCTGTCTTGGTTTTATGGGGAGATATTTCCATTTCTAGCATAGGCTTCAAGGCGCTCTAAATATCCGCTTGGAAATACTACAAAAACAGTGTTTCAAAACTGCTGTATCCAAAGGAAGGTGCCACTCGCTGAGTTGAATGCACACATCACAAGGAAGTTTCTGAGAATTCTTCTGTCTAGATTCATACGAAGAAATCCCGTTTCCAACGAAGGCCTCAAAGAAGTCCAAATATCCCATTGCAAATTCTACAAAAGGAGTGTTTCCCAACTGCTCTATCAAGAGGAATGTTGCACTCTGTGAGTTGAATGCAAACATCACATAGCAGTGTTTGAGAATTCTTCTATCTAGAGTAACATGAAGAAATCCCGTTTCCAACGAAGGCCTCAAGGCGGTCCAATTATCCACTTGCAGATTCTACAGAAAGAGTGTTTCAAAACTGCTCTATCAAGAGAAATGTTCCACCGTGTGTGTGGAATGCAGCCATCACACAGTAGTTTCTGAGATTGCTTCCGTCTAGGTTTTATGGGAAGATATTTCCTTTTCTACCATAGGCCTCAAGGCGCTCTAATATCCGCTTGGAAATACTACAACCACAGCGTTTCAAACTGCTCTATCCAAAGGAAGGTTCCACGCTGTGACTTGAATGCACACAACCAAAGAAGTTTCGGAGAATTCTTCTGTCTAGATTTATACGAAGAAATCCCGTTTCCAACGAAGACCCAAAGGAGTTCCAAATATCCACTTGCAGATCCTTCAGAAAGAGGGTTTCAAAACTGCTCTATCAAGAGAAATGTTCAACTCAGTGAGTTGAATGCAGACATCACAAAGTCGTTTCTGAGATTGGTTCTGTCTAGGTTTTATGGGAAGATATTTCCTTTTCTACCATACGCTTCAAGGCGTTCCAAATATCCGCTTGGAAATACTACAAAAACAGTGTTTCAAAACTGCTCTATCAAAAGGAAGGATCCACACTGTGAGTTGAATTCACACATCACAAAGAAGTCTCTGAGAATTCTTCTGTCTGGGTTTATAGGAAGAAATCCCGTTTCCAACGAAGGCCTCAAAGAGGTCCAAATATCCACTTGCAGATTCTACAGAAACAATGTTTCCAAACTGCTCGGTCAAGAGGAATGTTGCACTCGGTGAGTTGAATGCACACATCACAAAGTAGTTTCTGAGATTGCTTCTGTCTACCTTTTATGGAAAGATATTCCCTTTTCTACCATAGGCCTGAAAGCGCTCTCAATGTACCCTTGCAAATTCTACAAAAAGAGTGTTTCCAAATTGCTCTATCAAGAGAAATCTTTATCTCGGTGAGTTGAAAGCACACATCACAAAGAAGACTCTGAGAATTCTTCTGTCTGGGTTTATAAGATGAAAACCCGTTTCCAACGAAGGCCTCAAGGAGGTCCAAATACAAACAAGCTGATTCTACAGAAAGAGTGTTTCCAAACTGCTCTATCAAGAGGAATGTTCCACTCGGTGAGTTGAATGCAGACATCACAAAGGAGTTTCTGAGATTGCTTCTGTCTAGCTTTTATGGAAAGATATTTCCTTTTCTACCATAGGCCTCAAAGCGCTCTTAGTATACACTTCCAAATTCTACAAAGAGAGTGTTACTAAACCGCTCTCTCAAAGGAAATGTTAAACTCTGTGAGTTGAACACAGACATCACAAAGCAGTTTCTGAGAACACTTCTGTCTGCCTTTTATGTGAAGACATTCCCTTTTCCAAAGAATGCCTCCAAGGGCTCAAAATATCCACTTGTAGACTTTACAAAGAGAGTGTTTCAAAACTTCTCTACCAAAAGAAAGGTTAAAGACGGTGAGTTCAACGCACACATCACAAAGTTGTTTCTGAGAATGATTCTATCTATGTTTTCCATGAAGATGTTTCCTTTTCTATCATAGGCTTCAAAGTGGTCTAAATATCCACTTGGAAATCCTACAAGAACAGGGTTTCAAAACTTCTCTATCAAACGGAAGACTCCACTCTGTGAGATGAACGCACACATCACAATGAGGTTTCTGAAAATTCTTCTGTCTAGGGTTATAGGAAGAAATCCCGTTTCCAACGAAGGCCTCAAAGAGGTCCAAATATCCACTTGCAGTTTCTACAAAAAGAGTGTTTCAACACTGCTCTATAAAGAGGAAAGTTCCACTCTGTGAGTTGAATGTACACATCACAAAGTAGTTTCTGAGATTGCTTCTGTCTAGGTTTTAGGTGAAGTTATTTCCTTTTCTACTGTGGGCTTCAATGCGCTCTAAATATACACATGCAAATACTACAAAAAGAGTGTTTCAAAACTGCTCTATCAAAAGAAAAGTTTTACTCTGTGGGTTGAACGCACACATCGCAAAGCAGATTCTGAGAATTATTCTGTCTAGTTTTTATAGGAAGATGTTTCTTTTTCTGCCATAGGCTCAATGCGCTATAAATATCCCCTTGGAAGTCCTACAAAAACAGTGTTTCAAAACTGCTCTGTGAAAAGGGAGGTTTCACTCTTTGAATTGAATGCACACATCACAAAGGAGTTTCTGAAAATTCTTCAATCTAGAGTTACATGAAGAAATCCCGTTTCCAAAGAAGGCCTCAAATAGGTCCAAATATCCACTTGCAGCTACTACAAGAAGGGTGTTTCAGAAACGCTCTATCAAAAGAAACGTTAAACTCTGTGAGTTGAACGCACACGTCACTAAGCACTTTCTGAGAACGATTCTATCTACTTTTTACATGAAGATGTTTCCTTTTCTAGCAGAGACTTCAAAGTGCTCTAAATATCCACTTGGGAATTCTACAAAAACGGTGTCTCAAAACTGCTCTATCAAAGGGAATGTTCCATTCTGTGAGTCGAATGCACACATCCGAAGAAGTTACTGAGAATTCTTCTCTGTAGGTTTAGATGAAGAAATCCCGTTTCCAACGAAGGCCTCTAGGAGGTCCAATTATCCACTTGCAGATTCTACAGAAAGAGTGTTTCAAAACTGCTCTATCAAGAGAAATGGTCCACCGTGTGTGTGGAATGCAGCCATCACACATTAGTTTCTGAGATTGCTTCTGTCTTGGTTTTATGGGGAGATATTTCCATTTCTAGCATAGGCTTCAAGGCGCTCTAAATATCCGCTTGGAAATACTACAAAAACAGTGTTTCAAAACTGCTGTATCCAAAGGAAGGTGCCACTCGCTGAGTTGAATGCACACATCACAAGGAAGTTTCTGAGAATTCTTCTGTCTAGATTCATACGAAGAAATCCCGTTTCCAACGAAGGCCTCAAAGAAGTCCAAATATCCCATTGCAAATTCTACAAAAGGAGTGTTTCCCAACTGCTCTATCAAGAGGAATGTTGCACTCTGTGACTTGAATGCAAACATCACATAGCAGTGTTTGAGAATTCTTCTGTCTAGAGTAACATGAAGAAATCCCGTTTCCAACGAAGGCCTCAAGGCGGTCCAATTATCCACTTGCAGATTCTACAGAAAGAGTGTTTCAAAACTGCTCTATCAAGAGAAATGTTCCACCGTGTGTGTGGAATGCAGCCATCACACAGTAGTTTCTGAGATTGCTTCCGTCTAGGTTTTATGGGAAGATATTTCCTTTTCTACCATAGGCTTCAAGGCGCTCTAATATCCGCTTGGAAATACTACAACCACAGCGTTTCAAACTGCTCTATCCAAAGGAAGGTTCCACTCTGTGACTTGAATGCACACAACCAAAGAAGTTTCGGAGAATTCTTCTGTCTGGATTTATACGAAGAAATCCCGTTTCCAACGAAGACCCAAAGGAGTTCCAAATATCCACTTGCAGCTCCTTCAGAAAGAGGGTTTCAAAACTGCTCTATCAAGAGAAATGTTCAACTCTGTGAGTTGAATGCAGACATCACAAAGTCGTTTCTGAGATGGGTTCTGTCTAGGTTTTATGGGAAGATATTTCCTTTTCTACCATACGCTTCAAGGCGTTCCAAATATCCGCTTGGAAATACTACAAAAACAGTGTTTCAAAACTGCTCTATCAAAAGGAAGGATCCACACTGTGAGTTGAATTCACACATCACAAAGAAATCTCTGAGAATTCTTCTGTCTGGGTTTATAGGAAGAAATCCCGTTTCCAACGAAGGCCTCAAAGCGGTCCATATATCCACTTGCAGATTCTACAGAAACAATGTTTCCAAACTGCTCTATCAAGAGGAATGTTGCACTCGGTGAGTTGAATGCACACATCACAAAGTAGTTTCTGAGATTGCTTCTGTCTACCTTTTATGGAAAGATATTCCCTTTTCTACCATAGGCCTGAAAGCGCTCTCAATGTACCCTTGCAAATTCTACAAAAAGAGTGTTTCCAAATTGCTCTATCAAGAGAAATCTTTATCTCGGTGAGTTGAAAGCACACATCACAAAGAAGACTCTGAGAATTCTTCTGTCTGGGTTTATAAGATGAAAACCCGTTTCCAACGAAGGCCTCAAGGAGGTCCAAATACAAACAAGCTGATTCTACAGAAAGAGTGTTTCCAAACTGCTCTATCAAGAGGAATGTTCCACTCGGTGAGTTGAATGCAGACATCACAAAGGAGTTTCTGAGATTGCTTCTGTCTAGCTTTTATGGAAAGATATTTCCTTTTCTACCATAGGCCTCAAAGCGCTCTTAGTATACACTTCCAAATTCTACAAAGAGAGTGTTACTAAACCGCTCTCTCAAAGGAAATGTTAAACTCTGTGAGTTGAACACAGACATCACAAAGCAGTTTCTGAGAACACTTCTGTCTGCCTTTTATGTGAAGACATTCCCTTTTCCAAAGAATGCCTCCAAGGGCTCAAAATATCCACTTGTAGACTTTACAAAGAGAGTGTTTCAAAACTTCTCTACCAAAAGAAAGGTTAAAGACGGTGAGTTCAACGCACACATCACAAAGTTGTTTCTGAGAATGATTCTATCTATGTTTTCCATGAAGATGTTTCCTTTTCTATCATAGGCTTCAAAGTGGTCTAAATATCCACTTGGAAATCCTACAAGAACAGGGTTTCAAAACTTCTCTATCAAACGGAACACTCCACTCTGTGAGATGAACGCACACATCACAATGAGGTTTCTGAAAATTCTTCTGTCTAGGGTTATAGGAAGAAATCCCGTTTCCAACGAAGGCCTCAAAGAGGTCCAAATATCCACTTGCAGTTTCTACAAAAAGAGTGTTTCAACACTGCTCTATAAAGAGGAAAGTTCCACTCTGTGAGTTGAATGTACACATCACAAAGTAGTTTCTGAGATTGCTTCTGTCTAGGTTTTAGGTGAAGTTATTTCCTTTTCTACTGTGGGCTTCAATGCGCTCTAAATATACACATGCAAATACTACAAAAAGAGTGTTTCAAAACTGCTCTATCAAAAGAAAAGTTTTACTCTGTGGGTTGAACGCACACATCGCAAAGCAGATTCTGAGAATTATTCTGTCTAGTTTTTATAGGAAGATGTTTCTTTTTCTGCCGTAGGCTCAATGCGCTATAAATATCCCCTTGGAAATCCTGCAAAAACAGTGTTTCAAAACTGCTCTGTGAAAAGGGAGGTTTCACTCTTTGAATTGAATGCACACATCACAAAGGAGTTTCTGAAAATTCTTCAAACTAGAGTTACATGAAGAAATCCCGTTTCCAAAGAAGGCCTCAAATAGGTCCAAATATCCACTTGCAGCTACTACAAGAAGGGTGTTTCAGAAACGCTCTATCAAAAGAAACGTTAAACTCTGTGAGTTGAACGCACACGTCACTAAGCACTTTCTGAGAACGATTCTATCTACTTTTTACATGAAGATGTTTCCTTTTCTAGCAGAGACTTCAAAGTGCTCTAAATATCCACTTGGGAATTCTACAAAAACGGTGTCTCAAAACTGCTCTATCAAACGGAATGTTCCATTCTGTGAGTCGAATGCACACATCCGAAGAAGTTACTGAGAATTCTTCTCTGTAGGTTTAGATGAAGAAATCCCGTTTCCAACGAAGGCCTCTAGGAGGTCCAATTATCCACTTGCAGATTCTACAGAAAGAGTGTTTCAAAACTGCCCTATCAAGAGAAATGGTCCACCGTGTGTGTGGAATGCAGCCATCACACATTAGTTTCTGAGATTGCTTCTGTCCTTGGTTTTATGGGGAGATATTTCCATTTCTAGCATAGGCTTCAAGGCGCTCTAAATATCCGCTTGGAAATAGTACAAAAACAGTGTTTCAAAACTGCTGTATCCAAAGGAAGGTGCCACTCGCTGAGTTGAATGCACACATCACAAGGAAGTTTCTGAGAATTCTTTCTGTCTAGATTCATACGAAGAAATCCCGTTTCCAACGAAGGCCTCAAAGAAGTCCAAATATCCCATTGCAAATTCTACAAAAGGAGTGTTTCCCAACTGCTCTATCAAGAGGAATGTTGCACTCTGTGACTTGCATGCAAACATCACATAGCAGTGTTTGAGAATTCTTCTGTCTAGAGTAACATGAAGAAATCCCGTTTCCAACGAAGGCCTCAAGGCGGTCCAATTATCCACTTGCAGATTCTACAGAAAGAGTGTTTCAAAACTGCTCTATCAAGAGAAATGTTCCACCGTGTGTGTGGAATGCAGCCATCACACAGTAGTTTCTGAGATTGCTTCCGTCTAGGTTTTATGGGAAGATATTTCCTTTTCTACCATAGGCCTCAAGGCGCTCTAATATCCGCTTGGAAATACTACAACCACAGCGTTTCAAACTGCTCTATCCAAAGGAAGGTTCCACTCTGTGACTTGAATGCACACAACCAAAGAAGTTTCGGAGAATTCTTCTGTCTAGATTTATACGAAGAAATCCCGTTTCCAACGAAGACCCAAAGGAGTTCCAAATATCCACTTGCAGATCCTTCAGAAAGAGGGTTTCAAAACTGCTCTATCAAGAGAAATGTTCAACTCTGTGAGTTCAATGCAGACATCACAAAGTCGTTTCTGAGATTGGTTCTGTCTAGGTTTTATGGGAAGATATTTCCTTTTCTACCATACGCTTCAAGGCGTTCCAAATATCCGCTTGGAAATACTACAAAAACAGTGTTTCAAAACTGCTCTATCAAAAGGAAGGATCCACACTGTGAGTTGAATTCACACATCACAAAGAAGTCTCTGAGAATTCTTCTGTCTGGGTTTATAGGAAGAAATCCCGTTTCCAACGAAGGCCTCAAAGAGGTCCAAATATCCACTTGCAGATTCTACAGAAACAATGTTTCCAAACTGCTCGGTCAAGAGGAATGTTGCACTCGGTGAGTTGAATGCACACATCACAAAGTAGTTTCTGAGATTGCTTCTGTCTACCTTTTATGGAAAGATATTCCCTTTTCTACCATAGGCCTGAAAGCGCTCTCAATGTACCCTTGCAAATTCTACAAAAAGAGTGTTTCCAAATTGCTCTATCAAGAGAAATCTTTATCTCGGTGAGTTGAAAGCACACATCACAAAGAAGACTCTGAGAATTCTTCTGTCTGGGTTTATAAGATGAAAACCCGTTTCCAACGAAGGCCTCAAGGAGGTCCAAATACAAACAAGCTGATTCTACAGAAAGAGTGTTTCCAAACTGCTCTATCAAGAGGAATGTTCCACTCGGTGAGTTGAATGCAGACATCACAAAGGAGTTTCTGAGATTGCTTCTGTCTAGCTTTTATGGAAAGATATTTCCTTTTCTACCATAGGCCTCAAAGCGCTCTTAGTATACACTTCCAAATTCTACAAAGAGAGTGTCACTAAACCGCTCTCTCAAAGGAAATGTTAAACTCTGTGAGTTGAACACAGACATCACAAAGCAGTTTCTGAGAACACTTCTGTCTGCCTTTTATGTGAAGACATTCCCTTTTCCAAAGAATGCCTCCAAGGGCTCAAAATATCCACTTGTAGACTTTACAAAGAGAGTGTTTCAAAACTTCTCTACCAAAAGAAAGGTTAAAGACGGTGAGTTCAACGCACACATCACAAAGTTGTTTCTGAGAATGATTCTATCTATGTTTTCCCATGAAGATGTTTCCTTTTCTATCATAGGCTTCAAAGTGGTCTAAATATCCACTTGGAAATCCTACAAGAACAGGGTTTCAAAACTTCTCTATCAAACGGAAGACTCCACTCTGTGAGATGAACGCACACATCACAATGAGGTTTCTGAAAATTCTTCTGTCTAGGGTTATAGGAAGAAATCCCGTTTCCAACGAAGGCCTCAAAGAGGTCCAAATATCCACTTGCAGTTTCTACAAAAAGAGTGTTTCAACACTGCTCTATAAAGAGGAAAGTTCCACTCTGTGAGTTGAATGTACACATCACAAAATAGTTTCTGAGATTGCTTCTGTCTAGGTTTTAGGTGAAGTTATTTCCTTTTCTACTGTGTGCTTCAATGCGCTCTAAATATACACATGCAAATACTACAAAAAGAGTGTTTCAAAACTGCTCTATCAAAAGAAAAGTTTTACTCTGTGGGTTGAACGCACACATCGCAAAGCAGATTCTGAGAATTATTCTGTCTAGTTTTTATAGGAAGATGTTTCTTTTTCTGCCATAGGATCAATGCGCTATAAATATCCCCTTGGAAATCCTACAAAAACAGTGTTTCAAAACTGCTCTGTGAAAAGGGAGGTTTCACTCTTTGAATTGAATGCACACTTCACAAAGGAGTTTCTGAAAATTCTTCAATCTAGAGTTACATGAAGAAATCCCGTTTCCAAAGAAGGCCTCAAATAGGTCCAAATATCCACTTGCAGCTACTACAAGAAGGGTGTTTCAGAAACGCTCTATCAAAAGAAACGTTAAACTCTGTGAGTTGAACGCACACGTCACTAAGCACTTTCTGAGAACGATTCTATCTACTTTTTACATGAAGATGTTTCCTTTTCTAGCAGAGACTTCAAAGTGCTCTAAATATCCACTTGGGAATTCTACAAAAACGGTGTCTCAAAACTGCTCTATCAAAGGGAATGTTCCATTCTGTGAGTCGAATGCACACATCCGAAGAAGTTACTGAGAATTCTTCTCTGTAGGTTTAGATGAAGAAATCCCGTTTCCAACGAAGGCCTCTAGGAGGTCCAATTATCCACTTGCAGATTCTACAGAAAGAGTGTTTCAAAACTGCTCTATCAAGAGAAATGGTCCACCGTGTGTGTGGAATGCAGCCATCACACATTAGTTTCTGAGATTGCTTCTGTCTTGGTTTTATGGGGAGATATTTCCATTTCTAGCATAGGCTTCAAGGCGCTCTAAATATCCGCTTGGAAATACTACAAAAACAGTGTTTCAAAACTGCTGTATCCAAAGGAAGGTGCCACTCGCTGAGTTGAATGCACACATCACAAGGAAGTTTCTGAGAATTCTTCTGTCTAGATTCATACGAAGAAATCCCGTTTCCAACGAAGGCCTCAAAGAAGTCCAAATATCCCATTGCAAATTCTACAAAAGGAGTGTTTCCCAACTGCTCTATCAAGAGGAATGTTGCACTCTGTGACTTGAATGCAAACATCACATAGCAGTGTTTGAGAATTCTTCTGTCTAGAGTAACATGAAGAAATCCCGTTTCCAACGAAGGCCTCAAGGCGGTCCAATTATCCACTTGCAGATTCTACAGAAAGAGTGTTTCAAAACTGCTCTATCAAGAGAAATGTTCCACCGTGTGTGTGGAATGCAGCCATCACACAGTAGTTTCTGAGATTGCTTCCGTCTAGGTTTTATGGGAAGATATTTCCTTTTCTACCATAGGCCTCAAGGCGCTCTAATATCCGCTTGGAAATACTACAACCACAGCGTTTCAAACTGCTCTATCCAAAGGAAGGTTCCACTCTGTGACTTGAATGCACACAACCAAAGAAGTTTCGGAGAATTCTTCTGTCTAGATTTATACGAAGAAATCCCGTTTCCAACGAAGACCCAAAGGAGTTCCAAATATCCACTTGCAGATCCTTCAGAAAGAGGGTTTCAAAACTGCTCTATCAAGAGAAATGTTCAACTCTGTGAGTTGAATGCAGACATCACAAAGTCGTTTCTGAGATTGGTTCTGTCTAGGTTTTATGGGAAGATATTTCCTTTTCTACCATACGCTTCAAGGCGTTCCAAATATCCGCTTGGAAATACTACAAAAACAGTGTTTCAAAACTGCTCTATCAAAAGGAAGGATCCACACTGTGAGTTGAATTCACACATCACAAAGAAGTCTCTGAGAATTCTTCTGTCTGGGTTTATAGGAAGAAATCCCGTTTCCAACGAAGGCCTCAAAGAGGTCCAAATATCCACTTGCAGATTCTACAGAAACAATGTTTCCAAACTGCTCGGTCAAGAGGAATGTTGCACTCGGTGAGTTGAATGCACACATCACAAAGTAGTTTCTGAGATTGCTTCTGTCTACCTTTTATGGAAAGATATTCCCTTTTCTACCATAGGCCTGAAAGCGCTCTCAATGTACCCTTGCAAATTCTACAAAAAGAGTGTTTCCAAATTGCTCTATCAAGAGAAATCTTTATCTCGGTGAGTTGAAAGCACACATCACAAAGAAGACTCTGAGAATTCTTCTGTCTGGGTTTATAAGATGAAAACCCGTTTCCAACGAAGGCCTCAAGGAGGTCCAAATACAAACAAGCTGATTCTACAGAAAGAGTGTTTTCAAACAGCTCTATCAAGAGGAATGTTCCACTCGGTGAGTTGAATGCAGACATCACAAAGGAGTTTCTGGGATTGCTTCTGTCTAGCTTTTATGGAAAGATATTTCCTTTTCTACCATAGGCCTCAAAGCGCTCTTAGTATACACTTCCAAATTCTACAAAGAGAGTGTTACTAAACCGCTCTCTCAAAGGAAATGTTAAACTCTGTGAGTTGAACACAGACATCACAAAGCAGTTTCTGAGAACACTTCTGTCTGCCTTTTATGTGAAGACATTCCCTTTTCCAAAGAATGCCTCCAAGGGCTCAAAATATCCACTTGTAGACTTTACAAAGAGAGTGTTTCAAAACTTCTCTACCAAAAGAAAGGTTAAAGACGGTGAGTTCAACGCACACATCACAAAGTTGTTTCTGAGAATGATTCTATCTATGTTTTCCATGAAGATGTTTCCTTTTCTATCATAGGCTTCAAAGTGGTCTAAATATCCACTTGGAAATCCTACAAGAACAGGGTTTCAAAACTTCTCTATCAAACGGAAGACTCCACTCTGTGAGATGAACGCACACATCACAATGAGGTTTCTGAAAATTCTTCTGTCTAGGGTTATAGGAAGAAATCCCGTTTCCAACGAAGGCCTCAAAGAGGTCCAAATATCCACTTGCAGTTTCTACAAAAAGAGTGTTTCAACACTGCTCTATAAAGAGAAAAGTTCCACTCTGTGAGTTGAATGTACACATCACAAAGTAGTTTCTGAGATTGCTTCTGTCTAGGTTTTAGGTGAAGTTATTTCCTTTTCTACTGTGGGCTTCAATGCGCTCTAAATATACACATGCAAATACTACAAAAAGAGTGTTTCAAAACTGCTCTATCAAAAGAAAAGTTTTACTCTGTGAGTTGAACGCACACATCGCAAAGCAGATTCTGAGAATTATTCTGTCTAGTTTTTATAGGAAGATGTTTCTTTTTCTGCCGTAGGCTCAATGCGCTATATATATCCCCTTGGAAATCCTACAAAAACAGTGTTTCAAAACTGCTCTGTGAAAAGGGAGGTTTCACTCTTTGAATTGAATGCACACATCACAAAGGAGTTTCTGAAAATTCTTCAAACTAGAGTTACATGAAGAAATCCCGTTTCCAAAGAAGGCCTCAAATAGGTCCAAATATCCACTTGCAGCTACTACAAGAAGGGTGTTTCAGAAACGCTCTATCAAAAGAAACGTTAAACTCTGTGAGTTGAACACACACGTCACTAAGCACTTTCTGAGAACGATTCTATCTACTTTTTACATGAAGATGTTTCCTTTTCTAGCAGAGACTTCAAAGTGCTCTAAATATCCACTTGGGAATTCTACAAAAACGGTGTCTCAAAACTGCTCTATCAAAGGGAATGTTCCATTCTGTGAGTCGAATGCACACATCCGAAGAAGTTACTGAGAATTCTTCTCTGTAGGTTTAGATGAAGAAATCCCATTTCCAACGAAGGCCTCTAGGAGGTCCAATTATCCACTTGCAGATTCTACAGAAAGAGTGTTTCAAAACTGCTCTATCAAGAGAAATGGTCCACCGTGTGTGTGGAATGCAGCCATCACACATTAGTTTCTGAGATTGCTTCTGTCTTGGTTTTATGGGGAGATATTTCCATTTCTAGCATAGGCTTCAAGGCGCTCTAAATATCCGCTTGGAAATACTACAAAAACTGTGTTTCAAAACTGCAGTATCCAAAGGAAGGTGCCGCTCGCTGAGTTGAATGCACACATCACAAGGAAGTTTCTGAGAATTCTTCTGTCTAGATTCATACGAAGAAATCCCGTTTCCAACGAAGGCCTCAAAGAAGTCCAAATATCCCATTGCAAATTCTACAAAAGGAGTGTTTCCCAACTGCTCTATCAAGAGGAATGTTGCACTCTGTGACTTGCATGCAAACATCACATAGCAGTGTTTGAGAATTCTTCTGTCTAGAGTAACATGAAGAAATCCCGTTTCCAACGAAGGCCTCAAGGCGGTCCAATTATCCACTTGCAGATTCTACAGAAAGAGTGTTTCAAAACTGCTCTATCAAGAGAAATGTTCCACCGTGTGTGTGGAATGCAGCCATCACACAGTAGTTTCTGAGATTGCTTCCGTCTAGGTTTTATGGGAAGATATTTCCTTTTCTACCATAGGCTTCAAGGCGCTCTAATATCCGCTTGGAAATACTACAACCACAGCGTTTCAAACTGCTCTATCCAAAGGAAGGTTCCACTCTGTGACTTGAATGCACACAACCAAAGAAGTTTCGGAGAATTCTTCTGTCTGGATTTATACGAAGAAATCCCGTTTCCAACGAAGACCCAAAGGAGTTCCAAATATCCACTTGCAGATCCTTCAGAAAGAGGGTTTCAAAACTGCTCTATCAAGAGAAATGTTCAACTCTGTGAGTTGAATGCAGACATCACAAAGTCGTTTCTGAGATGGGTTCTGTCTAGGTTTCATGGGAAGATATTTCCTTTTCTACCATACGCTTCAAGGCGTTCCAAATATCCGCTTGGAAATACTACAAAAACAGTGTTTCAAAACTGCTCTATCAAAAGGAAGGATCCACACTGTGAGTTGAATTCACACATCACAAAGAAATCTCTGAGAATTCTTCTGTCTGGGTTTATAGGAAGAAATCCCGTTTCCAACGAAGGCCTCAAAGCGGTCCATATATCCACTTGCAGATTCTACAGAAACAATGTTTCCAAACTGCTCTATCAAGAGGAATGTTGCACTCGGTGAGTTGAATGCACACATCACAAAGTAGTTTCTGAGATTGCTTCTGTCTACCTTTTATGGAAAGATATTCCCTTTTCTACCATAGGCCTGAAAGCGCTCTCAATGTACCCTTGCAAATTCTACAAAAAGATTGTTTCCAAATTGCTCTATCAAGAGAAATCTTTATCTCGGTGAGTTGAAAGCACACATCACAAAGAAGACTCTGAGAATTCTTCTGTCTGGGTTTATAAGATGAAAACCCGTTTCCAACGAAGGCCTCAAGGAGGTCCAAATACAAACAAGCTGATTCTACAGAAAGAGTGTTTCCAAACTGCTCTATCAAGAGGAATGTTCCACTCGGTGAGTTGAATGCAGACATCACAAAGGAGTTTCTGAGATTGCTTCTGTCTAGCTTTTATGGAAAGATATTTCCTTTTCTACCATAGGCCTCAAAGCGCTCTTAGTATACACTTCCAAATTCTACAAAGAGAGTGTTACTAAACCGCTCTCTCAAAGGAAATGTTAAACTCTGTGAGTTGAACACAGACATCACAAAGCAGTTTCTGAGAACACTTCTGTCTGCCTTTTATGTGAAGACATTCCCTTTTCCAAAGAATGCCTCCAAGGGCTCAAAATATCCACTTGTAGACTTTACAAAGTGAGTGTTTCAAAACTTCTCTACCAAAAGAAAGGTTAAAGACGGTGAGTTCAACGCACACATCACAAAGTTGTTTCTGAGAATGATTCTATCTATGTTTTCCATGAAGATGTTTCCTTTTCTATCATAGGCTTCAAAGTGGTCTAAATATCCACTTGGAAATCCTACAAGAACAGGGTTTCAAAACTTCTCTATCAAACGGAAGACTCCACTCTGTGAGATGAACGCACACATCACAATGAGGTTTCTGAAAATTCTTCTGTCTAGGGTTATAGGAAGAAATCCCGTTTCCAACGAAGGCCTCAAAGAGGTCCAAATATCCACTTGCAGTTTCTACAAAAAGAGTGTTTCAACACTGCTCTATAAAGAGGAAAGTTCCACTCTGTGAGTTGAATGTACACATCACAAAGTAGTTTCTGAGATTGCTTCTGTCTAGGTTTTAGGTGAAGTTATTTCCTTTTCTACTGTGGGCTTCAATGCGCTCTAAATATACACATGCAAATACTACAAAAAGAGTGTTTCAAAACTGCTCTATCAAAAGAAAAGTTTTACTCTGTGGGTTGAACGCACACATCGCAAAGCAGATTCTGAGAATTATTCTGTCTAGTTTTTATAGGAAGATGTTTCTTTTTCTGCCGTAGGCTCAATGCGCTATAAATATCCCCTTGGAAATCCTACAAAAACAGTGTTTCAAAACTGCTCTGTGAAAAGGGATGTTTCACTCTTTGAATTGAATGCACACATCACAAAGGAGTTTCTGAAAATTCTTCAAACTAGAGTTACATGAAGAAATCCCGTTTCCAAAGAAGGCCTCAAATAGGTCCAAATATCCACTTGCAGCTACTACAAGAAGGGTGTTTCAGAAACGCTCTATCAAAAGAAACGTTAAACTCTGTGAGTTGAACGCACACGTCACTAAGCACTTTCTGAGAACGATTCTATCTACTTTTTACATGAAGATGTTTCCTTTTCTAGCAGAGACTTCAAAGTGCTCTAAATATCCACTTGGGAATTCTACAAAAACGGTGTCTCAAAACTGCTCTATCAAACGGAATGTTCCATTCTGTGAGTCGAATGCACACATCCGAAGAAGTTACTGAGAATTCTTCTCTGTAGGTTCAGATGAAGAAATCCCGTTTCCAACGAAGGCCTCTAGGAGGTCCAATTATCCACTTGCAGATTCTACAGAAAGAGTGTTTCAAAACTGCTCTATCAAGAGAAATGGTCCACCGTGTGTGTGGAATGCAGCCATCACACATTAGTTTCTGAGATTGCTTCTGTCTTGGTTTTATGGGGAGATATTTCCATTTCTAGCATAGGCTTCAAGGCGCTCTAAATATCCGCTTGGAAATAGTACAAAAACAGTGTTTCAAAACTGCTGTATCCAAAGGAAGGTGCCACTCGCTGAGTTGAATGCACACATCACAAGGAAGTTTCTGAGAATTCTTCTGTCTAGATTCATACGAAGAAATCCCGTTTCCAACGAAGGCCTCAAAGAAGTCCAAATATCCCATTGCAAATTCTACAAAAGGAGTGTTTCCCAACTGCTCTATCAAGAGGAATGTTGCACTCTGTGACTTGAATGCAAACATCACATAGCAGTGTTTGAGAATTCTTCTGTCTAGAGTAACATGAAGAAATCCCGTTTCCAACGAAGGCCTCAAGGCGGTCCAATTATCCACTTGCAGATTCTACAGAAAGAGTGTTTCAAAACTGCTCTATCAAGAGAAATGTTCCACCGTGTGTGTGGAATGCAGCCATCACACAGTAGTTTCTGAGATTGCTTCCGTCTAGGTTTTATGGGAAGATATTTCCTTTTCTACCATAGGCTTCAAGGCGCTCTAATATCCGCTTGGAAATACTACAACCACAGCGTTTCAAACTGCTCTATCCAAAGGAAGGTTCCACTCTGTGACTTGAATGCACACAACCAAAGAAGTTTCGGAGAATTCTTCTGTCTGGATTTATACGAAGAAATCCCGTTTCCAACGAAGACCCAAAGGAGTTCCAAATATCCACTTGCAGATCCTTCAGAAAGAGGGTTTCAAAACTGCTCTATCAAGAGAAATGTTCAACTCTGTGAGTTGAATGCAGACATCACAAAGTCGTTTCTGAGATGGGTTCTGTCTAGGTTTTATGGGAAGATATTTCCTTTTCTACCATACGCTTCAAGGCGTTCCAAATATCCGCTTGGAAATACTACAAAAACAGTGTTTCAAAACTGCTCTATCAAAAGGAAGGATCCACACTTGTGAGTTGAATTCACACATCACAAAGAAATCTCTGAGAATTCTTCTGTCTGGGTTTATAGGAAGAAATCCCGTTTCCAACGAAGGCCTCAAAGAGGTCCAAATATCCACTTGCAGATTCTACAGAAACAATGTTTCCAAACTGCTCGGTCAAGAGGAATGTTGCACTCGGTGAGTTGAATGCACACATCACAAAGTAGTTTCTGAGATTGCTTCTGTCTACCTTTTATGGAAAGATATTCCCTTTTCTACCATAGGCCTGAAAGCACTCTCAATGTACCCTTGCAAATTCTACAAAAAGAGTGTTTCCAAATTGCTCTATCAAGAGAAATCTTTATCTCGGTGAGTTGAAAGCACACATCACAAAGAAGACTCTGAGAATTCTTCTGTCTGGGTTTATAAGATGAAAACCCGTTTCCAACGAAGGCCTCAAGGAGGTCCAAATACAAACAAGCTGATTCTACAGAAAGAGTGTTTCCAAACTGCTCTATCAAGAGGAATGTTCCACTCGGTGAGTTGAATGCAGACATCACAAAGGAGTTTCTGAGATTGCTTCTGTCTAGCTTTTATGGAAAGATATTTCCTTTTCTACCATAGGCCTCAAAGCGCTCTTAGTATACACTTCCAAATTCTACAAAGAGAGTGTTACTAAACCGCTCTCTCAAAGGAAATGTTAAACTCTGTGAGTTGAACACAGACATCACAAAGCAGTTTCTGAGAACACTTCTGTCTGCCTTTTATGTGAAGACATTCCCTTTTCCAAAGAATGCCTCCAAGGGCTCAAAATATCCACTTGTAGACTTTACAAAGAGAGTGTTTCAAAACTTCTCTACCAAAAGAAAGGTTAAAGACGGTGAGTTCAACGCACACATCACAAAGTTGTTTCTGAGAATGATTCTATCTATGTTTTCCATGAAGATGTTTCCTTTTCTATCATAGGCTTCAAAGTGGTCTAAATATCCACTTGGAAATCCTACAAGAACAGGGTTTCAAAACTTCTCTATCAAACGGAAGACTCCACTCTGTGAGATGAACGCACACATCACAATGAGGTTTCTGAAAATTCTTCTGTCTAGGGTTATAGGAAGAAATCCCGTTTCCAACGAAGGCCTCAAAGAGGTCCAAATATCCACTTGCAGTTTCTACAAAAAGAGTGTTTCAACACTGCTCTATAAAGAGAAAAGTTCCACTCTGTGAGTTGAATGTACACATCACAAAGTAGTTTCTGAGATTGCTTCTGTCTAGGTTTTAGGTGAAGTTATTTCCTTTTCTACTTTGGGCTTCAATGCGCTCTAAATATACACATGCAAATACTACAAAAAGAGTGTTTCAAAACTGCTCTATCAAAAGAAAAGTTTTACTCTGTGGGTTGAACGCACACATCGCAAAGCAGATTCTGAGAATTATTCTGTCTAGTTTTTATAGGAAGATGTTTCTTTTTCTGCCGTAGGCTCAATGCGCTATAAATATCCCCTTGGAAATCCTACAAAAACAGTGTTTCAAAACTGCTCTGTGAAAAGGGAGGTTTCACTCTTTGAATTGAATGCACACATCACAAAGGAGTTTCTGAAAATTCTTCAAACTAGAGTTACATGAAGAAATCCCGTTTCCAAAGAAGGCCTCAAATAGGTCCAAATATCCACTTGCAGCTACTACAAGAAGGGTGTTTCAGAAACGCTCTATCAAAAGAAACCGTTAAACTCTGTGAGTTGAACACACACGTCACTAAGCACTTTCTGAGAACGATTCTATCTACTTTTTACATGAAGATGTTTCCTTTTCTAGCAGAGACTTCAAAGTGCTCTAAATATCCACTTGGGAATTCTACAAAAACGGTGTCTCAAAACTGCTCTATCAAAGGGAATGTTCCATTCTGTGAGTCGAATGCACACATCCGAAGAAGTTACTGAGAATTCTTCTCTGTAGGTTTAGATGAAGAAATCCCGTTTCCAACGAAGGCCTCTAGGAGGTCCAATTATCCACTTGCAGATTCTACAGAAAGAGTGTTTCAAAACTGCTCTATCAAGAGAAATGGTCCACCGTGTGTGTGGAATGCAGCCATCACACATTAGTTTCTGAGATTGCTTCTGTCTTGGTTTTATGGGGAGATATTTCCATTTCTAGCATAGGCTTCAAGGCGCTCTAAATATCCGCTTGGAAATACTACAAAAACAGTGTTTCAAAACTGCTGTATCCAAAGGAAGGTGCCACTCGCTGAGTTGAATGCACACATCACAAGGAAGTTTCTGAGAATTCTTCTGTCTAGATTCATACGAAGAAATCCCGTTTCCAACGAAGGCCTCAAAGAAGTCCAAATATCCCATTGCAAATTCTACAAAAGGAGTGTTTCCCAACTGCTCTATCAAGAGGAATGTTGCACTCTGTGACTTGAATGCAAACATCACATAGCAGTGTTTGAGAATTCTTCTGTCTAGAGTAACATGAAGAAATCCCGTTTCCAACGAAGGCCTCAAGGCGGTCCAATTATCCACTTGCAGATTCTACAGAAAGAGTGTTTCAAAACTGCTCTATCAAGAGAAATGTTCCACCGTGTGTGTGGAATGCAGCCATCACACAGTAGTTTCTGAGATTGCTTCCGTCTGGTTTTATGGGAAGATATTTCCTTTTCTACCATAGGCTTCAAGGCGCTCTAATATCCGCTTGGAAATACTACAACCACAGCGTTTCAAACTGCTCTATCCAAAGGAAGGTTCCACTCTGTGACTTGAATGCACACAACCAAAGAAGTTTCGGAGAATTCTTCTGTCTGGATTTATACGAAGAAATCCCGTTTCCAACGAAGACCCAAAGGAGTTCCAAATATCCACTTGCAGATCCTTCAGAAAGAGGGTTTCAAAACTGCTCTATCAAGAGAAATGTTCAACTCTGCGAGTTGAATGCAGACATCACAAAGTCGTTTCTGAGATGGGTTCTGTCTAGGTTTTATGGGAAGATATTTCCTTTTCTACCATACGCTTCAAGGCGTTCCAAATATCCGCTTGGAAATACTACAAAAACGGTGTTTCAAAACTGCTCTATCAAAAGGAAGGATCCACACTGTGAGTTGAATTCACACATCACAAAGAAATCTCTGAGAATTCTTCTGTCTGGGTTTATAGGAAGAAATCCCGTTTCCAACGAAGGCCTCAAAGCGGTCCATATATCCACTTGCAGATTCTACAGAAACAATGTTTCCAAACTGCTCTATCAAGAGGAATGTTGCACTCGGTGAGTTGAATGCACACATCACAAAGTAGTTTCTGAGATTGCTTCTGTCTACCTTTTATGGAAAGATATTCCCTTTTCTACCATAGGCCTGAAAGCGCTCTCAATGTACCCTTGCAAATTCTACAAAAAGAGTGTTTCCAAATTGCTCTATCAAGAGAAATCTTTATCTCGGTGAGTTGAAAGCACACATCACAAAGAAGACTCTGAGAATTCTTCTGTCTGGGTTTATAAGATGAAAACCCGTTTCCAACGAAGGCCTCAAGGAGGTCCAAATACAAACAAGCTGATTCTACAGAAAGAGTGTTTCCAAACTGCTCTATCAAGAGGAATGTTCCACTCGGTGAGTTGAATGCAGACATCACAAAGGAGTTTCTGAGATTGCTTCTGTCTAGCTTTTATGGAAAGATATTTCCTTTTCTACCATAGGCCTCAAAGCGCTCTTAGTATACACTTCCAAATTCTACAAAGAGAGTGTTACTAAACCGCTCTCTCAAAGGAAATGTTAAACTCTGTGAGTTGAACACAGACATCACAAAGCAGTTTCTGAGAACACTTCTGTCTGCCTTTTATGTGAAGACATTCCCTTTTCCAAAGAATGCCTCCAAGGGCTCAAAATATCCACTTGTAGACTTTACAAAGAGAGTGTTTCAAAACTTCTCTACCAAAAGAAAGGTTAAAGACGGTGAGTTCAACGCACACATCACAAAGTTGTTTCTGAGAATGATTCTATCTATGTTTTCCATGAAGATGTTTCCTTTTCTATCATAGGCTTCAAAGTGGTCTAAATATCCACTTGGAAATCCTACAAGAACAGGGTTTCAAAACTTCTCTATCAAACGGAAGACTCCACTCTGTGAGATGAACGCACACATCACAATGAGGTTTCTGAAAATTCTTCTGTCTAGGGTTATAGGAGGAAATCCCGTTTCCAACGAAGGCCTCAAAGAGGTCCAAATATCCACTTGCAGTTTCTACAAAAAGAGTGTTTCAACACTGCTCTATAAAGAGGAAAGTTCCACTCTGTGAGTTGAATGTACACATCACAAAGTAGTTTCTGAGATTGCTTCTGTCTAGGTTTTAGGTGAAGTTATTTCCTTTTCTACTGTGGGCTTCAATGCGCTCTAAATATACACATGCAAATACTACAAAAAGAGTGTTTCAAAACTGCTCTATCAAAAGAAAAGTTTTACTCTGTGGGTTGAACGCACACATCGCAAAGCAGATTCTGAGAATTATTCTGTCTAGTTTTTATAGGAAGATGTTTCTTTTTCTGCCATAGGCTCAATGCGCTATAAATATCCCCTTGGAAATCCTACAAAAACAGTGTTTCAAAACTGCTCTGTGAAAAGGGAGGTTTCACTCTTTGAATTGAATGCACACATCACAAAGGAGTTTCTGAAAATTCTTCAATCTAGAGTTACATGAAGAAATCCCGTTTCCAAAGAAGGCCTCAAATAGGTCCAAATATCCACTTGCAGCTACTACAAGAAGGGTGTTTCAGAAACGCTCTATCAAAAGAAACGTTAAACTCTGTGAGTTGAACGCACACGTCACTAAGCACTTTCTGAGAACGAATCTATCTACTTTTTACATGAAGATGTTTCCTTTTCTAGCAGAGACTTCAAAGTGCTCTAAATATCCACTTGGGAATTCTACAAAAACGGTGTCTCAAAACTGCTCTATCAAAGGGAATGTTCCATTCTGTGAGTCGAATGCACACATCCGAAGAAGTTACTGAGAATTCTTCTCTGTAGGTTTAGATGAAGAAATCCCGTTTCCAACGAAGGCCTCTAGGAGGTCCAATTATCCACTTGCAGATTCTACAGAAAGAGTGTTTCAAAACTGCTCTATCAAGAGAAATGGTCCACCGTGTGTGTGGAATGCAGCCATCACACATTAGTTTCTGAGATTGCTTCTGTCTTGGTTTTATGGGGAGATATTTCCATTTCTAGCATAGGCTTCAAGGCGCTCTAAATATCCGCTTGGAAATAGTACAAAAACAGGGTTTCAAAACTGCTGTATCCAAAGGAAGGTGCCACTCGCTGAGTTGAATGCACACATCACAAGGAAGTTTCTGAGAATTCTTCTGTCTAGATTCATACGAAGAAATCCCGTTTCCAACGAAGGCCTCAAAGAAGTCCAAATATCCCATTGCAAATTCTACAAAAGGAGTGTTTCCCAACTGCTCTATCAAGAGGAATGTTGCACTCTGTGACTTGAATGCAAACATCACATAGCAGTGTTTGAGAATTCTTCTGTCTAGAGTAACATGAAGAAATCCCGTTTCCAACGAAGGCCTCAAGGCGGTCCAATTATCCACTTGCAGATTCTACAGAAAGAGTGTTTCAAAACTGCTCTATCAAGAGAAATGTTCCACCGTGTGTGTGGAATGCAGCCATCACACAGTAGTTTCTGAGATTGCTTCCGTCTAGGTTTTATGGGAAGATATTTCCTTTTCTACCATAGGCTTCAAGGCGCTCTAATATCCGCTTGGAAATACTACAACCACAGCGTTTCAAACTGCTCTATCCAAAGGAAGGTTCCACTCTGTGACTTGAATGCACACAACCAAAGAAGTTTCGGAGAATTCTTCTGTCTGGATTTATACGAAGAAATCCCGTTTCCAACGAAGACCCAAAGGAGTTCCAAATATCCACTTGCAGATCCTTCAGAAAGAGGGTTTCAAAACTGCTCTATCAAGAGAAATGTTGAACTCTGTGAGTTGAATGCAGACATCACAAAGTCGTTTCTGAGATGGGTTCTGTCTAGGTTTTATGGGAAGATATTTCCTTTTCTACCATACGCTTCAAGGCGTTCCAAATATCCGCTTGGAAATACTACAAAAACAGTGTTTCAAAACTGCTCTATCAAAAGGAAGGATCCACACTGTGAGTTGAATTCACACATCACAAAGAAGTCTCTGAGAATTCTTCTGTCTGGGTTTATAGGAAGAAATCCCGTTTCCAACGAAGGCCTCAAAGAGGTCCAAATATCCACTTGCAGATTCTACAGAAACAATGTTTCCAAACTGCTCTATCAAGAGGAATGTTGCACTCGGTGAGTTGAATGCACACATCACAAAGTAGTTTCTGAGATTGCTTCTGTCTACCTTTTATGGAAAGATATTCCCTTTTCTACCATAGGCCTGAAAGCGCTCTCAATGTACCCTTGCAAATTCTACAAAAAGAGTGTTTCCAAATTGCTCTATCAAGAGAAATCTTTATCTCGGTGAGTTGAAAGCACACATCACAAAGAAGACTCTGAGAATTCTTCTGTCTGGGTTTATAAGATGAAAACCCGTTTCCAACGAAGGCCTCAAGGAGGTCCAAATACAAACAAGCTGATTCTACAGAAAGAGTGTTTCCAAACTGCTCTATCAAGAGGAATATTCCACTCGGTGAGTTGAATGCAGACATCACAAAGGAGTTTCTGAGATTGCTTCTGTCTAGCTTTTATGGAAAGATATTTCCTTTTCTACCATAGGCCTCAAAGCGCTCTTAGTATACACTTCCAAATTCTACAAAGAGAGTGTTACTAAACCGCTCTCTCAAAGGAAATGTTAAACTCTGTGAGTTGAACACAGACATCACAAAGCAGTTTCTGAGAACACTTCTGTCTGCCTTTTATGTGAAGACATTCCCTTTTCCAAAGAATGCCTCCAAGGGCTCAAAATATCCACTTGTAGACTTTACAAAGAGAGTGTTTCAAAACTTCTCTACCAAAAGAAAGGTTAAAGACGGTGAGTTCAACGCACACATCACAAAGTTGTTTCTGAGAATGATTCTATCTATGTTTTCCATGAAGATGTTTCCTTTTCTATCATAGGCTTCAAAGTGGTCTAAATATCCACTTGGAAATCCTACAAGAACAGGGTTTCAAAACTTCTCTATCAAACGGAAGACTCCACTCTGTGAGATGAACGCACACATCACAATGAGGTTTCTGAAAATTCTTCTGTCTAGGGTTATAGGAAGAAATCCCGTTTCCAACGAAGGCCTCAAAGCTGGTCCAAATATCCACTTGCAGTTTCTACAAAAAGAGTGTTTCAACACTGCTCTATAAAGAGAAAAGTTCCACTCTGTGAGTTGAATGTACACATCACAAAGTAGTTTCTGAGATTGCTTCTGTCTAGGTTTTAGGTGAAGTTATTTCCTTTTCTACTTTGGGCTTCAATGCGCTCTAAATATACACATGCAAATACTACAAAAAGAGTGTTTCAAAACTGCTCTATCAAAAGAAAAGTTTTACTCTGTGGGTTGAACGCACACATCGCAAAGCAGATTCTGAGAATTATTCTGTCTAGTTTTTATAGGAAGATGTTTCTTTTTCTGCCATAGGCTCAATGCGCTATAAATATCCCCTTGGAAATCCTACAAAAACAGTGTTTCAAAACTGCTCTGTGAAAAGGGAGGTTTCACTCTTTGAATTGAATGCACACATCACAAAGGAGTTTCTGAAAATTCTTCAAACTAGAGTTACATGAAGAAATCCCGTTTCCAAAGAAGGCCTCAAATAGGTCCAAATATCCACTTGCAGCTACTACAAGCAGGGTGTTTCAGAAACGCTCTATCAAAAGAAACGTTAAACTCTGTGAGTTGAACACACACGTCACTAACCACTTTCTGAGAACGATTCTATCTACTTTTTACATGAAGATGTTTCCTTTTCTAGCAGAGACTTCAAAGTGCTCTAAATATCCACTTGGGAATTCTACGAAAACGGTGTCTCAAAACTGCTCTATCAAACGGAATGTTCCATTCTGTGAGTCGAATGCACACATCCGAAGAAGTTACTGAGAATTCTTCTCTGTAGGTTTAGATGAAGAAATCCCGTTTCCAACGAAGGCCTCTAGGAGGTCCAACTATCCACTTGCAGATTCTACAGAAAGAGTGTTTCAAAACTGCTCTATCAAGAGAAATGGTCCACCGTGTGTGTGGAATGCAGCCATCACACATTAGTTTCTGAGATTGCTTCTGTCTTGGTTTTATGGGGAGATATTTCCATTTCTAGCATAGGCTTCAAGGCGCTCTAAATATCCGCTTGGAAATAGTACAAAAACAGTGTTTCAAAACTGCTGTATCCAAAGGAAGGTGCCACTCGCTGAGTTGAATGCACACATCACAAGGAAGTTTCTGAGAATTCTTCTGTCTAGATTCATACGAAGAAATCCCGTTTCCAACGAAGGCCTCAAAGAAGTCCAAATATCCCATTGCAAATTCTACAAAAGGAGTGTTTCCCAACTGCTCTATCAAGAGGAATGTTGCACTCTGTGACTTGAATGCAAACATCACATAGCAGTGTTTGAGAATTCTTTCTGTCTAGAGTAACATGAAGAAATCCCGTTTCCAACGAAGGCCTCAAGGCGGTCCAATTATCCACTTGCAGATTCTACAGAAAGAGTGTTTCAAAACTGCTCTATCAAGAGAAATGTTCCACCGTGTGTGTGGAATGCAGCCATCACACAGTAGTTTCTGAGATTGCTTCCGTCTAGGTTTTATGGGAAGATATTTCCTTTTCTACCATAGGCCTCAAGGCGCTCTAATATCCGCTTGGAAATACTACAACCACAGCGTTTCAAACTGCTCTATCCAAAGGAAGGTTCCACTCTGTGACTTGAATGCACACAACCAAAGAAGTTTCGGAGAATTCTTCTGTCTAGATTTATACGAAGAAATCCCGTTTCCAACGAAGACCCAAAGGAGTTCCAAATATCCACTTGCAGATCCTTCAGAAAGAGGGTTTCAAAACTGCTCTATCAAGAGAAATGTTCAACTCTGTGAGTTGAATGCAGACATCACAAAGTCGTTTCTGAGATTGGTTCTGTCTAGGTTTTATGGGAAGATATTTCCTTTTCTACCATACGCTTCAAGGCGTTCCAAATATCCGCTTGGAAATACTACAAAAACAGTGTTTCAAAACTGCTCTATCAAAAGGAAGGATCCACACTGTGAGTTGAATTCACACATCACAAAGAAGTCTCTGAGAATTCTTCTGTCTGGGTTTATAGGAAGAAATCCCGTTTCCAACGAAGGCCTCAAAGAGGTCCAAATATCCACTTGCAGATTCTACAGAAACAATGTTTCCAAACTGCTCGGTCAAGAGGAATGTTGCACTCGGTGAGTTGAATGCACACATCACAAAGTAGTTTCTGAGATTGCTTCTGTCTACCTTTTATGGAAAGATATTCCCTTTTCTACCATAGGCCTGAAAGCGCTCTCAATGTACCCTTGCAAATTCTACAAAAAGAGTGTTTCCAAATTGCTCTATCAAGAGAAATCTTTATCTCGGTGAGTTGAAAGCACACATCACAAAGAAGACTCTGAGAATTCTTCTGTCTGGGTTTATAAGATGAAAACCCGTTTCCAACGAAGGCCTCAAGGAGGTCCAAATACAAACAAGCTGATTCTACAGAAAGAGTGTTTCCAAACTGCTCTATCAAGAGGAATGTTCCACTCGGTGAGTTGAATGCAGACATCACAAAGGAGTTTCTGAGATTGCTTCTGTCTAGCTTTTATGGAAAGATATTTCCTTTTCTACCATAGGCCTCAAAGCGCTCTTAGTATACACTTCCAAATTCTACAAAGAGAGTGTTACTAAACCGCTCTCTCAAAGGAAATGTTAAACTCTGTGAGTTGAACACAGACATCACAAAGCAGTTTCTGAGAACACTTCTGTCTGCCTTTTATGTGAAGACATTCCCTTTTCCAAAGAATGCCTCCAAGGGCTCAAAATATCCACTTGTAGACTTTACAAAGAGAGTGTTTCAAAACTTCTCTACCAAAAGAAAGGTTAAAGACGGTGAGTTCAACGCACACATCACAAAGTTGTTTCTGAGAATGATTCTATCTACGTTTTCCATGAAGATGTTTCCTTTTCTATCATAGGCTTCAAAGTGGTCTAAATATCCACTTGGAAATCCTACAAGAACAGGGTTTCAAAACTTCTCTATCAAACGGAAGACTCCACTCTGTGAGATGAACGCACACATCACAATGAGGTTTCTGAAAATTCTTCTGTCTAGGGTTATAGGAAGAAATCCCGTTTCCAACGAAGGCCTCAAAGAGGTCCAAATATCCACTTGCAGTTTCCACAAAAAGAGTGTTTCAACACTGCTCTATAAAGAGGAAAGTTCCACTCTGTGAGTTGAATGTACACATCACAAAGTAGTTTCTGAGATTGCTTCTGTCTAGGTTTTAGGTGAAGTTATTTCCTTTTCTACTGTGGGCTTCAATGCGCTCTAAATATACACATGCAAATACTACAAAAAGAGTGTTTCAAAACTGCTCTATCAAAAGAAAACTTTTACTCTGTGGGTTGAACGCACACATCGCAAAGCAGATTCTGAGAATTATTCTGTCTAGTTTTTATAGGAAGATGTTTCTTTTTCTGCCGTAGGCTCAATGCGCTATAAATATCACCTTGGAAATCCTACAAAAACAGTGTTTCAAAACTGCTCTGTGAAAAGGGAGGTTTCACTCTTTGAATTGAATGCACACATCACAAAGGAGTTTCTGAAAATTCTTCAAACTAGAGTTACATGAAGAAATCCCGTTTCCAAAGAAGGCCTCAAATAGGTCCAAATATCCACTTGCAGCTACTACAAGAAGGGTGTTTCAGAAACGCTCTATCAAAAGAAACGTTAAACTCTGTGAGTTGAACGCACACGTCACTAAGCGCTTTCTGAGAACGATTCTATCTACTTTTTACATGAAGATGTTTCCTTTTCTAGCAGAGACTTCAAAGTGCTCTAAATATCCACTTGGGAATTCTACAAAAACGGTGTCTCAAAACTGCTCTATCAAAGGGAATGTTCCATTCTGTGAGTCGAATGCACACATCCGAAGAAGTTACTGAGAATTCTTCTCTGTAGGTTTAGATGAAGAAATCCCATTTCCAACGAAGGCCTCTAGGAGGTCCAATTATCCACTTGCAGATTCTACAGAAAGAGTGTTTCAAAACTGCTCTATCAAGAGAAATGGTCCACCGTGTGTGTGGAATGCAGCCATCACACATTAGTTTCTGAGATTGCTTCTGTCTTGGTTTTATGGGGAGATATTTCCATTTCTAGCATAGGCTTCAAGGCGCTCTAAATATCCGCTTGGAAATACTACAAAAACAGTGTTTCAAAACTGCTGTATCCAAAGGGAAGGTGCCACTCGCTGAGTTGAATGCACACATCACAAGGAAGTTTCTGAGAATTCTTCTGTCTAGATTCATACGAAGAAATCCCGTTTCCAACGAAGGCCTCAAAGAAGTCCAAATATCCCATTGCAAATTCTACAAAAGGAGTGTTTCCCAACTGCTCTATCAAGAGGAATGTTGCACTCTGTGACTTGAATGCAAACATCACATAGCAGTGTTTGAGAATTCTTCTGTCTAGAGTAACATGAAGAAATCCCGTTTCCAACGAAGGCCTCAAGGCGGTCCAATTATCCACTTGCAGATTCTACAGAAAGAGTGTCTCAAAACTGCTCTATCAAGAGAAATGTTCCACCGTGTGTGTGGAATGCAGCCATCACACAGTAGTTTCTGAGATTGCTTCCGTCTAGGTTTTATGGGAAGATATTTCCTTTTCTACCATAGGCTTCAAGGCGCTCTAATATCCGCTTGGAAATACTACAACCACAGCGTTTCAAACTGCTCTATCCAAAGGAAGGTTCCACTCTGTGACTTGAATGCACACAACCAAAGAAGTTTCGGAGAATTCTTCTGTCTGGATTTATACGAAGAAATCCCGTTTCCAACGAAGACCCAAAGGAGTTCCAAATATCCACTTGCAGCTCCTTCAGAAAGAGGGTTTCAAAACTGCTCTATCAAGAGAAATGTTCAACTCTGTGAGTTGAATGCAGACATCACAAAGTCGTTTCTGAGATGGGTTCTGTCTAGGTTTTATGGGAAGATATTTCCTTTTCTACCTTACGCTTCAAGGCGTTCCAAATATCCGCTTGGAAATACTACAAAAACAGTGTTTCAAAACTGCTCTATCAAAAGGAAGGATCCACACTGTGAGTTGAATTCACACATCACAAAGAAATCTCTGAGAATTCTTCTGTCTGGGTTTATAGGAAGAAATCCCGTTTCCAACGAAGGCCTCAAAGCGGTCCATATATCCACTTGCAGATTCTACAGAAACAATGTTTCCAAACTGCTCTATCAAGAGGAATGTTGCACTCGGTGAGTTGAATGCACACATCACAAAGTAGTTTCTGAGATTGCTTCTGTCTACCTTTTATGGAAAGATATTCCCTTTTCTACCATAGGCCTGAAAGCGCTCTCAATGTAACCTTGCAAATTCTACAAAAAGAGTGTTTCCAAATTGCTCTATCAAGAGAAATCTTTATCTCGGTGAGTTGAAAGCACACATCACAAAGAAGACTCTGAGAATTCTTCTGTCTGGGTTTATAAGATGAAAACCCGTTTCCAACGAAGGCCTCAAGGAGGTCCAAATACAAACAAGCTGATTCTACAGAAAGAGTGTTTCCAAACTGCTCTATCAAGAGGAATGTTCCACTCGGTGAGTTGAATGCAGACATCACAAAGGAGTTTCTGAGATTGCTTCTGTCTAGCTTTTATGGAAAGTTATTTCCTTTTCTACCATAGGCCTCAAAGCGCTCTTAGTATACACTTCCAAATTCTACAAAGAGAGTGTTACTAAACCGCTCTCTCAAAGGAAATGTTAAACTCTGTGAGTTGAACACAGACATCACAAAGCAGTTTCTGAGAACACTTCTGTCTGCCTTTTATGTGAAGACATTCCCTTTTCCAAAGAATGCCTCCAAGGGCTCAAAATATCCACTTGTAGACTTTACAAAGAGAGTGTTTCAAAACTTCTCTACCAAAAGAAAGGTTAAAGACGGTGAGTTCAACGCACACATCACAAAGTTGTTTCTGACAATGATTCTATCTATGTTTTCCATGAAGATGTTTCCTTTTCTATCATAGGCTTCAAAGTGGTCTAAATATCCACTTGGAAATCCTACAAGAACAGGGTTTCAAAACTTCTCTATCAAACGGAAGACTCCACTCTGTGAGATGAACGCACACATCACAATGAGGTTTCTGAAAATTCTTCTGTCTAGGGTTATAGGAAGAAATCCCGTTTCCAACGAAGGCCTCAAAGAGGTCCAAATATCCACTTGCAGTTTCTACAAAAAGAGTGTTTCAACACTGCTCTATAAAGAGGAAAGTTCCACTCTGTGAGTTGAATGTACACATCACAAAGTAGTTTCTGAGATTGCTTCTGTCTAGGTTTTAGGTGAAGTTATTTCCTTTTCTACTGTGGGCTTCAATGCGCTCTAAATATACACATGCAAATACTACAAAAAGAGTGTTTCAAAACTGCTCTGTCAAAAGAAAAGTTTTACTCTGTGGGTTGAACGCACACATCGCAAAGCAGATTCTGAGAATTATTCTGTCTAGTTTTTATAGGAAGATGTTTCTTTTTCTGCCGTAGGCTCAATGCGCTATAAATATCCCCTTGGAAATCCTACAAAAACAGTGTTTCAAAACTGCTCTGTGAAAAGGGAGGTTTCACTCTTTGAATTGAATGCACACATCACAAAGGAGTTTCTGAAAATTCTTCAAACTAGAGTTACATGAAGAAATCCCGTTTCCAAAGAAGGCCTCAAATAGGTCCAAATATCCACTTGCAGCTACTACAAGAAGGGTGTTTCAGAAACGCTCTATCAAAAGAAACGTTAAACTCTGTGAGTTGAACACACACGTCACTAAGCACTTTCTGAGAACGATTCTATCTACTTTTTACATGAAGATGTTTCCTTTTCTAGCAGAGACTTCAAAGTGCTCTAAATATCCACTTGGGAATTCTACAAAAACGGTGTCTCAAAACTGCTCTATCAAAGGGAATGTTCCATTCTGTGAGTCGAATGCACACATCCGAAGAAGTTACTGAGAATTCTTCTCTGTAGGTTTAGATGAAGAAATCCCGTTTCCAACGAAGGCCTCTAGGAGGTCCAATTATCCACTTGCAGATTCTACAGAAAGAGTGTTTCAAAACTGCTCTATCAAGAGAAATGGTCCACCGTGTGTGTGGAATGCAGCCATCACACATTAGTTTCTGAGATTGCTTCTGTCTTGGTTTTATGGGGAGATATTTCCATTTCTAGCATAGGCTTCAAGGCGCTCTAAATATCCGCTTGGAAATACTACAAAAACAGTGTTTCAAAACTGCTGTATCCAAAGGAAGGTGCCACTCGCTGAGTTGAATGCACACATCACAAGGAAGTTTCTGAGAATTCTTCTGTCTAGATTCATACGAAGAAATCCCGTTTCCAACGAAGGCCTCAAAGAAGTCCAAATATCCCATTGCAAATTCTACAAAAGGAGTGTTTCCCAACTGCTCTATCAAGAGGAATGTTGCACTCTGTGACTTGAATGCAAACATCACACAGCAGTGTTTGAGAATTCTTCTGTCTAGAGTAACATGAAGAAATCCCGTTTCCAACGAAGGCCTCAAGGCGGTCCAATTATCCACTTGCAGATTCTACAGAAAGAGTGTTTCAAAACTGCTCTATCAAGAGAAATATTCCACCGTGTGTGTGGAATGCAGCCATCACACAGTAGTTTCTGAGATTGCTTCCGTCTAGGTTTTATGGGAAGATATTTCCTTTTCTACCATAGGCTTCAAGGCGCTCTAATATCCGCTTGGAAATACTACAACCACAGCGTTTCAAACTGCTCTATCCAAAGGAAGGTTCCACTCTGTGACTTGAATGCACACAACCAAAGAAGTTTCGGAGAATTCTTCTGTCTGGATTTATACGAAGAAATCCCGTTTCCAACGAAGACCCAAAGGAGTTCCAAATATCCACTTGCAGATCCTTCAGAAAGAGGGTTTCAAAACTGCTCTATCAAGAGAAATGTTCAACTCTGTGAGTTGAATGCAGACATCACAAAGTCGTTTCTGAGATGGGTTCTGTCTAGGTTTTATGGGAAGATATTTCCTTTTCTACCATACGCTTCAAGGCGTTCCAAATATCCGCTTGGAAATACTACAAAAACGGTGTTTCAAAACTGCTCTATCAAAAGGAAGGATCCACACTGTGAGTTGAATTCACACATCACAAAGAAATCTCTGAGAATTCTTCTGTCTGGGTTTATAGGAAGAAATCCCGTTTCCAACGAAGGCCTCAAAGAGGTCCATATATCCACTTGCAGATTCTACAGAAACAATGTTTCCAAACTGCTCTATCAAGAGGAATGTTGCACTCGGTGAGTTGAATGCACACATCACAAAGTAGTTTCTGAGATTGCTTCTGTCTACCTTTTATGGAAAGAATTCCCTTTTCTACCATAGGCCTGAAGCGCTCTCAATGTACCCTTGCAAATTCTACAAAAAGAGTGTTTCCAAATTGCTCTATCAAGAGAAATCTTTATCTCGGTGAGTTGAAAGCACACATCACAAAGAAGACTCTGAGAATTCTTCTGTCTGGGTTTATAAGATGAAAACCCGTTTCCAACGAAGGCCTCAAGGAGGTCCAAATACAAACAAGCTGATTCTACAGAAAGAGTGTTTCCAAACTGCTCTATCAAGAGGAATGTTCCACTCGGTGAGTTGAATGCAGACATCACAAAGGAGTTTCTGAGATTGCTTCTGTCTAGCTTTTATGGAAAGATATTTCCTTTTCTACCATAGGCCTCAAAGCGCTCTTAGTATACACTTCCAAATTCTACAAAGAGAGTGTTACTAAACCGCTCTCTCAAAGGAAATGTTAAACTCTGTGAGTTGAACACAGACATCACAAAGCAGTTTCTGAGAACACTTCTGTCTGCCTTTTATGTGAAGACATTCCCTTTTCCAAAGAATGCCTCCAAGGGCTCAAAATATCCACTTGTAGACTTTACAAAGAGAGTGTTTCAAAACTTCTCTACCAAAAGAAAGGTTAAAGACGGTGAGTTCAACGCACACATCACAAAGTTGTTTCTGAGAATGATTCTATCTATGTTTTCCATGAAGATGTTTCCTTTTCTATCATAGGCTTCAAAGTGGTCTAAATATCCACTTGGAAATCCTACAAGAACAGGGTTTCAAAACTTCTCTATCAAACGGAAGACTCCACTCTGTGAGATGAACGCACACATCACAATGAGGTTTCTGAAAATTCTTCTGTCTAGGGTTATAGGAAGAAATCCCGTTTCCAACGAAGGCCTCAAAGAGGTCCAAATATCCACTTGCAGTTTCTACAAAAAGAGTCTTTCAACACTGCTCTATAAAGAGGAAAGTTCCACTCGGTGAGTTGAATGTACACATCACAAAGTAGTTTCTGAGATTGCTTCTGTCTAGGTTTTAGGTGAAGTTATTTCCTTTTCTACTGTGGGCTTCAATGCGCTCTAAATATACACATGCAAATACTACAAAAAGAGTGTTTCAAAACTGCTCTATCAAAAGAAAAGTTTTACTCTGTGAGTTGAACGCACACATCGCAAAGCAGATTCTGAGAATTATTCTGTCCAGTTTTTATAGGAAGGTGTTTCTTTTTCTGCCGTAGGCTCAATGCGCTATAAATATCCCCTTGGAAATCCTACAAAAACAGTGTTTCAAAACTGCTCTGTGAAAAGAGAGGTTTCACTCTTTGAATTGAATGCACACATCACAAAGGAGTTTCTGAGAATTCTTCAATCTACAGTTACATGAAGAAATCCCGTTTCCAAAGAAGGCCTCCAATAGGTCCAAATATCCACTTGCAGCTACTACAAGAAGGGTGTTTCAGAAACGCTCTATCAAAAGAAACGTTACACTCTGTGAGTTGAACGCACACGTCACTAAGCACTTTCTGAGAGCGATTCTATCTACTTTTTACATGAAGATGTTTCCTTTTCTAGCAGAGACTTCAAAGTGCTCTAAATATCCACTTGGGAATTCTACAAAAACGGTGTCTCAAAACTGCTCTATCAAAGGGAATGTTCCATTCTGTGAGTCGAATGCACACATCCGAAGAAGTTACTGAGAACTCTTCTCTGTAGGTTTAGATGGAGAAATCCCGTTTCCAACGAAGGCCTCTAGGAGGTCCAATTATCCACTTGCAGATTCTACAGAAAGAGTGTTTCAAAACTGCTCTATCAAGAGAAATGGTACACAGTGTGTGTGGAATGCAGCCATCACACTTTAGTTTCTGAGATTGCTTCTGTCTTGGTTTTATGGGGAGATATTTCCATTTCTAGCATAGGCTTCAAGGCGCTCTAAATATCCGCTTGGAAATACTACAAAAACAGTGTTTCAAAACTGCTGTATCCAAAGGAAGGTGCCACTCGCTGAGTTGAATGCACACATCACAAAGAAGTTTCTGAGAATTCTTCTGTCTAGATTCATACGAAGAAATCCCGTTTCCAACGAAGGCCTCAAAGAAGTCCAAATATCCCATTGCAAATTCTACAAAAGGAGTGTTTCCCAACTGCTCTATCAAGAGGAATGTTGCACTCTGTGACTTGAATGCAAACATCACATAGTAGTGTTTGAGAATTCTTCTATCTAGAGTAACATGAAGAAATCCCGTTTCCAACGAAGGCCTCAAGGCGGTCCAATTATCCACTTGCAGATTCTACAGAAAGAGTGTTTCAAAACTGCTCTATCAAGAGAAATGTTCCACCGTGTGTGTGGAATGCAGCCGTCACACAGTAGTTTCTGAGATTGCTTCCGTCTAGGTTTTATGGGAAGATATTTCCTTTTCTACCATAGGCCTCAAGGCGCTCTAATATCCGCTTGGAAATACTACAACCACAGCGTTTCAAACTGCTCTATCCAAAGGAAAGTTCCACTCTGTGGCTTGAATGCACACAACCAAAGAAGTTTCGGAGAATTCTTCTGTCTGGATTTATACGAAGAAATCCCTTTTCCAACGAAGACCCAAAGGAGTTCCAAATATCCACTTGCAGATCCTTCAGAAAGAGGGTTTCAAAACTGCTCTATCAAGAGAAATGTTCAACTCTGTGAGTTGAATGCAGACATCACAAAGTCGTTTCTGAGATTGGTTCTGTCTAGGTTTTATGGGAAGATATTTCCTTTTCTACCATACGCTTCAAGGCGTTCCAAATATCCGCTTGGAAATACTACAAAAACAGTGTTTCAAAACTGCTCTATCAAAAGGAAGGATCCACACTGTGAGTTGAATTCACACATCACAAAGAAGTCTCTGAGAATTCTTCTGTCTGGGTTTATAGGAAGAAATCCCGTTTCCAACGAAGGCCTCAAAGAGGTCCAAATATCCACTTGCAGATTCTACAGAAACAATGTTTCCAAACTGCTCGGTCAAGAGGAATGTTGCACTCGGTGAGTTGAATGCACACATCACAAAGTAGTTTCTGAGATTGCTTCTGTCTACCTTTTATGGAAAGATATTCCCTTTTCTACCATAGGCCTGAAAGCGCTCTCAATGTACCCTTGCAAATTCTACAAAAAGAGTGTTTCCAAATTGCTCTATCAAGAGAAATCTTTATCTCGGTGAGTTGAAAGCACACATCACAAAGAAGACTCTGAGAATTCTTCTGTCTGGGTTTATAAGATGAAAACCCGTTTCCAACGAAGGCCTCAAGGAGGTCCAAATACAAACAAGCTGATTCTACAGAAAGAGTGTTTCCAAACTGCTCTATCAAGAGGAATATTCCACTCGGTGAGTTGAATGCAGACATCACAAAGGAGTTTCTGAGATTGCTTCTGTCTAGCTTTTATGGAAAGATATTTCCTTTTCTACCATAGGCCTCAAAGCGCTCTTAGTATACACTTCCAAATTCTACAAAGAGAGTGTTACTAAACCGCTCTCTCAAAGGAAATGTTACACTCTGTTAGTTGAACACAGACATCACAAAGCAGTTTCTGAGAACACTTCTGTCTGCCTTTTATGTGAAGACATTCCCTTTTCCAAAGAATGCCTCCAAGGGCTCAAAATATCCACTTGTAGACTTTACAAAGAGAGTGTTTCAAAACTTCTCTACCAAAAGAAAGTTTAAAGACGGTGAGTTCAACGCACACATCACAAAGTTGTTTCTGAGAATGATTCTATCTATGTTTTCCATGAAGATGTTTCCTTTTCTATCATAGGCTTCAAAGTGGTCTAAATATCCACTTGGAAATCCTACAAGAACAGGGTTTCAAAACTTCTCTATCAAACGGAAGACTCCACTCTGTGAGATGAACGCACACATCACAATGAGGTTTCTGAAAATTCTTCTGTCTAGGGTTATAGGAAGAAATCCCGTTTCCAACGAAGGCCTCAAAGAGGTCCAAATATCCACTTGCAGTTTCTACAAAAAGAGTGTTTCAACACTGCTCTATAAAGAGGAAAGTTCCACTCTGTGAGTTGAATGTACACATCACAAAGTAGTTTCTGAGATTGCTTCTGTCTAGGTTTTAGGTGAAGTTATTTCCTTTTCTACTGTGGGCTTCAATGCGCTCTAAATATACACATGCAAATACTACAAAAAGAGTGTTTCAAAACTGCTCTATCAAAAGAAAAGTTTTACTCTGTGGGTTGAACGCACACATCGCAAAGCAGATTCTGAGAATTATTCTGTCTAGTTTTTATAGGAAGATGTTTCTTTTTCTGCCATAGGCTCAATGCGCTATAAATATCCCCTTGGAAGTCCTACAAAAACAGTGTTTCAAAACTGCTCTGTGAAAAGGGAGGTTTCACTCTTTGAATTGAATGCACACATCACAAAGGAGTTTCTGAAAATTCTTCAATCTAGAGTTACATGAAGAAATCCCGTTTCCAAAGAAGGCCTCAAATAGGTCCAAATATCCACTTGCAGCTACTACAAGAAGGGTGTTTCAGAAACGCTCTATCAAAAGAAACGTTAAACTCTGTGAGTTGAACGCACACGTCACTAAGCACTTTCTGAGAACGATTCTATCTACTTTTTACATGAAGATGTTTCCTTTTCTAGCAGAGACTTCAAAGTGCTCTAAATATCCACTTGGGAATTCTACAAAAACGGTGTCTCAAAACTGCTCTATCAAAGGGAATGTTCCATTCTGTGAGTCGAATGCACACATCCGAAGAAGTTACTGAGAATTCTTCTCTGTAGGTTTAGATGAAGAAATCCCGTTTCCAACGAAGGCCTCTAGGAGGTCCAATTATCCACTTGCAGATTCTACAGAAAGAGTGTTTCAAAACTGCTCTATCAAGAGAAATGGTCCACCGTGTGTGTGGAATGCAGCCATCACACATTAGTTTCTGAGATTGCTTCTGTCTTGGTTTTATGGGGAGATATTTCCATTTCTAGCATAGGCTTCAAGGCGCTCTAAATATCCGCTTGGAAATACTACAAAAACAGTGTTTCAAAACTGCTGTATCCAAAGGAAGGTGCCACTCGCTGAGTTGAATGCACACATCACAAGGAAGTTTCTGAGAATTCTTCTGTCTAGATTCATACGAAGAAATCCCGTTTCCAATGAAGGCCTCAAAGAAGTCCAAATATCCCATTGCAAATTCTACAAAAGGAGTGTTTCCCAACTGCTCTATCAAGAGGAATGTTGCACTCTGTGACTTGAATGCAAACATCACATAGCAGTGTTTGAGAATTCTTCTGTCTAGAGTAACATGAAGAAATCCCGTTTCCAACGACGGCCTCAAGGCGGTCCAATTATCCACTTGCAGATTCTACAGAAAGAGTGTTTCAAAACTGCTCTATCAAGAGAAATGTTCCACCGTGTGTGTGGAATGCAGCCATCACACAGTAGTTTCTGAGATTGCTTCCGTCTAGGTTTTATGGGAAGATATTTCCTTTTCTACCATAGGCTTCAAGGCGCTCTAATATCCGCTTGGAAATACTACAACCACAGCGTTTCAAACTGCTCTATCCAAAGGAAGGTTCCACTCTGTGACTTGAATGCACACAACCAAAGAAGTTTCGGAGAATTCTTCTGTCTGGATTTATACGAAGAAATCCCGTTTCCAACGAAGACCCAAAGGAGTTCCAAATATCCACTTGCAGATCCTTCAGAAAGAGGGTTTCAAAACTGCTCTATCAAGACAAATGTTCAACTCTGCGAGTTGAATGCAGACATCACAAAGTCGTTTCTGAGATGGGTTCTGTCTAGGTTTTATGGGAAGATATTTCCTTTTCTACCATACGCTTCAAGGCGTTCCAAATATCCGCTTGGAAATACTACAAAAACGGTGTTTCCAAACTGCTCTATCAAAAGGAAGTATCCACACTGTGAGTTGAATTCACACATCACAAAGAAATCTCTGAGAATTCTTCTGTCTGGGTTTATAGGAAGAAATCCCGTTTCCAACGAAGGCCTCAAAGCGGTCCATATATCCACTTGCAGATTCTACAGAAACAATGTTTCCAAACTGCTCTATCAAGAGGAATGTTGCACTCGGTGAGTTGAATGCACACATCACAAAGTAGTTTCTGAGATTGCTTCTGTCTACCTTTTATGGAAAGATATTCCCTTTTCTACCATAGGCCTGAAAGCGCTCTCAATGTACCCTTGCAAATTCTACAAAAAGAGTGTTTCCAAATTGCTCTATCAAGAGAAATCTTTATCTCGGTGAGTTGAAAGCACACATCACAAAGAAGACTCTGAGAATTCTTCTGTCTGGGTTTATAAGATGAAAACCCGTTTCCAACGAAGGCCTCAAGGAGGTCCAAATACAAACAAGCTGATTCTACAGAAAGAGTGTTTCCAAACTGCTCTATCAAGAGGAATGTTCCACTCGGTGAGTTGAATGCAGACATCACAAAGGAGGTTTCTGAGATTGCTTCTGTCTAGCTTTTATGGAAAGATATTTCCTTTTCTACCATAGGCCTCAAAGCGCTCTTAGTATACACTTCCAAATTCTACAGAGTGTTACTAAACCGCTCTCTCAAAGGAAATGTTAAACTCTGTGAGTTGAACACAGACATCACAAAGCAGTTTCTGAGACCACTTCTGTCTGCCTTTTATGTGAAGACATTCCCTTTTCCAAAGAATGCCTCCAAGGGCTCAAAATATCCACTTGTAGACTTTACAAAGAGAGTGTTTCAAAACTTCTCTACCAAAAGAAAGGTTAAAGACGGTGAGTTCAACGCACACATCACAAAGTTGTTTCTGAGAATGATTCTATCTATGTTTTCCATGAAGATGTTTCCTTTTCTATCATAGGCTTCAAAGTGGTCTAAATATCCACTTGGAAATCCTACAAGAACAGGGTTTCAAAACTTCTCTATCAAACGGAAGACTCCACTCTGTGAGATGAACGCACACATCACAATGAGGTTTCTGAAAATTCTTCTGTCTAGGGTTATAGGAAGAAATCCCGTTTCCAACGAAGGCCTCAAAGAGGTCCAAATATCCACTTGCAGTTTCTACAAAAAGAGTCTTTCAACACTGCTCTATAAAGAGGAAAGTTCCACTCGGTGAGTTGAATGTACACATCACAAAGTAGTTTCTGAGATTGCTTCTGTCTAGGTTTTAGGTGAAGTTATTTCCTTTTCTACTGTGGGCTTCAATGCGCTCTAAATATACACATGCAAATACTACAAAAAGAGTGTTTCAAAACTGCTCTATCAAAAGAAAAGTTTTACTCTGTGAGTTGAACGCACACATCGCAAAGCAGATTCTGAGAATTATTCTGTCTAGTTTTTATAGGAAGATGTTTCTTTTTCTGCCATAGGCTCAATGCGCTATAAATATCCCCTTGGAAATCCTACAAAAACAGTGTTTCAAAACTGCTCTGTGAAAAGGGAGGTTTCACTCTTTGAATTGAATGCACACATCACAAAGGAGTTTCTGAAAATTCTTCAATCTAGAGTTACATGAAGAAATCCCGTTTCCAAAGAAGGCCTCAAATAGGTCCAAATATCCACTTGCAGCTACTACAAGAAGGGTGTTTCAGAAACGCTCTATCAAAAGAAACGTTAAACTCTGTGAGTTGAACGCACACGTCACTAAGCACTTTCTGAGAACGATTCTATCTACTTTTTACATGAAGATGTTTCCTTTTCTAGCAGAGACTTCAAAGTGCTCTAAATATCCACTTGGGAATTCTACAAAAACGGTGTCTCAAACCTGCTCCATCAAAGGGAATGTTCCATTCTGTGAGTCGAATGCACACATCCGAAGAAGTTACTGAGAATTCTTCTCTGTAGGTTTAGATGAAGAAATCCCGTTTCCAACGAAGGCCTCTAGGAGGTCCAATTATCCACTTGCAGATTCTACAGAAAGAGTGTTTCAAAACTGCTCTATCAAGAGAAATGGTCCACCGTGTGTGTGGAATGCAGCCATCACACATTAGTTTCTGAGATTGCTTCTGTCTTGGTTTTATGGGGAGATATTTCCATTTCTAGCATAGGCTTCAAGGCGCTCTAAATATCCGCTTGGAAATACTACAAAAACAGTGTTTCAAAACTGCTGTATCCAAAGGAAGGTGCCACTCGCTGAGTTGAATGCACACATCACAAGGAAGTTTCTGAGAATTCTTCTGTCTAGATTCATACGAAGAAATCCCGTTTCCAACGAAGGCCTCAAAGAAGTCCAAATATCCCATTGCAAATTCTACAAAAGGAGTGTTTCCCAACTGCTCTATCAAGAGGAATGTTGCACTCTGTGACTTGCATGCAAACATCACACAGCAGTGTTTGAGAATTCTTCTGTCTAGAGTAACATGAAGAAATCCCGTTTCCAACGAAGGCCTCAAGGCGGTCCAATTATCCACTTGCAGATTCTACAGAAAGAGTGTTTCAAAACTGCTCTATCAAGAGAAATGTTCCACCGTGTGTGTGGAATGCAGCCATCACACAGTAGTTTCTGAGATTGCTTCCGTCTAGGTTTTATGGGAAGATATTTCCTTTTCTACCATAGGCCTCAAGGCGCTCTAATATCCGCTTGGAAATACTACAACCAGAGCGTTTCAAACTGCTCTATCCAAAGGAAGGTTCCACTCTGTGACTTGAATGCACACAACCAAAGAAGTTTCGGAGAATTCTTCTGTCTGGATTTATACGAAGAAATCCCGTTTCCAACGAAGACCCAAAGGAGTTCCAAATATCCACTTGCAGATCCTTCAGAAAGAGGGTTTCAAAACTGCTCTATCAAGAGAAATGTTCAACTCTGTGAGTTGAATGCAGACATCACAAAGTCGTTTCTGAGATTGGTTCTGTCTAGGTTTTATGGGAAGATATTTCCTTTTCTACCATACGCTTCAAGGCGTTCCAAATATCCGCTTGGAAATACTACAAAAACGGTGTTTCAAAACTGCTCTATCAAAAGGAAGGATCCACACTGTGAGTTGAATTCACACATCACAAAGAAATCTCTGAGAATTCTTCTGTCTGGGTTTATAGGAAGAAATCCCGTTTCCAACGAAGGCCTCAAAGCGGTCCATATATCCACTTGCAGATTCTACAGAAACAATGTTTCCAAACTGCTCTATCAAGAGGAATGTTGCACTCGGTGAGTTGAATGCACACATCACAAAGTAGTTTCTGAGATTGCTTCTGTCTACCTTTTATGGAAAGATATTCCCTTTTCTACCATAGGCCTGAAAGCGCTCTCAATGTACCCTTGCAAATTCTACAAAAAGAGTGTTTCCAAATTGCTCTAACAAGAGAAATCTTTATCTCGGTGAGTTGAAAGCACACATCACAAAGAAGACTGTGAGAATTCTTCTGTCTGGGTTTATAAGATGAAAACCCGTTTCCAACGAAGGCCTCAAGGAGGTCCAAATACAAACAAGCTGATTCTACAGAAAGAGTGTTTCCAAACTGCTCTATCAAGAGGAATGTTCCACTCGGTGAGTTGAATGCAGACATCACAAAGGAGTTTCTGAGATTGCTTCTGTCTAGCTTTTATGGAAAGATATTTCCTTTTCTACCATAGGCCTCAAAGCGCTCTTAGTATACACTTCCAAATTCTACAAAGAGAGTGTTACTAAACCGCTCTCTCAAAGGAAATGTTAAACTCTGTGAGTTGAACACAGACATCACAAAGCAGTTTCTGAGAACACTTCTGTCTGCCTTTTATGTGAAGACATTCCCTTTTCCAAAGAATGCCTCCAAGGGCTCAAAATATCCACTCGTAGACTTTACAAAGAGAGTGTTTCAAAACTTCTCTACCAAAAGAAAGGTTAAAGACGGTGAGTTCAACGCACACATCACAAAGTTGTTTCTGAGAATGATTCTATCTATGTTTTCCATGAAGATGTTTCCTTTTCTATCATAGGCTTCAAAGTGGTCTAAATATCCACTTGGAAATCCTACAAGAACAGGGTTTCAAAACTTCTCTATCAAACGGAACACTCCACTCTGTGAGATGAACGCACACATCACAATGAGGTTTCTGAAAATTCTTCTGTCTAGGGTTATAGGAAGAAATCCCGTTTCCAACGAAGGCCTCAAAGAGGTCCAAATATCCACTTGCAGTTTCTACAAAAAGAGTGTTTCAACACTGCTCTATAAAGAGGAAAGTTCCACTCTGTGAGTTGAATGTACACATCACAAAGTAGTTTCTGAGATTGCTTCTGTCTAGGTTTTAGGTGAAGTTATTTCCTTTTCTACTGTGGGCTTCAATGCGCTCTAAATATACACATGCAAATACTACAAAAAGAGTGTTTCAAAACTGCTCTATCAAAAGAAAAGTTTTACTCTGTGGGTTGAACGCACACATCGCAAAGCAGATTCTGAGAATTATTCTGTCTAGTTTTTATAGGAAGATGTTTCTTTTTCTGCCATAGGATCAATGCGCTATAAATATCCCCTTGGAAGTCCTACAAAAACAGTGTTTCAAAACTGCTCTGTGAAAAGGGAGGTTTCACTCTTTGAATTGAATGCACACATCACAAAGGAGTTTCTGAAAATTCTTCAATCTAGAGTTACATGAAGAAATCCCGTTTCCAAAGAAGGCCTCAAATAGGTCCAAATATCCACTTGCAGCTACTACAAGAAGGGTGTTTCAGAAACGCTCTATCAAAAGAAACGTTAAACTCTGTGAGTTGAACGCACACGTCACTAAGCACTTTCTGAGAACGATTCTATCTACTTTTTACATGAAGATGTTTCCTTTTCTAGCAGAGACTTCAAAGTGCTCTAAATATCCACTTGGGAATTCTACAAAAACGGTGTCTCAAAACTGCTCTATCAAAGGGAATGTTCCATTCTGTGAGTCGAATGCACACATCCGAAGAAGTTACTGAGAATTCTTCTCTGTAGGTTTAGATGAAGAAATCCCGTTTCCAACGAAGGCCTCTAGGAGGTCCAATTATCCACTTGCAGATTCTACAGAAAGAGTGTTTCAAAACTGCTCTATCAAGAGAAATGGTCCACCGTGTGTGTGGAATGCAGCCATCACACATTAGTTTCTGAGATTGCTTCTGTCTTGGTTTTATGGGGAGATATTTCCATTTCTAGCATAGGCTTCAAGGCGCTCTAAATATCCGCTTGGAAATACTACAAAAACAGTGTTTCAAAACTGCTGTATCCAAAGGAAGGTGCCACTCGCTGAGTTGAATGCACACATCACAAGGAAGTTTCTGAGAATTCTTCTGTCTAGATTCATACGAAGAAATCCCGTTTCCAACGAAGGCCTCAAAGAAGTCCAAATATCCCATTGCAAATTCTACAAAAGGAGTGTTTCCCAACTGCTCTATCAAGAGGAATGTTGCACTCTGTGACTTGCATGCAAACATCACACAGCAGTGTTTGAGAATTCTTCTGTCTAGAGTAACATGAAGAAATCCCGTTTCCAACGAAGGCCTCAAGGCGGTCCAATTATCCACTTGCAGATTCTACAGAAAGAGTGTTTCAAAACTGCTCTATCAAGAGAAATGTTCCACCGTGTGTGTGGAATGCAGCCATCACACAGTAGTTTCTGAGATTGCTTCCGTCTAGGTTTTATGGGAAGATATTTCCTTTTCTACCATAGGCCTCAAGGCGCTCTAATATCCGCTTGGAAATACTACAACCACAGCGTTTCAAACTGCTCTATCCAAAGGAAGGTTCCACTCTGTGACTTGAATGCACACAACCAAAGAAGTTTCGGAGAATTCTTCTGTCTGGATTTATACGAAGAAATCCCGTTTCCAACGAAGACCCAAAGGAATTCCAAATATCCACTTGCAGATCCTTCAGAAAGAGGGTTTCAAAACTGCTCTATCAAGAGAAATGTTCAACTCTGTGAGTTGAATGCAGACATCACAAAGTCGTTTCTGAGACTGGTTCTGTCTAGGTTTTATGGGAAGATATTTCCTTTTCTACCATACGCTTCAAGGCGTTCCAAATATCCGCTTGGAAATACTACAAAAACAGTGTTTCAAAACTGCTCTATCAAAAGGAAGGATCCACACTGTGAGTTGAATTCACACATCACAAAGAAGTCTCTGAGAATTCTTCTGTCTGGGTTTATAGGAAGAAATCCCGTTTCCAACGAAGGCCTTAAAGCGGTCCATATATCCACTTGCAGATTCTACAGAAACAATGTTTCCAAACTGCTCGGTCAAGAGGAATGTTGCACTCGGTGAGTTGAATGCACACATCACAAAGTAGTTTCTGAGATTGCTTCTGTCTACCTTTTATGGAAAGATATTCCCTTTTCTACCATAGGCCTGAAAGCGCTCTCAATGTACCCTTGCAAATTCTACAAAAAGAGTGTTTCCAAATTGCTCTATCAAGAGAAATCTTTATCTCGGTGAGTTGAAAGCACACATCACAAAGAAGACTCTGAGAATTCTTCTGTCTGGGTTTATAAGATGAAAACCCGTTTCCAACGAAGGCCTCAAGGAGGTCCAAATACAAACAAGCTGATTCTACAGAAAGAGTGTTTCCAAACTGCTCTATCAAGAGGAATGTTCCACTCGGTGAGTTGAATGCAGACATCACAAAGGAGTTTCTGAGATTGCTTCTGTCTAGCTTTTATGGAAAGATATTTCCTTTTCTACCATAGGCCTCAAAGCGCTCTTAGTATACACTTCCAAATTCTACAAAGAGAGTGTTACTAAACCGCTCTCTCAAAGGAAATGTTAAACTCTGTGAGTTGAACACAGACATCACAAAGCAGTTTCTGAGAACACTTCTGTCTGCCTTTTATGTGAAGACATTCCCTTTTCCAAAGAATGCCTCCAAGGGCTCAAAATATCCACTTGTAGACTTTACAAAGAGAGTGTTTCAAAACTTCTCTACCAAAAGAAAGGTTAAAGACGGTGAGTTCAACGCACACATCACAAAGTTGTTTCTGAGAATGATTCTATCTATGTTTTCCATGAAGATGTTTCCTTTTCTATCATAGGCTTCAAAGTGGTCTAAATATCCACTTGGAAATCCTACAAGAACAGGGTTTCAAAACTTCTCTATCAAACGGAAGACTCCACTCTGTGAGATGAACGCACACATCACAATGAGGTTTCTGAAAATTCTTCTGTCTAGGGTTATAGGAAGAAATCCCGTTTCCAACGAAGGCCTCAAAGAGGTCCAAATATCCACTTGCAGTTTCTACAAAAAGAGTGTTTCAACACTGCTCTATAAAGAGAAAAGTTCCACTCTGTGAGTTGAATGTACACATCACAAAGTAGTTTCTGAGATTGCTTCTGTCTAGGTTTTAGGTGAAGTTATTTCCTTTTCTACTGTGGGCTTCAATGCGCTCTAAATATACACATGCAAATACTACAAAAAGAGTGTTTCAAAACTGCTCTATCAAAAGAAAAGTTTTACTCTGTGAGTTGAACGCACACATCGCAAAGCAGATTCTGAGAATTATTCTGTCTAGTTTTTATAGGAAGATGTTTCTTTTTCTGCCATAGGCTCAATGCGCTATAAATATCCCCTTGGAAATCCTACAAAAACAGTGTTTCAAAACTGCTCTGTGAAAAGGGAGGTTTCACTCTTTGAATTGAATGCACACATCACAAAGGAGTTTCTGAAAATTCTTCAATCTAGAGTTACATGAAGAAATCCCGTTTCCAAAGAAGGCCTCAAATAGGTCCAAATATCCACTTGCAGCTACTACAAGAAGGGTGTTTCAGAAACGCTCTATCAAAAGAAACGTTAAACTCTGTGAGTTGAACGCACACGTCACTAAGCACTTTCTGAGAACGATTCTATCTACTTTTTACATGAAGATGTTTCCTTTTCTAGCAGAGACTTCAAAGTGCTCTAAATATCCACTTGGGAATTCTACAAAAACGGTGTCTCAAAACTGCTCTACCAAAGGGAATGTTCCATTCTGTGAGTCGAATGCACACATCCGAAGAAGTTACTGAGAATTCTTCTCTGTAGGTTTAGATGAAGAAATCCCGTTTCCAACGAAGGCCTCTAGGAGGTCCAATTATCCACTTGCAGATTCTACAGAAAGAGTGTTTCAAAACTGCTCTATCAAGAGAAATGGTCCACCGTGTGTGTGGAATGCAGCCATCACACATTAGTTTCTGAGATTGCTTCTGTCTTGGTTTTATGGGGAGATATTTCCATTTCTATCATAGGCTTCAAGGCGCTCTAAATATCCGCTTGGAAATACTACAAAAACAGTGTTTCAAAACTGCTGTATCCAAAGGAAGGTGCCACTCGCTGAGTTGAATGCACACATCACAAGGAAGTTTCTGAGAATTCTTCTGTCTAGATTCATACGAAGAAATCCCGTTTCCAACGAAGGCCTCAAAGAAGTCCAAATATCCCATTGCAAATTCTACAAAAGGAGTGTTTCCCAACTGCTCTATCAAGAGGAATGTTGCACTCTGTGACTTGCATGCAAACATCACACAGCAGTGTTTGAGAATTCTTCTGTCTAGAGTAACATGAAGAAATCCCGTTTCCAACGAAGGCCTCAAGGCGGTCCAATTATCCACTTGCAGATTCTACAGAAAGAGTGTTTCAAAACTGCTCTATCAAGAGAAATGTTCCACCGTGTGTGGGGAATGCAGCCATCACACAGTAGTTTCTGAGATTGCTTCCGTCTAGGTTTTATGGGAAGATATTTCCTTTTCTACCATAGGCCTCAAGGCGCTCTAATATCCGCTTGGAAATACTACAACCACAGCGTTTCAAACTGCTCTATCCAAAGGAAGGTTCCACTCTGTGAGTTGAATGCACACAACCAAAGATGTTTCGGAGAATTCTGTCTGGATTTATACGAAGAAATCCCGTTTCCAACGAAGACCCAAAGGAGTTCCAAATATCCACTTGCAGATCCTTCAGAAAGAGGGTTTCAAAACTGCTCTATCAAGAGAAATGTTCAACTCTGTGAGTTGAATGCAGGCATCACAAAGTCGTTTCTGAGATTGGTTCTGTCTAGGTTTTATGGGAAGATATTTCCTTTTCTACCATACGCTTCAAGGCGTTCCAAATATCCGCTTGGAAATACTACAAAAACGGTGTTTCAAAACTGCTCTATCAAAAGGAAGGATCCACACTGTGAGTTGAATTCACACATCACAAAGAAATCTCTGAGAATTCTTCTGTCTGGGTTTATAGGAAGAAATCCCGTTTCCAACGAAGGCCTCAAAGCGGTCCATATATCCACTTGCAGATTCTACAGAAACAATGTTTCCAAACTGCTCTATCAAGAGGAATGTTGCACTCGGTGAGTTGAATGCACACATCACAAAGTAGTTTCTGAGATTGCTTCTGTCTACCTTTTATGGAAAGATATTCCCTTTTCTACCATAGGCCTGAAAGCGCTCTCAATGTACCCTTGCAAATTCTACAAAAAGAGTGTTTCCAAATTGCTCTATCAAGAGAAATCTTTATCTCGGTGAGTTGAAAGCACACATCACAAAGAAGACTCTGAGAATTCTTCTGTCTGGGTTTATAAGATGAAAACCCGTTTCCAACGAAGGCCTCAAGGAGGTCCAAATACAAACAAGCTGATTCTACAGAAAGAGTGTTTCCAAACTGCTCTATCAAGAGGAATGTTCCACTCGGTGAGTTGAATGCAGACATCACAAAGGAGTTTCTGAGATTGCTTCTGTCTAGCTTTTATGGAAAGATATTTCCTTTTCTACCATAGGCCTCAAAGCGCTCTTAGTATACACTTCCAAATTCTACAAAGAGAGTGTTACTAAACCGCTCTCTCTAAGGAAATGTTAAACTCTGTGAGTTGAACACAGACATCACAAAGCAGTTTCTGAGAACACTTCTGTCTGCCTTTTATGTGAAGACATTCCCTTTTCCAAAGAATGCCTCCAAGGGCTCAAAATATCCACTTGTAGACTTTACAAAGAGAGTGTTTCAAAACTTCTCTACCAAAAGAAAGGTTAAAGACGGTGAGTTCAACGCACACATCACAAAGTTGTTTCTGAGAATGATTCTATCTATGTTTTCCATGAAGATGTTTCCTTTTCTATCATAAGCTTCAAAGTGGTCTAAATATCCACTTGGAAATCCTACAAGAACAGGGTTTCAAAACTTCTCTATCAAACGGAAGACTCCACTCTGTGAGATGAACGCACACATCACAATGAGGTTTCTGAAAATTCTTCTGTCTAGGGTTATAGGAAGAAATCCCGTTTCCAACGAAGGCCTCAAAGAGGTCCAAATATCCACTTGCAGTTTCTACAAAAAGAGTGTTTCATCACTGCTCTATAAAGAGGAAAGTTCCACTCTGTGAGTTGAATGTACACATCACAAAGGAGTTTCTGAGATTGCTTCTGTCTAGGTTTTAGGTGAAGTTATTTCCTTTTCTACTGTGGGCTTCAATGCGCTCTAAATATACACATGCAAATACTACAAAAAGAGTGTTTCAAAACTGCTCTATCAAAAGAAAAGTTTTACTCTGTGAGTTGAACGCACACATCGCAAAGCAGATTCTGAGAATTATTCTGTCTAGTTTTTATAGGAAGATGTTTCTTTTTCTGCCATAGGATCAATGCGCTATAAATATCCCCTTGGAAATCCTACAAAAACAGTGTTTCAAAACTGCTCTGTGAAAAGGGACGTTTCACTCTTTGAATTGAATGCACACATCACAAAGGAGTTTCTGAAAATTCTTCAAACTAGAGTTACATGAAGAAATCCCGTTTCCAAAGAAGGCCTCAAATAGGTCCAAATATCCACTTGCAGCTACTACAAGAAGGGTGTTTCAGAAACGCTCTATCAAAAGAAACGTTAAACTCTGTGAGTTGAACACACACGTCACTAAGCACTTTCTGAGAACGATTCTATCTACTTTTTACATGAAGATGTTTCCTTTTCTAGCAGAGACTTCAAAGTGCTCTAAATATCCACTTGGGAATTCTACAAAAACGGTGTCTCAAAACTGCTCTATCAAAGGGAATGTTCCATTCTGTGAGTCGAATGCACACATCCGAAGAAGTTACTGAGAATTCTTCTCTGTAGGTTTAGATGAAGAAATCCCGTTTCCAACGAAGGCCTCTAGGAGGTCCAATTATCCACTTGCAGATTCTACAGAAAGAGTGTTTCAAAACTGCTCTATCAAGAGAAATGGTCCACCGTGTGTGTGGAATGCAGCCATCACACATTAGTTTCTGAGATTGCTTCTGTCTTGGTTTTATGGGGAGATATTTCCATTTCTAGCATAGGCTTCAAGGCGCTCTAAATATCCGCTTGGAAATACTACAAAAACAGTGTTTCAAAACTGCTGTATCCAAAGGAAGGTGCCACTCGCTGAGTTGAATGCACACATCACAAGGAAGTTTCTGAGAATTCTTCTGTCTAGATTCATACGAAGAAATCCCGTTTCCAACGAAGGCCTCAAAGAAGTCCAAATATCCCATTGCAAATTCTACAAAAGGAGTGTTTCCCAACTGCTCTATCAAGAGGAATGTTGCACTCTGTGACTTGAATGCAAACATCACATAGCAGTGTTTGAGAATTCTTCTGTCTAGAGTAACATGAAGAAATCCCGTTTCCAACGAAGGCCTCAAGGCGGTCCAATTATCCACTTGCAGATTCTACAGAAAGAGTGTTTCAAAACTGCTCTATCAAGAGAAATGTTCCACCGTGTGTGTGGAATGCAGCCATCACACAGTAGTTTCTGAGATTGCTTCCGTCTAGGTTTTATGGGAAGATATTTCCTTTTCTACCATAGGCTTCAAGGCGCTCTAATATCCGCTTGGAAATACTACAACCACAGCGTTTCAAACTGCTCTATCCAAAGGAAGGTTCCACTCTGTGACTTGAATGCACACAACCAAAGAAGTTTCGGAGAATTCTTCTGTCTGGATTTATACGAAGAAATCCCGTTTCCAACGAAGACCCAAAGGAGTTCCAAATATCCACTTGCAGATCCTTCAGAAAGAGGGTTTCAAAACTGCTCTATCAAGAGAAATGTTCAACTCTGTGAGTTGAATGCAGACATCACAAAGTCGTTTCTGAGATGGGTTCTGTCTAGGTTTTATGGGAAGATATTTCCTTTTCTACCATACGCTTCAAGGCGTTCCAAACATCCGCTTGGAAATACTACAAAAACAGTGTTTCAAAACTGCTCTATCAAAAGGAGGGATCCACACTGTGAGTTGAATTCACACATCACAAAGAAATCTCTGAGAATTCTTCTGTCTGGGTTTATAGGAAGAAATCCCGTTTCCAACGAAGGCCTCAAAGCGGTCCATATATCCACTTGCAGATTCTACAGAAACAATGTTTCCAAACTGCTCTATCAAGAGGAATGTTGCACTCGGTGAGTTGAATGCACACATCACAAAGTAGTTTCTGAGATTGCTTCTGTCTACCTTTTCTACCATAGGCCTGAAAGCGCTCTCAATGTACCCTTGCAAATTCTACAAAAAGAGTGTTTCCAAATTGCTCTATCAAGAGAAATCTTTATCTCGGTGAGTTGAAAGCACACATCACAAAGAAGACTCTGAGAATTCTTCTGTCTGGGTTTATAAGATGAAAACCCGTTTCCAACGAAGGCCTCAAGGAGGTCCAAATACAAACAAGCTGATTCTACAGAAAGAGTGTTTCCAAACTGCTCTATCAAGAGGAATGTTCCACTCGGTGAGTTGAATGCAGACATCACAAAGGAGTTTCTGAGATTGCTTCTGTCTAGCTTTTATGGAAAGATATTTCCTTTTCTACCATAGGCCTCAAAGCGCTCTTAGTATACACTTCCAAATTCTACAAAGAGAGTGTTACTAAACCGCTCTCTCAAAGGAAATGTTACACTCTGTTAGTTGAACACAGACATCACAAAGCAGTTTCTGAGAACACTTCTGTCTGCCTTTTATGTGAAGACATTCCCTTTTCCAAAGAATGCCTCCAAGGGCTCAAAATATCCACTTGTAGACTTTACAAAGAGAGTGTTTCAAAACTTCTCTACCAAAAGAAAGGTTAAAGACGGTGAGTTCAACGCACACATCACAAAGTTGTTTCTGAGAATGATTCTATCTATGTTTTCCATGAAGATGTTTCCTTTTCTATCATAGGCTTCAAAGTGGTCTAAATATCCACTTGGAAATCCTACAAGAACAGGGTTTCAAAACTTCTCTATCAAACGGAAGACTCCACTCTGTGAGATGAACGCACACATCACAATGAGGTTTCTGAAAATTCTTCTGTCTAGGGTTATAGGAAGAAATCCCGTTTCCAACGAAGGCCTCAAAGAGGTCCAAATATCCACTTGCAGTTTCTACAAAAAGAGTGTTTCAACACTGCTCTATAAAGAGGAAAGTTCCACTCTGTGAGTTGAATGTACACATCACAAAGTAGTTTCTGAGATTGCTTCTGTCTAGGTTTTAGGTGAAGTTATTTCCTTTTCTACTGTGGGCTTCAATGCGCTCTAAATATACACATGCAAATACTACAAAAAGAGTGTTTCAAAACTGCTCTATCAAAAGAAAAGTTTTACTCTGTGGGTTGAACGCACACATCGCAAAGCAGATTCTGAGAATTATTCTGTCTAGTTTTTATAGGAAGATGTTTCTTTTTCTGCCATAGGATCAATGCGCTATAAATATCCCCTTGGAAGTCCTACAAAAACAGTGTTTCAAAACTGCTCTGTGAAAAGGGAGGTTTCACTCTTTGAATTGAATGCACACATCACAAAGGAGTTTCTGAAAATTCTTCAATCTAGAGTTACATGAAGAAATCCCGTTTCCAAAGAAGGCCTCAAATAGGTCCAAATATCCACTTGCAGCTACTACAAGAAGGGTGTTTCAGAAATGCTCTATCAAAAGAAACGTTAAACTCTGTGAGTTGAACACACACGTCACTAAGCACTTTCTGAGAACGATTCTATCTACTTTTTACATGAAGATGTTTCCTTTTCTAGCAGAGACTTCAAAGTGCTCTAAATATCCACTTGGGAATTCTACAAAAACGGTGTCTCAAAACTGCTCTATCAAACGGAATGTTCCATTGTGTGAGTCGAATGCACACATCCGAAGAAGTTACTGAGAATTCTTCTCTGTAGGTTTAGATGAAGAAATCCCGTTTCCAACGAAGGCCTCTAGGAGGTCCAATTATCCACTTGCAGATTCTACAGAAAGAGTGTTTCAAAAGTGCTCTATCAAGAGAAATGGTCCACCGTGTGTGTGGAATGCAGCCATCACACATTAGTTTCTGAGATTGCTTCTGTCTTGGTTTTATGGGGAGATATTTCCATTTCTAGCATAGGCTTCAAGGCGCTCTAAATATCCGCTTGGAAATAGTACAAAAACAGTGTTTCAAAACTGCTGTATCCAAAGGAAGGTGCCACTCGCTGAGTTGAATGCACACATCACAAGGAAGTTTCTGAGAATTCTTCTGTCTAGATTCATACGAAGAAATCCCGTTTCCAACGAAAGCCTCAAAGAAGTCCAAATATCCCATTGCAAATTCTACAAAAGGAGTGTTTCCCAACTGCTCTATCAAGAGGAATGTTGCACTCTGTGACTTGAATGCAAACATCACATAGCAGTGTTTGAGAATTCTTCTGTCTAGAGTAACATGAAGAAATCCCGTTTCCAACGAAGGCCTCAAGGCGGTCCAATTATCCACTTGCAGATTCTACAGAAAGAGTGTTTCAAAACTGCTCTATCAAGAGAAATGTTCCACCGTGTGTGTGGAATGCAGCCATCACACAGTAGTTTCTGAGATTGCTTCCGTCTAGGTTTTATGGGAAGATATTTCCTTTTCTACCATAGGCTTCAAGGCGCTCTAATATCCGCTTGGAAATACTACAACCAGAGCGTTTCAAACTGCTCTATCCAAAGGAAGGTTCCACTCTGTGACTTGAATGCACACAACCAAAGAAGTTTCGGAGAATTCTTCTGTCTAGATTTATACGAAGAAATCCCGTTTCCAACGAAGACCCAAAGGAGTTCCAAATATCCACTTGCAGATCCTTCAGAAAGAGGGTTTCAAAACTGCTCTATCAAGAGAAATGTTCAACTCTGTGAGTTGAATGCAGACATCACAAAGTCGTTTCTGAGATTGGTTCTGTCTAGGTTTTATGGGAAGATATTTCCTTTTCTACCATACGCTTCAAGGCGTTCCAAATATCCGCTTGGAAATACTACAAAAACGGTGTTTCAAAACTGCTCTATCAAAAGGAAGGATCCACACTGTGAGTTGAATTCACACATCACAAAGAAATCTCTGAGAATTCTTCTGTCTGGGTTTATAGGAAGAAATCCCGTTTCCAACGAAGGCCTCAAAGCGGTCCATATATCCACTTGCAGATTCTACAGAAACAATGTTTCCAAACTGCTCTATCAAGAGGAATGTTGCACTCGGTGAGTTGAATGCACACATCACAAAGTAGTTTCTGAGATTGCTTCTGTCTACCTTTGATGGAAAGATATTCCCTTTTCTACCATAGGCCTGAAAGCGCTCTCAATGTACCCTTGCAAATTCTACAAAAAGAGTGTTTCCAAATTGCTCTATCAAGAGAAATCTTTATCTCGGTGAGTTGAAAGCACACATCACAAAGAAGACTCTGAGAATTCTTCTGTCTGGGTTTATAAGATGAAAACCCGTTTCCAACGAAGGCCTCAAGGAGGTCCAAATACAAACAAGCTGATTCTACAGAAAGAGTGTTTCCAAACTGCTCTATCAAGAGGAATGTTCCACTCGGTGAGTTGAATGCAGACATCACAAAGGAGTTTCTGAGATTGCTTCTGTCTAGCTTTTATGGAAAGATATTTCCTTTTCTACCATAGGCCTCAAAGCACTCTTAGTATACACTTCCAAATTCTACAAAGAGAGTGTTACTAAACTGCTCTCTCAAAGGAAATGTTAAACTATGTGAGTTGAACACAGACATCACAAAGCAGTTTCTGAGAACAGTTCTGTCTGCCTTTTATGTGAAGACATTCCCTTTTCCAAAGAATGCCTCCAAGGGCTCAAAATATCCACTTGTAGACTTTACAAAGAGAGTGTTTCAAAACTTCTCTACCAAAAGAAAGGTTAAAGACGGTGAGTTCAACGCACACATCACAAAGTTGTTTCTGAGAATGATTCTATCTATGTTTTCCATGAAGATGTTTCCTTTTCTATCATAGGCTTCAAAGTGGTCTAAATATCCACTTGGAAATCCTACAAGAACAGGGTTTCAAAACTTCTCTATCAAACGGAAGACTCCACTCTGTGAGATGAACGCACACATCACAATGAGGTTTCTGAAAATTCTTCTGTCTAGGGTTATAGGAAGAAATCCCGTTTCCAACGAAGGCCTCAAAGAGGTCCAAATATCCACTTGCAGTTTCTACAAAAAGAGTGTTTCAACACTGCTCTATAAAGAGGAAAGTTCCACTCTGTGAGTTGAATGTACACATCACAAAGTAGTTTCTGAGATTGCTTCTGTCTAGGTTTTAGGTGAAGTTATTTCCTTTTCTACTGTGGGCTTCAATGCGCTCTAAATATACACATGCAAATACTACAAAAAGAGTGTTTCAAAACTGCTCTATCAAAAGAAAGTTTTACTCTGTGGGTTGAACGCACACATCGCAAAGCAGATTCTGAGAATTATTCTGTCTAGTTTTTATAGGAAGATGTTTCTTTTTCTGCCGTAGGCTCAATGCGCTATAAATATCCCCTTGGAAATCCTACAAAAACAGTGTTTCAAAACTGCTCTGTGAAAAGGGAGGTTTCACTCTTTGAATTGAATGCACACATCACAAAGGAGTTTCTGAAAATTCTTCAAACTAGAGTTACATGAAGAAATCCCGTTTCCAAAGAAGGCCTCAAATAGGTCCAAATATCCACTTGCAGCTACTACAAGAAGGGTGTTTCAGAAACGCTCTATCAAAAGAAACGTTAAACTCTGTGAGTTGAACGCACACGTCACTAAGCACTTTCTGAGAACGATTCTATCTACTTTTTACATGAAGATGTTTCCTTTTCTAGCAGAGACTTCAAAGTGCTCTAAATATCCACTTGGGAATTCTACAAAAACGGTGTCTCAAAACTGCTCTATCAAAGGGAATGTTCCATTCTGTGAGTCGAATGCACACATCCGAAGAAGTTACTGAGAATTCTTCTCTGTAGGTTTAGATGAAGAAATCCCGTTTCCAACGAAGGCCTCTAGGAGGTCCAATTATCCACTTGCAGATTCTACAGAAAGAGTGTTTCAAAACTGCTCTATCCAGAGAAATGGTCCACCGTGTGTGTGGAATGCAGCCATCACACATTAGTTTCTGAGATTGCTTCTGTCTTGGTTTTATGGGGAGATATTTCCATTTCTAGCATAGGCTTCAAGGCGCTCTAAATATCCGCTTGGAAATACTACAAAAACAGTGTTTCAAAACTGCTGTATCCAAAGGAAGGTGCCACTCGCTGAGTTGAATGCACACATCACAAGGAAGTTTCTGAGAATTCTTCTGTCTAGATTCATACGAAGAAATCCCGTTTCCAACGAAGGCCTCAAAGAAGTCCAAATATCCCATTGCAAATTCTACAAAAGGAGTGTTTCCCAACTGCTCTATCAAGAGGAATGTTGCACTCTGTGACTTGCATGCAAACATCACATAGCAGTGTTTGAGAATTCTTCTGTCTAGAGTAACATGAAGAAATCCCGTTTCCAACGAAGGCCTCAAGGCGGTCCAATTATCCACTTGCAGATTCTACAGAAAGAGTGTTTCAAAACTGCTCTATCAAGAGAAATGTTCCACCGTGTGTGTGGAATGCAGCCATCACACAGTAGTTTCTGAGATTGCTTCCGTCTAGGTTTTATGGGAAGATATTTCCTTTTCTACCATAGGCTTCAAGGCGCTCTAATATCCGCTTGGAAATACTACAACCACAGCGTTTCAAACTGCTCTATCCAAAGGAAGGTTCCACTCTGTGACTTGAATGCACACAACCAAAGAAGTTTCGGAGAATTCTTCTGTCTGGATTTATACGAAGAAATCCCGTTTCCAACGAAGACCCAAAGGAGTTCCAAATATCCACTTGCAGATCCTTCAGAAAGAGGGTTTCAAAACTGCTCTATCAAGACAAATGTTCAACTCTGCGAGTTGAATGCAGACATCACAAAGTCGTTTCTGAGATGGGTTCTGTCTAGGTTTTATGGGAAGATATTTCCTTTTCTACCATACGCTTCAAGGCGTTCCAAATATCCGCTTGGAAATACTACAAAAACGGTGTTTCAAAACTGCTCTATCAAAAGGAAGGATCCACACTGTGAGTTGAATTCACACATCACAAAGAAATCTCTGAGAATTCTTCTGTCTGGGTTTATAGGAGGAAATCCCGTTTCCAACGAAGGCCTCAAAGCGGTCCATATATCCACTTGCAGATTCTACAGAAACAATGTTTCCAAACTGCTCTATCAAGAGCAATGTTGCACTCGGTGAGTTGAATGCACACATCACAAAGTAGTTTCTGAGATTGCTTCTGTCTACCTTTTATGGAAAGATATTCCCTTTTCTACCATAGGCCTGAAAGCGCTCTCAATGTACCCTTGCAAATTCTACAAAAAGAGTGTTTCCAAATTGCTCTATCAAGAGAAATCTTTATCTCGGTGAGTTGAAAGCACACAACACAAAGAAGACTCTGAGAATTCTTCTGTCTGGGTTTATAAGATGAAAACCCGTTTCCAACGAAGGCCTCAAGGAGGTCCAAATACAAACAAGCTGATTCTACAGAAAGAGTGTTTCCAAACTGCTCTATCAAGAGGAATGTTCCACTCGGTGAGTTGAATGCAGACATCACAAAGGAGTTTCTGAGATTGCTTCTGTCTAGCTTTTATGGAAAGATATTTCCTTTTCTACCATAGGCCTCAAAGCGCTCTTAGTATACACTTCCAAATTCTACAAAGAGAGTGTTACTAAACCGCTCTCTCAAAGGAAATGTTAAACTCTGTGAGTTGAACACAGACATCACAAAGCAGTTTCTGAGAACACTTCTGTCTGCCTTTTATGTGAAGACATCCCCTTTTCCAAAGAATGCCTCCAAGGGCTCAAAATATCCACTTGTAGACTTTACAAAGAGAGTGTTTCAAAACTTCTCTACCAAAAGAAAGGTTAAAGACGGTGAGTTCAACGCACACATCACAAAGTTGTTTCTGAGAATGATTCTATCTATGTTTTCCATGAAGATGTTTCCTTTTCTATCATAGGCTTCAAAGTGGTCTAAATATCCACTTGGAAATCCTACAAGAACAGGGTTTCAAAACTTCTCTATCAAACGGAAGACTCCACTCTGTGAGATGAACGCACACATCACAATGAGGTTTCTGAAAATTCTTCTGTCTAGGGTTATAGGAAGAAATCCCGTTTCCAACGAAGGCCTCAAAGAGGTCCAAATATCCACTTGCAGTTTCTACAAAAAGAGTGTTTCAACACTGCTCTATAAAGAGGAAAGTTCCACTCTGTGAGTTGAATGTACACATCACAAAATAGTTTCTGAGATTGCTTCTGTCTAGGTTTTAGGTGAAGTTATTTCCTTTTCTACTGTGTGCTTCAATGCGCTCTAAATATACACATGCAAATACTACAAAAAGAGTGTTTCAAAACTGCTCTATCAAAAGAAAAGTTTTACTCTGTGAGTTGAACGCACACATCGCAAAGCAGATTCTGAGAATTATTCTGTCTAGTTTTTATAGGAAGATGTTTCTTTTTCTGCCATAGGCTCAATGCGCTATAAATATCCCCTTGGAAATCCTACAAAAACAGTGTTTCAAAACTGCTCTGTGAAAAGGGAGGTTTCACTCTTTGAATTGAATGCACACTTCACAAAGGAGTTTCTGAAAATTCTTCAATCTAGAGTTACATGAAGAAATCCCGTTTCCAAAGAAGGCCTCAAATAGGTCCAAATATCCACTTGCAGCTACTACAAGCAGGGTGTTTCAGAAACGCTCTATCAAAAGAAACGTTAAACTCTGTGAGTTGAACGCACACGTCACTAAGCACTTTCTGAGAACGATTCTATCTACTTTTTACATGAAGATGTTTCCTTTTCTAGCAGAGACTTCAAAGTGCTCTAAATATCCACTTGGGAATTCTACAAAAACGGTGTCTCAAACCTGCTCCATCAAAGGGAATGTTCCATTCTGTGAGTCGAATGCACACATCCGAAGAAGTTACTGAGAATTCTTCTCTGTAGGTTTAGATGAAGAAATCCCGTTTCCAACGAAGGCCTCTAGGAGGTCCAATTATCCAGTTGCAGATTCTACAGAAAGAGTGTTTCAAAACTGCTCTATCAAGAGAAAAGGTCCACCGTGTGTGTGGAATGCAGCCATCACACATTAGTTTCTGAGATTGCTTCTGTCTTGTTTTTATGGGGAGATATTTCCATTTCTAGCGTAGGCTTCAAGGCGCTCTAAATATCCGCTTGGAAATTTTTCAAAAACAGTGTTTCAAAACTGCTGTATCCAAAGGAAGGTGCCACTCGCTGAGTTGAATGCACACATCACAAAGAAGTTTCTGAGAATTCTTCTGTCTAGATTTATACGAAGAAATCCTGTTTCCAACGAAGGCCTCAAAGAAGTCCAAATATCCCATTGCAAATTCTACAAAAGGAGTGTTTCCCAACTACTCTATCAAGAGGAATGTTGCACTCTGTGACTTGAATGCAAACATCACATAGTAGTGTTTGAGAATTCTTCTATCTAGAGTAACATGAAGAAATCCCGTTTCCAACGAAGGCCTCAATGCGGTCCAATTATCCACTTGCAGATTCTACAGAAAGAGTGTTTCAAAACTGCTCTATCAAGAGAAATGTTCCACCGTGTGTGTGGAATGCAGCCATCACCCAGTAGTTTCTGAGATTGCTTCCGTCTATGTTTTATGGGAAGATATTTCCTTTTCTACCATAGGCTTCAAGGCGCTCTAATATCCGCTTGGAAATACTACAACCACAGCGTTTCAAACTGCTCTACCCAAAGGAAGGTTCCACCCTGTGACTTGAATGCACACAACCAAAGAAGTTTCGGAGAATTCTTCTGTCTGGATTTATACGAAGAAATCCCGTTTCCAACGAAGACCCAAAGGAGTTCCAAATATCCACTTGCAGATCCTTCAGAAAGAGGGTTTCAAAACTGCTCTATGAAGAGAAATGTTCAACTCTGTGAGTTGAATGCAGACATCACAAAGTCGTTTCTGAGATTGGTTCTGTCTAGGTTTTATGGGAAGATATTTCCTTTTCTACCATACGCTTCAAGGCGTTCCAAATATCCGCTTGGAAATACTACAAAAACGGTGTTTCAAAACTGCTCTATCAAAAGGAAGGATCCACACTGTGAGTTGAATTCACACATCACAAAGAAATCTCTGAGAATTCTTCTGTCTGGGTTTATAGGAAGAAATCCCGTTTCCAACGAAGGCCTCAAAGCGGTCCATATATCCACTTGCAGATTCTACAGAAACAATGTTTCCAAACTGCTCTATCAAGAGGAATGTTGCACTCGGTGAGTTGAATGCACACATCACAAAGTAGTTTCTGAGATTGCTTCTGTCTACCTTTTATGGAAAGATATTCCCTTTTCTACCATAGGCCTGAAAGCGCTCTCAATGTACCCTTGCAAATTCTACAAAAAGAGTGTTTCCAAATTGCTCTATCAAGAGAAATCTTTATCTCGGTGAGTTGAAAGCACACATCACAAAGAAGACTCTGAGAATTCTTCTGTCTGGGTTTATAAGATGAAAACCCGTTTCCAACGAAGGCCTCAAGGAGGTCCAAATACAAACAAGCTGATTCTACAGAAAGAGTGTTTCCAAACTGCTCTATCAAGAGGAATGTTCCACTCGGTGAGTTGAATGCAGACATCACAAAGGAGTTTCTGAGATTGCTTCTGTCTAGCTTTTATGGAAAGATATTTCCTTTTCTACCATAGGCCTCAAAGCGCTCTTAGTATACACTTCCAAATTCTACAAAGAGAGTGTTACTAAACCGCTCTCTCAAAGGAAATGTTAAACTCTGTGAGTTGAACACAGACATCACAAAGCAGTTTCTGAGAACACTTCTGTCTGCCTTTTATGTGAAGACATTCCCTTTTCCAAAGAATGCCTCCAAGGGCTCAAAATATCCACTCGTAGACTTTACAAAGAGAGTGTTTCAAAACTTCTCTACCAAAAGAAAGGTTAAAGACGGTGAGTTCAACGCACACATCACAAAGTTGTTTCTGAGAATGATTCTATCTATGTTTTCCATGAAGATGTTTCCTTTTCTATCATAGGCTTCAAAGTGGTCTAAATATCCACTTGGAAATCCTACAAGAACAGGGTTTCAAAACTTCTCTATCAAACGGAACACTCCACTCTGTGAGATGAACGCACACATCACAATGAGGTTTCTGAAAATTCTTCTGTCTAGGGTTATAGGAAGAAATCCCGTTTCCAACGAAGGCCTCAAAGAGGTCCGAATATCCACTTGCAGTTTCTACAAAAAGAGTGTTTCAACACTGCTCTATAAAGAGGAAAGTTCCACTCTGTGAGTTGAATGTACACATCACAAAGTAGTTTCTGAGATTGCTTCTGTCTAGGTTTTAGGTGAAGTTATTTCCTTTTCTACTGTGGGCTTCAATGCGCTCTAAATATACACATGCAAATACTACAAAAAGAGTGTTTCAAAACTGCTCTATCAAAAGAAAAGTTTTACTCTGTGGGTTGAACGCACACATCATAAAGCAGATTCTGAGAATTATTCTGTCTAGTTTTTATAGGAAGATGTTTCTTTTTCTGCCGTAGGCTCAATGCGGTATAAATATCCCCTTGGAAATCCTACAAAAACAGTGTTTCAAAACTGCTCTGTGAAAAGGGAGGTTTCACTCTTTGGATTGAATGCACAAATCACAAAGGAGTTTCTGAAAATTCTTCAAACTAGAGTTACATGAAGAAATCCCGTTTCCAAAGAAGGCCTCAAATAGGTCCAAATATCCACTTGCAGCTACTACAAGCAGGGTGTTTCAGAAACGCTCTATCAAAAGAAACGTTAAACTCTGTGAGTTGAACACACACGTCACTAAGCACTTTCTGAGAACGATTCTATCTACTTTTTACATGAAGATGTTTCCTTTTCTAGCAGAGACTTCAAAGTGCTCTAAATATCCACTTGGGAATTCTACAAAAACGGTGTCTCAAAACTGCTCTATCAAACGGAATGTTCCATTCTGTGAGTCGAATGCACACATCCGAAGAAGTTACTGAGAATTCTTCTCTGTAGGTTTAGATGAAGAAATCCCGTTTCCAACGAAGGCCTCTAGGAGGTCCAATTATCCACTTGCAGATTCTACAGAAAGAGTGTTTCAAAACTGCTCTATCAAGAGAAATGGTCCACCGTGTGTGTGGAATGCAGCCATCACACATTAGTTTCTGAGATTGCTTCTGTCTTGGTTTTATGGGGAGATATTTCCATTTCTAGCATAGGCTTCAAGGCGCTCTAAATATCCGCTTGGAAATAGTACAAAAACAGTGTTTCAAAACTGCTGTATCCAAAGGAAGGTGCCACTCGCTGAGTTGAATGCACACATCACAAGGAAGTTTCTGAGAATTCTTCTGTCTAGATTCATACGAAGAAATCCCGTTTCCAACGAAGGCCTCAAAGAAGTCCAAATATCCCATTGCAAATTCTACAAAAGGAGTGTTTCCCAACTGCTCTATCAAGAGGAATGTTGCACTCTGTGACTTGAATGCAAACATCACATAGCAGTGTTTGAGAATTCTTCTGTCTAGAGTAACATGAAGAAATCCCGTTTCCAACGAAGGCCTCAAGGCGGTCCAATTATCCACTTGCAGATTCTACAGAAAGAGTGTTTCAAAACTGCTCTATCAAGAGAAATGTTCCACCGTGTGTGTGGAATGCAGCCATCACACAGTAGTTTCTGAGATTGCTTCCGTCTAGGTTTTATGGGAAGATATTTCCTTTTCTACCATAGGCCTCAAGGCGCTCTAATATCCGCTTGGAAATACTACAACCACAGCGTTTCAAACTGCTCTATCCAAAGGAAGGTTCCACTCTGTGACTTGAATGCACACAACCAAAGAAGTTTCGGAGAATTCTCTGTCTGGATTTATACGAAGAAATCGCGTTTCCAACGAAGACCCAAAGGAGTTCCAAATATCCACTTGCAGATCCTTCAGAAAGAGGGTTTCAAAACTGCTCTATCAAGAGAAATGTTCAACTCTGTGAGTTGAATGCAGACATCACAAAGTCGTTTCTGAGATGGGTTCTGTCTAGGTTTTATGGGAAGATATTTCCTTTTCTACCATACGCTTCAAGGCGTTCCAAATATCCGCTTGGAAATACTACAAAAACAGTGTTTCAAAACTGCTCTATCAAAAGGAAGGATCCACACTGTGAGTTGAATTCACACATCAGAAAGAAGTCTCTGAGAATTCTTCTGTCTGGGTTTATAGGAAGAAATCCCGTTTCCAACGAAGGCCTCAAAGAGGTCCAAATATCCACTTGCAGATTCTACAGAAACAATGTTTCCAAACTGCTCGGTCAAGAGGAATGTTGCACTCGGTGAGTTGAATGCACACATCACAAAGTAGTTTCTGAGATTGCTTCTGTCTACCTTTTATGGAAAGATATTCCCTTTTCTACCATAGGCCTGAAAGCGCTCTCAATGTACCCTTGCAAATTCTACAAAAAGAGTGTTTCCAAATTGCTCTATCAAGAGAAATCTTTATCTCGGTGAGTTGAAAGCACACATCACAAAGAAGACTCTGAGAATTCTTCTGTCTGGGTTTATAAGATGAAAACCCGTTTCCAACGAAGGCCTCAAGGAGGTCCAAATACAAACAAGCTGATTCTACAGAAAGAGTGTTTCCAAACTGCTCTATCAAGAGGAATGTTCCACTCGGTGAGTTGAATGCAGACATCACAAAGGAGTTTCTGAGATTGCTTCTGTCTAGCTTTTATGGAAAGATATTTCCTTTTCTACCATAGGCCTCAAAGCGCTCTTAGTATACACTTCCAAATTCTACAAAGAGAGTGTTACTAAACCGCTCTCTCAAAGGAAATGTTAAACTCTGTGAGTTGAACACAGACATCACAAAGCAGTTTCTGAGAACACTTCTGTCTGCCTTTTATGTGAAGACATCCCCTTTTCCAAAGAATGCCTCCAAGGGCTCAAAATATCCACTTGTAGACTTTACAAAGAGAGTGTTTCAAAACTTCTCTACCAAAAGAAAGGTTAAAGACGGTGAGTTCAACGCACACATCACAAAGTTGTTTCTGAGAATGATTCTATCTATGTTTTCCATGAAGATGTTTCCTTTTCTATCATAGGCTTCCAAGTGGTCTAAATATCCACCTGGAAATCCTACAAGAACAGGGTTTCAAAGCTTCTCTATCAAACGGAAGACTCCACTCTGTGAGATGAACGCACACATCACAATGAGGTTTCTGAAAATTCTTCTGTCTAGGGTTATAGGAAGAAATCCCGTTTCCAACGAAGGCCTCAAAGAGGTCCAAATATCCACTTGCAGTTTCTACAAAAAGAGTGTTTCAACACTGCTCTATAAAGAGGAAAGTTCCACTCTGTGAGTTGAATGTACACATCACAAAGTAGTTTCTGAGATTGCTTCTGTCTAGGTTTTAGGTGAAGTTATTTCCTTTTCTACTGTGGGCTTCAATGCGCTCTAAATATACACATGCAAATACTACAAAAAGAGTGTTTCAAAACTGCTCTATCAAAAGAAAAGTTTTACTCTGTGGGTTGAACGCACACATCGCAAAGCAGATTCTGAGAATTATTCTGTCTAGTTTTTATAGGAAGATGTTTCTTTTTCTGCCGTAGGCTCAATGCGCTATAAATATCCCCTTGGAAATCCTACAAAAACAGTGTTTTAAAACTGCTCTGTGAAAAGGGACGTTTCACTCTTTGAATTGAATGCACACATCACAAAGGAGTTTCTGAAAATTCTTCAATCTAGAGTTACATGAAGAAATCCCGTTTCCAAAGAAGGCCTCAAATAGGTACAAATATCCACTTGCAGCTACTACAAGAAGGGTGTTTCAGAAACGCTCTATCAAAAGAAACGTTAAACTCTGTGAGTTGAACGCACACGTCACTAAGCACTTTCTGAGAACGATTTCTATCTACTTTTTACATGAAGATGTTTCCTTTTCTAGCAGAGACTTCAAAGTGCTCTAAATATCCACTTGGGAATTCTACAAAAACGGTGTCTCAAAACTGCTCTATCAAACGGAATGTTCCATTCTGTGAGTCGAATGCACACATCCGAAGAAGTTACTGAGAATTCTTCTCTGTAGGTTTAGGTGAAGAAATCCCGTTTCCAACGAAGGCCTCTAGGAGGTCCAATTATCCACTTGCAGATTCTACAGAAAGAGTGTTTCAAAACTGCTCTATCAAGAGAAATGGTCCACCGTGTGTGTGGAATGCAGCCATCACACATTAGTTTCTGAGATTGCTTCTGTCTTGGTTTTATGGGGAGATATTTCCATTTCTAGCATAGGCTTCAAGGCGCTCTAAATATCCGCTTGGAAATACTACAAAAACAGTGTTTCAAAACTGCTGTATCCAAAGGAAGGTGCCACTCGCTGAGTTGAATGCACACATCACAAGGAAGTTTCTGAGAATTCTTCTGTCTAGATTCATACGAAGAAATCCCGTTTCCAACGAAGGCCTCAAAGAAGTCCAAATATCCCATTGCAAATTCTACAAAAGGAGTGTTTCCCAACTGCTCTATCAAGAGGAATGTTGCACTCTGTGACTTGAATGCAAACATCACATAGCAGTGTTTGAGAATTCTTCTGTCTAGAGTAACATGAAGAAATCCCGTTTCCAACGAAGGCCTCAAGGCGGTCCAATTATCCACTTGCAGATTCTACAGAAAGAGTGTTTCAAAACTGCTCTATCAAGAGAAATGTTCCACCGTGTGTGTGGAATGCAGCCATCACACAGTAGTTTCTGAGATTGCTTCCGTCTAGGTTTTATGGGAAGATATTTCCTTTTCTACCATAGGCCTCAAGGCGCTCTAATATCCGCTTGGAAATACTACAACCACAGCGTTTCAAACTGCTCTATCCAAAGGAAGGTTCCACTCTGTGACTTGAATGCACACAACCAAAGAAGTTTTGGAGAATTCTTCTGTCTGGATTTATACGAAGAAATCCCGTTTCCAACGAAGACCCAAAGGAGTTCCAAATATCCACTTGCAGATCCTTCAGAAAGAGGGTTTCAAAACTGCTCTATCAAGAGAAATGTTCAACTCTGCGAGTTGAATGCAGACATCACAAAGTCGTTTCTGAGATGGGTTCTGTCTAGGTTTTATGGGAAGATATTTCCTTTTCTACCATACGCTTCAAGGCGTTCCAAATATCCGCTTGGAAATACTACAAAAACGGTGTTTCAAAACTGCTCTATCAAAAGGAAGGATCCACACTGTGAGTTGAATTCACACATCACAAAGAAATCTCTGAGAATTCTTCTGTCTGGGTTTATAGGAAGAAATCCCGTTTCCAACGAAGGCCTCAAAGAGGTCCATATATCCACTTGCAGATTCTACAGAAACAATGTTTCCAAACTGCTCTATCAAGAGGAATGTTGCACTCGGTGAGTTGAATGCACACATCACAAAGTAGTTTCTGAGATTGCTTCTGTCTACCTTTTATGGAAAGAATTCCCTTTTCTACCATAGGCCTGAAGCGCTCTCAATGTACCCTTGCAAATTCTACAAAAAGAGTGTTTCCAAATTGCTCTATCAAGAGAAATCTTTATCTCGGTGAGTTGAAAGCACACATCACAAAGAAGACTCTGAGAATTCTTCTGTCTGGGTTTATAAGATGAAAACCCGTTTCCAACGAAGGCCTCAAGGAGGTCCAAATACAAACAAGCTGATTCTACAGAAAGAGTGTTTCCAAACTGCTCTATCAAGAGGAATGTTCCACTCGGTGAGTTGAATGCAGACATCACAAAGGAGTTTCTGAGATTGCTTCTGTCTAGCTTTTATGGAAAGATATTTCCTTTTCTACCATAGGCCTCAAAGCGCTCTTAGTATACACTTCCAAATTCTACAAAGAGAGTGTTACTAAACCGCTCTCTCAAAGGAAATGTTAAACTCTGTGAGTTGAACACAGACATCACAAAGCAGTTTCTGAGAACACTTCTGTCTGCCTTTCATGTGAAGACATTCCCTTTTCCAAAGAATGCCTCCAAGGGCTCAAAATATCCACTTGTAGACTTTACAAAGAGAGTGTTTCAAAACTTCTCTACCAAAAGAAAGGTTAAAGACGGTGAGTTCAACGCACACATCACAAAGTTGTTTCTGACAATGATTCTATCTATGTTTTCCATGAAGATGTTTCCTTTTCTATCATAGGCTTCAAAGTGGTCTAAATATCCACTTGGAAATCCTACAAGAACAGGGTTTCAAAACTTCTCTATCAAACGGAAGACTCCACTCTGTGAGATGAACGCACACATCACAATGAGGTTTCTGAAAATTCTTCTGTCTAGGGTTATAGGAAGAAATCCCGTTTCCAACGAAGGCCTCAAAGAGGTCCAAATATCCACTTGCAGTTTCTACAAAAAGAGTGTTTCAACACTGCTCTATAAAGAGGAAAGTTCCACTCTGTGAGTTGAATGTACACATCACAAAGTAGTTTCTGAGATTGCTTCTGTCTAGGTTTTAGGTGAAGTTATTTCCTTTTCTACTGTGGGCTTCAATGCGCTCTAAATATACACATGCAAATACTACAAAAAGAGTGTTTCAAAACTGCTCTATCAAAAGAAAAGTTTTACTCTGTGGGTTGAACGCACACATCGCAAAGCAGATTCTGAGAATTATTCTGTCTAGTTTTTATAGGAAGATGTTTCTTTTTCTGCCATAGGCTCAATGCGCTATAAATATCCCCTTGGAAGTCCTACAAAAACAGTGTTTCAAAACTGCTCTGTGAAAAGGGAGGTTTCACTCTTTGAATTGAATGCACACATCACAAAGGAGTTTCTGAAAATTCTTCAATCTAGAGTTACATGAAGAAATCCCGTTTCCAAAGAAGGCCTCAAATAGGTCCAAATATCCACTTGCAGCTACTACAAGAAGGGTGTTTCAGAAACGCTCTATCAAAAGAAACGTTAAACTCTGTGAGTTGAACGCACACGTCACTAAGCACTTTCTGAGAACGATTCTATCTACTTTTTACATGAAGATGTTTCCTTTTCTAGCAGAGACTTCAAAGTGCTCTAAATATCCACTTGGGAATTCTACAAAAACGGTGTCTCAAAACTGCTCTATCAAAGGGAATGTTCCATTCTGTGAGTCGAATGCACACATCCGAAGAAGTTACTGAGAATTCTTCTCTGTAGGTTTAGATGAAGAAATCCCGTTTCCAACGAAGGCCTCTAGGAGGTCCAATTATCCACTTGCAGATTCTACAGAAAGAGTGTTTCAAAACTGCTCTATCAAGAGAAATGGTCCACCGTGTGTGTGGAATGCAGCCATCACACATTAGTTTCTGAGATTGCTTCTGTCTTGGTTTTATGGGGAGATATTTCCATTTCTAGCATAGGCTTCAAGGCGCTCTAAATATCCGCTTGGAAATACTACAAAAACAGTGTTTCAAAACTGCTGTATCGAAAGGAAGGTGCCACTCGCTGAGTTGAATGCACACATCACAAGGAAGTTTCTGAGAATTCTTCTGTCTAGATGCATACGAAGAAATCCCGTTTCCAACGAAGGCCTCAAAGAAGTCCAAATATCCCATTGCAAATTCTACAAAAGGAGTGTTTCCCAACTGCTCTATCAAGAGGAATGTTGCACTCTGTGACTTGAATGCAAACATCACATAGCAGTGTTTGAGAATTCTTCTGTCTAGAGTAACATGAAGAAATCCCGTTTCCAACGAAGGCCTCAAGGCCGTCCAATTATCCACTTGCAGATTCTACAGAAAGAGTGTTTCAAAACTGCTCTATCAAGAGAAATGTTCCACCGTGTGTGTGGAATGCAGCCATCACACAGTAGTTTCTGAGATTGCTTCCGTCTAGGTTTTATGGGAAGATATTTCCTTTTCTACCATAGGCTTCAAGGCGCTCTAATATCCGCTTGGAAATACTACAACCACAGCGTTTCAAACTGCTCTATCCAAAGGAAGGTTCCACTCTGTGACTTGAATGCACACAACCAAAGAAGTTTCGGAGAATTCTTCTGTCTGGATTTATACGAAGAAATCCCGTTTCCAACGAAGACCCAAAGGAGTTCCAAATATCCACTTGCAGCTCCTTCAGAAAGAGGGTTTCAAAACTGCTCTATCAAGAGAAATGTTCAACTCTGTGAGTTGAATGCAGACATCACAAAGTCGTTTCTGAGATGGGTTCTGTCTAGGTTTTATGGGAAGATATTTCCTTTTCTACCTTACGCTTCAAGGCGTTCCAAATATCCGCTTGGAAATACTACAAAAACAGTGTTTCAAAACTGCTCTATCAAAAGGAAGGATCCACACTGTGAGTTGAATTCACACATCACAAAGAAGTCTCTGAGAATTCTTCTGTCTGGGTTTATAGGAAGAAATCCCGTTTCCAACGAAGGCCTCAAAGCGGTCCATATATCCACTTGCAGATTCTACAGAAACAATGTTTCCAAACTGCTCTATCAAGAGGAATGTTGCACTCGGTGAGTTGAATGCACACATCACAAAGTAGTTTCTGAGATTGCTTCTGTCTACCTTTTATGGAAAGATATTCCCTTTTCTACCATAGGCCTGAAAGCGCTCTCAATGTACCCTTGCAAATTCTACAAAAAGAGTGTTTCCAAATTGCTCTATCAAGAGAAATCTTTATCTCGGTGAGTTGAAAGCACACATCACAAAGAAGACTCTGAGAATTCTTCTGTCTGGGTTTATAAGATGAAAACCCGTTTCCAACGAAGGCCTCAAGGAGGTCCAAATACAAACAAGCTGATTCTACAGAAAGAGTGTTTCCAAACTGCTCTATCAAGAGGAATGTTCCACTCGGTGAGTTGAATGCAGACATCACAAAGGAGTTTCTGAGATTGCTTCTGTCTAGCTTTTATGGAAAGATATTTCCTTTTCTACCATAGGCCTCAAAGCGCTCTTAGTATACACTTCCAAATTCTACAAAGAGAGTGTTACTAAACCGCTCTCTCAAAGGAAATGTTAAACTCTGTGAGTTGAACACAGACATCACAAAGCAGTTTCTGAGAACACTTCTGTCTGCCTTTTAGGTGAAGACATTCCCTTTTCCAAAGAATGCCTCCAAGGGCTCAAAATATCCACTTGTAGACTTTACAAAGAGAGTGTTTCAAAACTTCTCTACCAAAAGAAAGTTTAAAGACGGTGAGTTCAACGCACACATCACAAAGTTGTTTCTGAGAATGATTCTATCTATGTTTTCCATGAAGATGTTTCCTTTTCTATCATAGGCTTCAAAGTGGTCTAAATATCCACTTGGAAATCCTACAAGAACAGGGTTTCCAAACTTCTCTATCAAACGGAACACTCCACTCTGTGAGATGAACGCACACATCACAATGAGGTTTCTGAAAATTCTTCTGTCTAGGGTTATAGGAAGAAATCCCGTTTCCAACGAAGGCCTCAAAGAGGTCCAAATATCCACTTGCAGTTTCTACAAAAAGAGTGTTTCAACACTGCTCTATAAAGAGGAAAGTTCCACTCTGTGAGTTGAATGTACACATCACAAAGTAGTTTCTGAGATTGCTTCTGTCTAGGTTTTAGGTGAAGTTATTTCCTTTTCTACTGTGGGCTTCAATGCGCTCTAAATATACACATGCAAATACTACAAAGAGTGTTTCAAAACTGCTCTATCAAAAGAAAAGTTTTACTCTGTGGGTTGAACGCACACATCGCAAAGCAGATTCTGAGAATTATTCTGTCTAGTTTTTATAGGAAGATGTTTCTTTTTCTGCCGTAGGCTCAATGCGCTATAAATATCCCCTTGGAAATCCTACAAAAACAGTGTTTCAAAACTGCTCTGTGGAAAGGGAGGTTTCACTCTTTGAATTGAATGCACACATCACAAAGGAGTTTCTGAAAATTCTTCAATCTAGAGTTACATGAAGAAATCCCGTTTCCAAAGAAGGCCTCAAATAGGTCCAAATATCCACTTGCAGCTACTACAAGCAGGGTGTTTCAGAAACGCTCTATCAAAAGAAACGTTAAACTCTGTGAGTTGAACACACACGTCACTAAGCACTTTCTGAGAACGATTCTATCTACTTTTTACATGAAGATGTTTCCTTTTCTAGCAGAGACTTCAAAGTGCTCTAAATATCCACTTGGGAATTCTACAAAAACGGTGTCTCAAAACTGCTCTATCAAAGGGAATGTTCCATTCTGTGAGTCGAATGCACACATCCGAAGAAGTTACTGAGAATTCTTCTCTGTAGGTTTAGATGAAGAAATCCCATTTCCAACGAAGGCCTCTAGGAGGTCCAATTATCCACTTGCAGATTCTACAGAAAGAGTGTTTCAAAACTGCTCTATCAAGAGAAATGGTCCACCGTGTGTGTGGAATGCAGCCATCACACATTAGTTTCTGAGATTGCTTCTGTCTTGGTTTTATGGGGAGATATTTCCATTTCTAGCATAGGCTTCAAGGCGCTCTAAATATCCGCTTGGAAATACTACAAAAACAGTGTTTCAAAACTGCTGTATCCAAAGGAAGGTGCCACTCGCTGAGTTGAATGCACACATCACAAGGAAGTTTCTGAGAATTCTTCTGTCTAGATTCATACGAAGAAATCCCGTTTCTAACGAAGGCCTCAAAGAAGTCCAAATATCCCATTGCAAATTCTACAAAAGGAGTGTTTCCCAACTGCTCTATCAAGAGGAATGTTGCACTCTGTGACTTGCATGCAAACATCACATAGCAGTGTTTGAGAATTCTTCTGTCTAGAGTAACATGAAGAAATCCCGTTTCCAACGAAGGCCTCAAGGCGGTCCAATTATCCACTTGCAGATTCTACAGAAAGAGTGTTTCAAAACTGCTCTATCAAGAGAAATGTTCCACCGTGTGTGTGGAATGCAGCCATCACACAGTAGTTTCTGAGATTGCTTCCGTCTAGGTTTTATGGGAAGATATTTCCTTTTCTACCATAGGCTTCAAGGCGCTCTAATATCCGCTTGGAAATACTACAACCACAGCGTTTCAAACTGCTCTATCCAAAGGAAGGTTCCACTCTGTGACTTGAATGCACACAACCAAAGAAGTTTCGGAGAATTCTTCTGTCTGGATTTATACGAAGAAATCCCGTTTCCAACGAAGACCCAAAGGAGTTCCAAATATCCACTTGCAGATCCTTCAGAAAGAGGGTTTCAAAACTGCTCTATCAAGAGAAATGTTCAACTCTGTGAGTTGAATGCAGACATCACAAAGTCGTTTCTGAGATGGGTTCTGTCTAGGTTTTATGGGAAGATATTTCCTTTTCTACCATACGCTTCAAGGCGTTCCAAATATCCGCTTGGAAATACTACAAAAACAGTGTTTCAAAACTGCTCTATCAAAAGGAAGGATCCACACTGTGAGTTGAATTCACACATCACAAAGAAATCTCTGAGAATTCTTCTGTCTGGGTTTATAGGAAGAAATCCCGTTTCCAATGAAGGCCTCAAAGCGGTCCATATATCCACTTGCAGATTCTACAGAAACAATGTTTCCAAACTGCTCTATCAAGAGGAATGTTGCACTCGGTGAGTTGAATGCACACATCACAAAGTAGTTTCTGAGATTGCTTCTGTCTACCTTTTATGGAAAGATATTCCCTTTTCTACCATAGGCCTGAAAGCGCTCTCAATGTACCCTTGCAAATTCTACAAAAAGAGTGTTTCCAAATTGCTCTATCAAGAGAAATCTTTATCTCGGTGAGTTGAAAGCACACATCACAAAGAAGACTCTGAGAATTCTTCTGTCTGGGTTTATAAGATGAAAACCCGTTTCCAACGAAGGCCTCAAGGAGGTCCAAATACAAACAAGCTGATTCTACAGAAAGAGTGTTTCCAAACTGCTCTATCAAGAGGAATGTTCCACTCGGTGAGTTGAATGCAGACATCACAAAGGAGTTTCTGAGATTGCTTCTGTCTAGCTTTTATGGAAAGATATTTCCTTTTCTACCATAGGCCTCAAAGCGCTCTTAGTATACACTTCCAAATTCTACAAAGAGAGTGTTACTAAACCGCTCTCTCAAAGGAAATGTTAAACTCTGTGAGTTGAACACAGACATCACAAAGCAGTTTCTGAGAACACTTCTGTCTGCCTTTTATGTGAAGACATTCCCTTTTCCAAAGAATGCCTCCAAGGGCTCAAAATATCCACTTGTAGACTTTACAAAGAGAGTGTTTCAAAACTTCTCTACCAAAAGAAAGGTTAAAGACGGTGAGTTCAACGCACACATCACAAAGTTGTTTCTGAGAATGATTCTATCTATGTTTTCCATGAAGATGTTTCCTTTTCTATCATAGGCTTCAAAGTGGTCTAAATATCCACTTGGAAATCCTACAAGAACAGGGTTTCAAAACTTCTCTATCAAACGGAAGACTCCACTCTGTGAGATGAACGCACACATCACAATGAGGTTTCTGAAAATTCTTCTGTCTAGGGTTATAGGAAGAAATCCCGTTTCCAACGAAGGCCTCAAAGAGGTCCAAATATCCACTTGCAGTTTCTACAAAAAGAGTGTTTCAACACTGCTCTATAAAGAGGAAAGTTCCACTCTGTGAGTTGAATGTACACATCACAAAGTAGTTTCTGAGATTGCTTCTGTCTAGGTTTTAGGTGAAGTTATTTCCTTTTCTACTGTGGGCTTCAATGCGCTCTAAATATACACATGCAAATACTACAAAAAGAGTGTTTGAAAACTGCTCTATCAAAAGAAAAGTTTTACTCTGTGGGTTGAACGCACACATCGCAAAGCAGATTCTGAGAATTATTCTGTCTAGTTTTTATAGGAAGATGTTTCTTTTTCTGCCGTAGGCTCAATGCGCTATAAATATCCCCTTGGAAATCCTACAAAAACAGTGTTTCAAAACTGCTCTGTGAAAAGGGAGGTTTCACTCTTTGAATTGAATGCACACATCACAAAGGAGTTTCTGAAAATTCTTCAAACGAGAGTTACATGAAGAAATCCCGTTTCCAAAGAAGGCCTCAAATAGGTCCAAATATCCACTTGCAGCTACTACAAGAAGGGTGTTTCAGAAACGCTCTATCAAAAGAAACGTTAAACTCTGTGAGTTGAACGCACACGTCACTAAGCACTTTCTGAGAACGATTCTATCTACTTTTTACATGAAGGTGTTTCCTTTTCTAGCAGAGACTTCAAAGTGCTCTAAATATCCACTTGGGAATTCTACAAAAACGGTGTCTCAAAACTGCTCTATCAAACGGAATGTTCCATTCTGTGAGTCGAATGCACACATCCGAAGAAGTTACTGAGAATTCTTCTCTGTAGGTTTAGGTGAAGAAATCCCGTTTCCAACGAAGGCCTCTAGGAGGTCCAATTATCCACTTGCAGATTCTACAGAAAGAGTGTTTCAAAACTGCTCTATCAAGAGAAATGGTCCACCGTGTGTGTGGAATGCAGCCATCACACATTAGTTTCTGAGATTGCTTCTGTCTTGGTTTTATGGGGAGATATTTCCATTTCTAGCATAGGCTTCAAGGCGCTCTAAATATCCGCTTGGAAATACTACAAAAACAGTGTTTCAAAACTGCTGTATCCAAAGGAAGGTGCCACTCGCTGAGTTGAATGCACACATCACAAGGAAGTTTCTGAGAATTCTTCTGTCTAGATTCATACGAAGAAATCCCGTTTCCAACGAAGGCCTCAAAGAAGTCCAAATATCCCATTGCAAATTCTACAAAAGGAGTGTTTCCCAACTGCTCTATCAAGAGGAATGTTGCACTCTGTGACTTGCATGCAAACATCACACAGCAGTGTTTGAGAATTCTTCTGTCTAGAGTAACATGAAGAAATCCCGTTTCCAACGAAGGCCTCAAGGCGGTCCAATTATCCACTTGCAGATTCTACAGAAAGAGTGTTTCAAAACTGCTCTATCAAGAGGAAATGTTCCACCGTGTGTGTGGAATGCAGCCATCACACAGTAGTTTCTGAGATTGCTTCCGTCTAGGTTTTATGGGAAGATATTTCCTTTTCTACCATAGGCTTCAAGGCGCTCTAATATCCGCTTGGAAATACTACAACCACAGCGTTTCAAACTGCTCTATCCAAAGGAAGGTTCCACTCTGTGACTTGAATGCACACAACCAAAGAAGTTTCGGAGAATTCTTCTGTCTGGATTTATACGAAGAAATCCCGTTTCCAACGAAGACCCAAAGGAGTTCCAAATATCCACTTGCAGATCCTTCAGAAAGAGGGTTTCAAAACTGCTCTATCAAGAGAAATGTTCAACTCTGTGAGTTCAATGCAGACATCACAAAGTCGTTTCTGAGATGGGTTCTGTCTAGGTTTTATGGGAAGATATTTCCTTTTCTACCATACGCTTCAAGGCGTTCCAAATATCCGCTTGGAAATACTACAAAAACAGTGTTTCAAAACTGCTCTATCAAAAGGAAGGATCCACACTGTGAGTTGAATTCACACATCACAAAGAAATCTCTGAGAATTCTTCTGTCTGGGTTTATAGGAAGAAATCCCGTTTCCAACGAAGGCCTCAAAGCGGTCCATATATCCACTTGCAGATTCTACAGAAACAATGTTTCCAAACTGCTCTATCAAGAGGAATGTTGCACTCGGGGAGTTGAATGCACACATCACAAAGTAGTTTCTGAGATTGCTTCTGTCTACCTTTTATGGAAAGATATTCCCTTTTCTACCATAGGCCTGAAAGCGCTCTCAATGTACCCTTGCAAATTCTACAAAAAGAGTGTTTCCAAATTGCTCTATCAAGAGAAATCTTTATCTCGGTGAGTTGAAAGCACACATCACAAAGAAGACTCTGAGAATTCTTCTGTCTGGGTTTATAAGATGAAAACCCGTTTCCAACGAAGGCCTCAAGGAGGTCCAAATACAAACAAGCTGATTCTACAGAAAGAGTGTTTCCAAACTGCTCTATCAAGAGGAATGTTCCACTCGGTGAGCTGAATGCAGACATCACAAAGGAGTTTCTGAGATTGCTTCTGTCTAGCTTTTATGGAAAGATATTTCCTTTTCTACCATAGGCCTCCAAGTGCTCTTAGTATACACTTCCAAATTCTACAAAGAGAGTGTTACTAAACCGCTCTCTCAAAGGAAATGTTAAACTCTGTGAGTTGAACACAGACATCACAAAGCAGTTTCTGAGAACACTTCTGTCTGCCTTTTATGTGAAGACATTCCCTTTTCCAAAGAATGCCTCCAAGGGCTCAAAATATCCACTTGTAGACTTTACAAAGAGAGTGTTTCAAAACTTCTCTACCAAAAGAAAGGTTAAAGACGGTGAGTTCAACGCACACATCACAAAGTTGTTTCTGAGAATGATTCTATCTATGTTTTCCATGAAGATGTTTCCTTTTCTATCATAGGCTTCAAAGTGGTCTAAATATCCACTTGGAAATCCTACAAGAACAGGGTTTCAAAACTTCTCTATCAAACGGAACACTCCACTCTGTGAGATGAACGCACACATCACAATGAGGTTTCTGAAAATTCTTCTGTCTAGGGTTATAGGAAGAAATCCCGTTTCCAACGAAGGCCTCAAAGAGGTCCAAATATCCACTTGCAGTTTCTAGAAAAAGAGTGTTTCAACACTGCTCTATAAAGAGGAAAGTTCCACTCTGTGAGTTGAATGTACACATCACAAAGTAGTTTCTGAGATTGCTTCTGTCTAGGTTTTAGGTGAAGTTATTTCCTTTTCTACTGTGGGCTTCAATGCGCTCTAAATATACACATGCAAATACTACAAAAAGAGTGTTTCAAAACTGCTCTATCAAAAGAAAAGTTTTACTCTGTGGGTTGAACGCACACATCGCAAAGCAGATTCTGAGAATTATTCTGTCTAGTTTTTATAGGAAGATGTTCCTTTTTCTGCCGTAGGCTCAATGCGCTATAAATATCCCCTTGGAAATCCTACAAAAACAGTGTTTCAAAACTGCTCTGTGAAAAGGGAGGTTTCACTCTTTGAATTGAATGCACACATCACAAAGGAGTTTCTGAAAATTCTTCAAACTAGAGTTACATGAAGAAATCCCGTTTCCAAAGAAGGCCTCAAATAGGTCCAAATATCCACTTGCAGCTACTACAAGCAGGGTGTTTCAGAAACGCTCTATCAAAAGAAACGTTAAACTCTGTGAGTTGAACACACACGTCACTAAGCACTTTCTGAGAACGATTCTATCTACTTTTTACATGAAGATGTTTCCTTTTCTAGCAGAGACTTCAAAGTGCTCTAAATATCCACTTGGGAATTCTACAAAAACGGTGTCTCAAAACTGCTCTATCAAAGGGAATGTTCCATTCTGTGAGTCGAATGCACACATCCGAAGAAGTTACTGAGAATTCTTCTCTGTAGGTTTAGGTGAAGAAATCCCGTTTCCAACGAAGGCCTCTAGGAGGTCCAATTATCCACTTGCAGATTCTACAGAAAGAGTGTTTCAAAACTGCTCTATCAAGAGAAATGGTCCACCGTGTGTGTGGAATGCAGCCATCACACATTAGTTTCTGAGATTGCTTCTGTCTTGGTTTTATGGGGAGATATTTCCATTTCTAGCATAGGCTTCAAGGCGCTCTAAATATCCGCTTGGAAATACTACAAAAACAGTGTTTCAAAACTGCTGTATCCAAAGGAAGGTGCCACTCGCTGAGTTGAATGCACACATCACAAGGAAGTTTCTGAGAATTCTTCTGTCTAGATTCATACGAAGAAATCCCGTTTCCAACGAAGGCCTCAAAGAAGTCCAAATATCCCATTGCAAATTCTACAAAAGGAGTGTTTCCCAACTGCTCTATCAAGAGGAATGTTGCACTCTGTGACTTGAATGCAAACATCACATAGCAGTGTTTGAGAATTCTTCTGTCTAGAGTAACATGAAGAAATCCCGTTTCCAACGAAGGCCTCAAGGCGGTCCAATTATCCACTTGCAGATTCTACAGAAAGAGTGTTTCAAAACTGCTCTATCAAGAGAAATGTTCCACCGTGTGTGTGGAATGCAGCCATCACACAGTAGTTTCTGAGATTGCTTCCGTCTAGGTTTTATGGGAAGATATTTCCTTTTCTACCATAGGCCTCAAGGCGCTCTAATATCCGCTTGGAAATACTACAACCACAGCGTTTCAAACTGCTCTATCCAAAGGAAGGTTCCACTCTGTGACTTGAATGCACACAACCAAAGAAGTTTCGGAGAATTCTTCTGTCTAGATTTATACGAAGAAATCCCGTTTCCAACGAAGACCCAAAGGAGTTCCAAATATCCACTTGCAGATCCTTCAGAAAGAGGGTTTCAAAACTGCTCTATCAAGAGAAATGTTCAACTCTGTGAGTTGAATGCAGACATCACAAAGTCGTTTCTGAGATTGGTTCTGTCTAGGTTTTATGGGAAGATATTTCCTTTTCTACCATACGCTTCAAGGCGTTCCAAATATCCGCTTGGAAATACTACAAAAACAGTGTTTCAAAACTGCTCTATCAAAAGGAAGGATCCACACTGTGAGTTGAATTCACACATCACAAAGAAGTCTCTGAGAATTCTTCTGTCTGGGTTTATAGGAAGAAATCCCGTTTACAACGAAGGCCTCAAAGCGGTCCATATATCCACTTGCAGATTCTACAGAAACAATGTTTCCAAACTGCTCTATCAAGAGGAATGTTGCACTCGGTGAGTTGAATGCACACATCACAAAGTAGTTTCTGAGATTGCTTCTGTCTACCTTTTATGGAAAGATATTCCCTTTTCTACCATAGGCCTGAAAGCGCTCTCAATGTACCCTTGCAAATTCTACAAAAAGAGTGTTTCCAAATTGCTCTATCAAGAGAAATCTTTATCTCGGTGAGTTGAAAGCACACATCACAAAGAAGACTCTGAGAATTCTTCTGTCTGGGTTTATAAGATGAAAACCCGTTTCCAACGAAGGCCTCAAGGAGGTCCAAATACAAACAAGCTGATTCTACAGAAAGAGTGTTTCCAAACTGCTCTATCAAGAGGAATGTTCCACTCGGTGAGTTGAATGCAGACATCACAAAGGAGTTTCTGAGATTGCTTCTGTCTAGCTTTTATGGAAAGATATTTCCTTTTCTACCATAGGCCTCAAAGCGCTCTTAGTATACACTTCCAAATTCTACAAAGAGAGTGTTACTAAACCGCTCTCTCAAAGGAAATGTTAAACTCTGTGAGTTGAACACAAACATCACAAAGCAGTTTCTGAGAACACTTCTGTCTGCCTTTTATGTGAAGACATTCCCTTTTCCAAAGAATGCCTCCAAGGGCTCAAAATATCCACTTGTAGACTTTACAAAGAGAGTGTTTCAAAACTTCTCTACCAAAAGAAAGGTTAAAGACGGTGAGTTCAACGCACACATCACAAAGTTGTTTCTGAGAATGATTCTATCTATGTTTTCCATGAAGATGTTTCCTTTTCTATCATAGGCTTCAAAGTGGTCTAAATATCCACTTGGAAATCCTACAAGAACAGGGTTTCAAAACTTCTCTATCAAACGGAAGACTCCACTCTGTGAGATGAACGCACACATCACAATGAGGTTTCTGAAAATTCTTCTGTCTAGGGTTATAGGAAGAAATCCCGTTTCCAACGAAGGCCTCAAAGAGGTCCAAATATCCACTTGCAGTTTCTACAAAAAGAGTGTTTCAACACTGCTCTATAAAGAGGAAAGTTCCACTCTGTGAGTTGAATGTACACATCACAAAGTAGTTTCTGAGATTGCTTCTGTCTAGGTTTTAGGTGAAGTTATTTCCTTTTCTACTTTGGGCTTCAATGCGCTCTAAATATACACATGCAAATACTACAAAAAGAGTGTTTCAAAACTGCTCTATCAAAAGAAAAGTTTTACTCTGTGGGTTGAACGCACACATCGCAAAGCAGATTCTGAGAATTATTCTGTCTAGTTTTTATAGGAAGATGTTTCTTTTTCTGCCATAGGATCAATGCGCTATAAATATCCCCTTGGAAGTCCTACAAAAACAGTGTTTCAAAACTGCTCTGTGAAAAGGGAGGTTTCACTCTTTGAATTGAATGCACACATCACAAAGGAGTTTCTGAAAATTCTTCAATCTAGAGTTACATGAAGAAATCCCGTTTCCAAAGAAGGCCTCAAATAGGTCCAAATATCCACTTGCAGCTACTACAAGAAGGGTGTTTCAGAAACGCTCTATCAAAAGAAACGTTAAACTCTGTGAGTTGAACGCACACGTCACTAAGCACTTTCTGAGAACGATTCTATCTACTTTTTACATGAAGATGTTTCCTTTTCTAGCAGAGACTTCAAAGTGCTCTAAATATCCACTTGGGAATTCTACAAAAACGGTGTCTCAAAACTGCTCTATCAAAGGGAATGTTCCATTCTGTGAGTCGAATGCACACATCCGAAGAAGTTACTGAGAATTCTTCTCTGTAGGTTTAGATGAAGAAATCCCGTTTCCAACGAAGGCCTCTAGGAGGTCCAATTATCCACTTGCAGATTCTACAGAAAGAGTGTTTCAAAACTGCTCTATCAAGAGAAATGGTCCACCGTGTGTGTGGAATGCAGCCATCACACATTAGTTTCTGAGATTGCTTCTGTCTTGGTTTTATGGGGAGATATTTCCATTTCTAGCATAGGCTTCAAGGCGCTCTAAATATCCGCTTGGAAATAGCACAAAAACAGTGATTCAAAACTGCTGTATCCAAAGGAAGGTGCCACTCGCTGAGTTGAATGCACACATCACAAGGAAGTTTCTGAGAATTCTTCTGTCTAGATTCATACGAAGAAATCCCGTTTCCAACGAAGGCCTCAAAGAAGTCCAAATATCCCATTGCAAATTCTACAAAAGGAGTGTTTCCCAACTGCTCTATCAAGAGGAATGTTGCACTCTGTGACTTGAATGCAAACATCACATAGCAGTGTTTGAGAATTCTTCTGTCTAGAGTAACATGAAGAAATCCCGTTTCCAACGAAGGCCTCAAGGCGGTCCAATTATCCACTTGCAGATTCTACAGAAAGAGTGTTTCAAAACTGCTCTATCAAGAGAAATGTTCCACCGTGTGTGTGGAATGCAGCCATCACACAGTAGTTTCTGAGATTGCTTCCGTCTAGGTTTTATGGGAAGATATTTCCTTTTCTACCATAGGCCTCAAGGCGCTCTAATATCCGCTTGGAAATACTACAACCACAGCGTTTCAAACTGCTCTATCCAAAGGAAGGTTCCACTCTGTGACTTGAATGCACACAACCAAAGAAGTTTCGGAGAATTCTTCTGTCTGGATTTATACGAAGAAATCCCGTTTCCAACGAAGACCCAAAGGAGTTCCAAATATCCACTTGCAGATCCTTCAGAAAGAGGGTTTCAAAACTGCTCTATCAAGAGAAATGTTCAACTCTGTGAGTTGAATGCAGACATCACAAAGTCGTTTCTGAGATGGGTTCTGTCTAGGTTTTATGGGAAGATATTTCCTTTTCTACCATACGCTTCAAGGCGTTCCAAATATCCGCTTGGAAATACTACAAAAACAGTGTTTCAAAACTGCTCTATCAAAAGGAAGGATCCACACTGTGAGTTGAATTCACACATCACAAAGAAATCTCTGAGAATTCTTCTGTCTGGGTTTATAGGAAGAAATCCCGTTTCCAACGAAGGCCTCAAAGCGGTCCATATATCCACTTGCAGATTCTACAGAAACAATGTTTCCAAACTGCTCTATCAAGAGGAATGTTGCACTCGGTGAGTTGAATGCACACATCACAAAGTAGTTTCTGAGATTGCTTCTGTCTACCTTTTATGGAAAGATATTCCCTTTTCTACCATAGGCCTGAAAGCGCTCTCAATGTACCCTTGCAAATTCTACAAAAAGAGTGTTTCCAAATTGCTCTATCAAGAGAAATCTTTATCTCGGTGAGTTGAAAGCACACATCACAAAGAAGACTCTGAGAATTCTTCTGTCTGGGTTTATAAGATGAAAACCCGTTTCCAACGAAGGCCTCAAGGAGGTCCAAATACAAACAAGCTGATTCTACAGAAAGAGTGTTTCCAAACTGCTCTATCAAGAGGAATGTTCCACTCGGTGAGTTGAATGCAGACATCACAAAGGAGTTTCTGAGATTGCTTCTGTCTAGCTTTTATGGAAAGATATTTCCTTTTCTACCATAGGCCTCAAAGCGCTCTTAGTATACACTTCCAAATTCTACAAAGAGAGTGTTACTAAACCGCTCTCTCAAAGGAAATGTTAAACTCTGTGAGTTGAACACAGACATCACAAAGCAGTTTCTGAGAACACTTCTGTCTGCCTTTTATGTGAAGACATTCCCTTTTCCAAAGAATGCCTCCAAGGGCTCAAAATATCCACTTGTAGACTTTACAAAGAGAGTGTTTCAAAACTTCTCTACCAAAAGAAAGGTTAAAGACGGTGAGTTCAACGCACACATCACAAAGTTGTTTCTGAGAATGATTCTATCTATGTTTTCCATGAAGATGTTTCCTTTTCTATCATAGGCTTCAAAGTGGTCTAAATATCCACTTGGAAATCCTACAAGAACAGGGTTTCAAAACTTCTCTATCAAACGGAAGACTCCACTCTGTGAGATGAACGCACACATCACAATGAGGTTTCTGAAAATTCTTCTGTCTAGGGTTATAGGAAGAAATCCCGTTTCCAACGAAGGCCTCAAAGAGGTCCAAATATCCACTTGCAGTTTCTACAAAAAGAGTGTTTCAACACTGCTCTATAAAGAGGAAAGTTCCACTCTGTGAGTTGAATGTACACATCACAAAGTAGTTTCTGAGATTGCTTCTGTCTAGGTTTTAGGTGAAGTTATTTCCTTTTCTACTGTGGGCTTCAATGCGCTCTAAATATACACATGCAAATACTACAAAAAGAGTGTTTCAAAACTGCTCTATCAAAAGAAAAGTTTTACTCTGTGGGTTGAACGCACACATCGCAAAGCAGATTCTGAGAATTATTCTGTCTAGTTTTTATAGGAAGATGTTTCTTTTTCTGCCATAGGCTCAATGCGCTATAAATATCCCCTTGGAAATCCTACAAAAACAGTGTTTCAAAACTGCTCTGTGAAAAGGGAGGTTTCACTCTTTGAATTGAATGCACACATCACAAAGGAGTTTCTGAAAATTCTTCAATCTAGAGTTACATGAAGAAATCCCGTTTCCAAAGAAGGCCTCAAATAGGTCCAAATATCCACTTGCAGCTACTACAAGAAGGGTGTTTCAGAAACGCTCTATCAAAAGAAACGTTAAACTCTGTGAGTTGAACGCACACGTCACTAAGCACTTTCTGAGAACGATTCTATCTACTTTTTACATGAAGATGTTTCCCTTTCTAGCAGAGACTTCAAAGTGCTCTAAATATCCACTTGGGAATTCTACAAAAACGGTGTCTCAAAACTGCTCTATCAAACGGAATGTTCCATTCTGTGAGTCGAATGCACACATCCGAAGAAGTTACTGAGAATTCTTCTCTGTAGGTTTAGATGAAGCAAATCCCGTTTCCAACGAAGGCCTCTAGGAGGTCCAATTATCCACTTGCAGATTCTACAGAAAGAGTGTTTCAAAACTGCTCTATCAAGAGCAATGGTCCACCGTGTGTGTGGAATGCAGCCATCACACATTAGTTTCTGAGATTGCTTCTGTCTTGGTTTTATGGGGAGATATTTCCATTTCTAGCATAGGCTTCAAGGCGCTCTAAATATCCGCTTGGAAATACTACAAAAACAGTGTTTCAAAACTGCTGTATCCAAAGGAAGGTGCCACTCGCTGAGTTGAATGCACACATCACAAGGAAGTTTCTGAGAATTCTTCTGTCTAGATTCATACGAAGAAATCCCGTTTCCAACGAAGGCCTCAAAGAAGTCCAAATATCCCATTGCAAATTCTACAAAAGGAGTGTTTCCCAACTGCTCTATCAAGAGGAATGTTGCACTCTGTGACTTGAATGCAAACATCACATAGCAGTGTTTGAGAATTCTTCTGTCTAGAGTAACATGAAGAAATCCCGTTTCCAACGAAGGCCTCAAGGCGGTCCAATTATCCACTTGCAGATTCTACAGAAAGAGTGTTTCAAAACTGCTCTATCAAGAGAAATGTTCCACCGTGTGTGTGGAATGCAGCCATCACACAGTAGTTTCTGAGATTGCTTCCGTCTAGGTTTTATGGGAAGATATTTCCTTTTCTACCATAGGCTTCAAGGCGCTCTAATATCCGCTTGGAAATACTACAACCACAGCGTTTCAAACTGCTCTATCCAAAGGAAGGTTCCACTCTGTGACTTGAATGCACACAACCAAAGAAGTTTCGGAGAATTCTTCTGTCTGGATTTATACGAAGAAATCCCGTTTCCAACGAAGACCCAAAGGAGTTCCAAATATCCACTTGCAGATCCTTCAGAAAGAGGGTTTCAAAACTGCTCTATCAAGAGAAATGTTCAACTCTGTGAGTTGAATGCAGACATCACAAAGTCGTTTCTGAGATGGGTTCTGTCTAGGTTTTATGGGAAGATATTTCCTTTTCTACCATACGCTTCAAGGCGTTCCAAATATCCGCTTGGAAATACTACAAAAACAGTGTTTCAAAACTGCTCTATCAAAAGGAAGGATCCACACTTGTGAGTTGAATTCACACATCACAAAGAAATCTCTGAGAATTCTTCTGTCTGGGTTTATAGGAAGAAATCCCGTTTCCAACGAAGGCCTCAAAGAGGTCCAAATATCCACTTGCAGATTCTACAGAAACAATGTTTCCAAACTGCTCGGTCAAGAGGAATGTTGCACTCGGTGAGTTGAATGCACACATCACAAAGTAGTTTCTGAGATTGCTTCTGTCTACCTTTTATGGAAAGATATTCCCTTTTCTACCATAGGCCTGAAAGCGCTCTCAATGTACCCTTGCAAATTCTACAAAAAGAGTGTTTCCAAATTGCTCTATCAAGAGAAATCTTTATCTCGGTGAGTTGAAAGCACACATCACAAAGAAGACTCTGAGAATTCTTCTGTCTGGGTTTATAAGATGAAAACCCGTTTCCAACGAAGGCCTCAAGGAGGTCCAAATACAAACAAGCTGATTCTACAGAAAGAGTGTTTCCAAACTGCTCTATCAAGAGGAATGTTCCACTCGGTGAGTTGAATGCAGACATCACAAAGGAGTTTCTGAGATTGCTTCTGTCTAGCTTTTATGGAAAGATATTTCCTTTTCTACCATAGGCCTCAAAGCGCTCTTAGTATACACTTCCAAATTCTACAAAGAGAGTGTTACTAAACCGCTCTCTCAAAGGAAATGTTAAACTCTGTGAGTTGAACACAGACATCACAAAGCAGTTTCTGAGAACACTTCTGTCTGCCTTTTATGTGAAGACATTCCCTTTTCCAAAGAATGCCTCCAAGGGCTCAAAATATCCACTTGTAGACTTTACAAAGAGAGTGTTTCAAAACTTCTCTACCAAAAGAAAGGTTAAAGACGGTGAGTTCAACGCACACATCACAAAGTTGTTTCTGAGAATGATTCTATCTATGTTTTCCATGAAGATGTTTCCTTTTCTATCATAGGCTTCAAAGTGGTCTAAATATCCACTTGGAAATCCTACAAGAACAGGGTTTCAAAACTTCTCTATCAAACGGAAGACTCCACTCTGTGAGATGAACGCACACATCACAATGAGGTTTCTGAAAATTCTTCTGTCTAGGGTTATAGGAAGAAATCCCGTTTCCAACGAAGGCCTCAAAGAGGTCCAAATATCCACTTGCAGTTTCTACAAAAAGAGTGTTTCAACACTGCTCTATAAAGAGGAAAGTTCCACTCTGTGAGTTGAATGTACACATCACAAAGTAGTTTCTGAGATTGCTTCTGTCTAGGTTTTAGGTGAAGTTATTTCCTTTTCTACTGTGGGCTTCAATGCGCTCTAAATATACACATGCAAATACTACAAAAAGAGTGTTTCAAAACTGCTCTATCAAAAGAAAAGTTTTACTCTGTGAGTTGAACGCACACATCGCAAAGCAGATTCTGAGAATTATTCTGTCTAGTTTTTATAGGAAGATGTTTCTTTTTCTGCCATAGGATCAATGCGCTATAAATATCCCCTTGGAAATCCTACAAAAACAGTGTTTCAAAACTGCTCTGTGAAAAGGGAGGTTTCACTCTTTGAATTGAATGCACACATCACAAAGGAGTTTCTGAAAATTCTTCAATCTAGAGTTACATGAAGAAATCCCGTTTCCAAAGAAGGCCTCAAATAGGTCCAAATATCCACTTGCAGCTACTACAAGAAGGGTGTTTCAGAAACGCTCTATCAAAAGAAACGTTAAACTCTGTGAGTTGAACACACACGTCACTGAGCACTTTCTGAGAACGATTCTATCTACTTTTTACATGAAGATGTTTCCTTTTCTAGCAGAGACTTCAAAGTGCTCTAAATATCCACTTGGGAATTCTACAAAAACGGTGTCTCAAAACTGCTCTATCAAACGGAATGTTCCATTCTGTGAGTCGAATGCACACATCCGAAGAAGTTACTGAGAATTCTTCTCTGTAGGTTTAGATGAAGAAATCCCGTTTCCAACGAAGGCCTCTAGGAGGTCCAATTATCCACTTGCAGATTCTACAGAAAGAGTGTTTCAAAACTGCTCTATCAAGAGAAATGGTCCACCGTGTGTGTGGAATGCAGCCATCACACATTAGTTTCTGAGATTGCTTCTGTCTTGGTTTTATGGGGAGATATTTCCATTTCTAGCATAGGCTTCAAGGCGCTCTAAATATCCGCTTGGAAATAGTACAAAAACAGTGTTTCAAAACTGCTGTATCCAAAGGAAGGTGCCACTCGCTGAGTTGAATGCACACATCACAAGGAAGTTTCTGAGAATTCTTCTGTCTAGATTCATACGAAGAAATCCCCTTTCCAACGAAGGCCTCAAAGAAGTCCAAATATCCCATTGCAAATTCTACAAAAGGAGTGTTTCCCAACTGCTCTATCAAGAGGAATGTTGCACTCTGTGACTTGAATGCAAACATCACATAGCAGTGTTTGAGAATTCTTCTGTCTAGAGTAACATGAAGAAATCCCGTTTCCAACGAAGGCCTCAAGGCGGTCCAATTATCCACTTGCAGATTCTACAGAAAGAGTGTTTCAAAACTGCTCTATCAAGAGAAATGTTCCACCGTGTGTGTGGAATGCAGCCATCACACAGTAGTTTCTGAGATTGCTTCCGTCTAGGTTTTATGGGAAGATATTTCCTTTTCTACCATAGGCCTCAAGGCGCTCTAATATCCGCTTGGAAATACTACAACCACAGCGTTTCAAACTGCTCTATCCAAAGGAAGGTTCCACTCTGTGACTTGAATGCACACAACCAAAGAAGTTTCGGAGAATTCTTCTGTCTAGATTTATACGAAGAAATCCCGTTTCCAACGAAGACCCAAAGGAGTTCCAAATATCCACTTGCAGATCCTTCAGAAAGAGGGTTTCAAAACTGCTCTATCAAGAGAAATGTTCAACTCTGTGAGTTGAATGCAGACATCACAAAGTCGTTTCTGAGATTGGTTCTGTCTAGGTTTTATGGGAAGATATTTCCTTTTCTACCATACGCTTCAAGGCGTTCCAAATATCCGCTTGGAAATACTACAAAAACAGTGTTTCAAAACTGCTCTATCAAAAGGAAGGATCCACACTGTGAGTTGAATTCACACATCACAAAGAAGTCTCTGAGAATTCTTCTGTCTGGGTTTATAGGAAGAAATCCCGTTTCCAACGAAGGCCTCAAAGAGGTCCAAATATCCACTTGCAGATTCTACAGAAACAATGTTTCCAAACTGCTCGGTCAAGAGGAATGTTGCACTCGGTGAGTTGAATGCACACATCACAAAGTAGTTTCTGAGATTGCTTCTGTCTACCTTTTATGGAAAGATATTCCCTTTTCTACCATAGGCCTGAAAGCGCTCTCAATGTACCCTTGCAAATTCTACAAAAAGAGTGTTTCCAAATTGCTCTATCAAGAGAAATCTTTATCTCGGTGAGTTGAAAGCACACATCACAAAGAAGACTCTGAGAATTCTTCTGTCTGGGTTTATAAGATGAAAACCCGTTTCCAACGAAGGCCTCAAGGAGGTCCAAATACAAACAAGCTGATTCTACAGAAAGAGTGTTTCCAAACTGCTCTATCAAGAGGAATGTTCCACTCGGTGAGTTGAATGCAGACATCACAAAGGAGTTTCTGAGATTGCTTCTGTCTAGCTTTTATGGAAAGATATTTCCTTTTCTACCATAGGCCTCAAAGCGCTCTTAGTATACACTTCCAAATTCTACAAAGAGAGTGTTACTAAACCGCTCTCTCAAAGGAAATGTTAAACTCTGTGAGTTGAACACAGACATCACAAAGCAGTTTCTGAGAACACTTCTGTCTGCCTTTTATGTGAAGACATTCCCTTTTCCAAAGAATGCCTCCAAGGGCTCAAAATATCCACTTGTAGACTTTACAAAGAGAGTGTTTCAAAACTTCTCTACCAAAAGAAAGGTTAAAGACGGTGAGTTCAACGCACACATCACAAAGTTGTTTCTGAGAATGATTCTATCTATGTTTTCCATGAAGATGTTTCCTTTTCTATCATAGGCTTCAAAGTGGTCTAAATATCCACTTGGAAATCCTACAAGAACAGGGTTTCAAAACTTCTCTATCAAACGGAAGACTCCACTCTGTGAGATGAACGCACACATCACAATGAGGTTTCTGAAAATTCTTCTGTCTAGGGTTATAGGAAGAAATCCCGTTTCCAACGAAGGCCTCAAAGAGGTCCAAATATCCACTTGCAGTTTCTACAAAAAGAGTGTTTCAACACTGCTCTATAAAGAGAAAAGTTCCACTCTGTGAGTTGAATGTACACATCACAAAGTAGTTTCTGAGATTGCTTCTGTCTAGGTTTTAGGTGAAGTTATTTCCTTTTCTACTGTGGGCTTCAATGCGCTCTAAATATACACATGCAAATACTACAAAAAGAGTGTTTCAAAACTGCTCTATCAAAAGAAAAGTTTTACTCTGTGAGTTGAACGCACACATCGCAAAGCAGATTCTGAGAATTATTCTGTCTAGTTTTTATAGGAAGATGTTTCTTTTTCTGCCATAGGCTCAATGCGCTATAAATATCCCCTTGGAAATCCTACAAAAACAGTGTTTCAAAACTGCTCTGTGAAAAGGGAGGTTTCACTCTTTGAATTGAATGCACACATCACAAAGGAGTTTCTGAAAATTCTTCAATCTAGAGTTACATGAAGAAATCCCGTTTCCAAAGAAGGCCTCAAATAGGTCCAAATATCCACTTGCAGCTACTACAAGAAGGGTGTTTCAGAAACGCTCTATCAAAAGAAACGTTAAACTCTGTGAGTTGAACGCACACGTCACTAAGCACTTTCTGAGAACGATCCTATCTACTTTTTACATGAAAGATGTTTCCTTTTCTAGCAGAGACTTCAAAGTGCTCTAAATATCCACTTGGGAATTCTACAAAAACGGTGTCTCAAAACTGCTCTATCAAACGGAATGTTCCATTCTGTGAGTCGAATGCACACATCCGAAGAAGTTACTGAGAATTCTTCTCTGTAGGTTTAGATGAAGAAATCCCGTTTCCAACGAAGGGCCTCTAGGAGGTCCAATTATCCACTTGCAGATTCTACAGAAAGAGTGTTTCAAAACTGCTCTATCAAGAGAAATGGTCCACCGTGTGTGTGGAATGCAGCCATCACACATTAGTTTCTGAGATTGTTTCTGTCTTGGTTTTATGGGGAGATATTTCCATTTCTAGCATAGGCTTCAAGGCGCTCTAAATATCCGCTTGGAAATAGTACAAAAACAGTGTTTCAAAACTGCTGTATCCAAAGGAAGGTGCCACTCGCTGAGTTGAATGCACACATCACAAGGAAGTTTCTGAGAATTCTTCTGTCTAGATTCATACGAAGAAATCCCGTTTCCAACGAAGGCCTCAAAGAAGTCCAAATATCCCATTGCAAATTCTACAAAAGGAGTGTTTCCCAACTGCTCTATCAAGAGGAATGTTGCACTCTGTGACTTGAATGCAAACATCACATAGCAGTGTTTGAGAATTCTTCTGTCTAGAGTAACATGAAGAAATCCCGTTTCCAACGAAGGCCTCAAGGCGGTCCAATTATCCACTTGCAGATTCTACAGAAAGAGTGTTTCAAAACTGCTCTATCAAGAGAAATGTTCCACCGTGTGTGTGGAATGCAGCCATCACACAGTAGTTTCTGAGATTGCTTCCGTCTAGGTTTTATGGGAAGATATTTCCTTTTCTACCATAGGCTTCAAGGCGATCTAATATCCGCTTGGAAATACTACAACCACAGCGTTTCAAACTGCTCTATCCAAAGGAAGGTTCCACTCTGTGACTTGAATGCACACAACCAAAGAAGTTTCGGAGAATTCTTCTGTCTGGATTTATACGAAGAAATCCCGTTTCCAACGAAGACCCAAAGGAGTTCCAAATATCCACTTGCAGATCCTTCAGCAAGAGGGTTTCAAAACTGCTCTATCAAGAGAAATGTTCAACTCTGTGAGTTGAATGCAGACATCACAAAGTCGTTTCTGAGATGGGTTCTGTCTAGGTTTTATGGGAAGATATTTCCTTTTCTACCATACGCTTCAAGGCGTTCCAAATATCCGCTTGGAAATACTACAAAAACAGTGTTTCAAAACTGCTCTATCAAAAGGAAGGATCCACACTGTGAGTTGAATTCACACATCACAAAGAAATCTCTGAGAATTCTTCTGTCTGGGTTTATAGGAAGAAATCCCGTTTCCAACGAAGGCCTCAAAGCGGTCCATATATCCACTTGCAGATTCTACAGAAACAATGTTTCCAAACTGCTCTATCAAGAGGAATGTTGCACTCGGTGAGTTGAATGCACACATCACAAAGTAGTTTCTGAGATTGCTTCTGTCTACCTTTTATGGAAAGATATTCCCTTTTCTACCATAGGCCTGAAAGCGCTCTCAATGTACCCTTGCAAATTCTACAAAAAGAGTGTTTCCAAATTGCTCTATCAAGAGAAATCTTTATCTCGGTGAGTTGAAAGCACACATCACAAAGAAGACTCTGAGAATTCTTCTGTCTGGGTTTATAAGATGAAAACCCGTTTCCAACGAAGGCCTCAAGGAGGTCCAAATACAAACAAGCTGATTCTACAGAAAGAGTGTTTCCAAACTGCACTATCAAGAGGAATGTTCCACTCGGTGAGTTGAATGCAGACATCACAAAGGAGTTTCTGAGATTGCTTCTGTCTAGCTTTTATGGAAAGATATTTCCTTTTCTACCATAGGCCTCAAAGCGCTCTTAGTATACACTTCCAAATTCTACAAAGAGAGTGTTACTAAACCGCTCTCTCAAAGGAAATGTTAAACTCTGTGAGTTGAACACAGACATCACAAAGCAGTTTCTGAGAACACTTCTGTCTGCCTTTTATGTGAAGACATTCCCTTTTCCAAAGAATGCCTCCAAGGGCTCAAAATATCCACTTGTAGACTTTACAAAGAGAGTGTTTCAAAACTTCTCTACCAAAAGAAAGGTTAAAGACGGTGAGTTCAACGCACACATCACAAAGTTGTTTCTGAGAATGATTCTATCTATGTTTTCCATGAAGATGTTTCCTTTTCTATCATAGGCTTCAAAGTGGTCTAAATATCCACTTGGAAATCCTACAAGAACAGGGTTTCAAAACTTCTCTATCAAACGGAAGACTCCACTCTGTGAGATGAACGCACACATCACAATGAGGTTTCTGAAAATTCTTCTGTCTAGGGTTATAGGAAGAAATCCCGTTTCCAACGAAGGCCTCAAAGAGGTCCAAATATCCACTTGCAGTTTCTACAAAAAGAGTGTTTCAACACTGCTCTATAAAGAGGAAAGTTCCACTCTGTGAGTTGAATGTACACATCACAAAGTAGTTTCTGAGATTGCTTCTGTCTAGGTTTTAGGTGAAGTTATTTCCTTTTCTACTGTGGGCTTCAATGCGCTCTAAATATACACATGCAAATACTACAAAAAGAGTGTTTCAAAACTGCTCTATCAAAAGAAAAGTTTTACTCTGTGGGTTGAACGCACACATCGCAAAGCAGATTCTGAGAATTATTATGTCTAGTTTTTATAGGAAGATGTTTGTTTTTCTGCCATAGGATCAATGCGCTATAAATATCCCCTTGGAAATCCTACAAAAACAGTGTTTCAAAACTGCTCTGTGAAAAGGGAGGTTTCACTCTTTGAATTGAATGCACACATCACAAAGGAGTTTCTGAAAATTCTTCAATCTAGAGTTACATGAAGAAATCCCGTTTCCAAAGAAGGCCTCAAATAGGTCCAAATATCTACTTGCAGCTACTACAAGAAGGGTGTTTCAGAAACGCTCTATCAAAAGAAACGTTAAACTCTGTGAGTTGAACGCACACGTCACTAATCACTTTCTGAGAACGATTCTATCTACTTTTTACATGAAGATGTTTCCTTTTCTAGCAGAGACTTCAAAGTGCTCTAAATATCCACTTGGGAATTCTACAAAAACGGTGTCTCAAAACTGCTCTATCAAAGGGAATGTTCCATTCTGTGAGTCGAATGCACACATCCGAAGAAGTTACTGAGAATTCTTCTCTGTAGGTTTAGATGAAGAAATCCCGTTTCCAACGAAGGCCTCTAGGAGGTCCAATTATCCACTTGCAGATTCTACAGAAAGAGTGTTTCAAAACTGCTCTATCAAGAGAAATGGTCCACCGTGTGTGTGGAATGCAGCCATCACACATTAGTTTCTGAGATTGCTTCTGTCTTGGTTTTATGGGGAGATATTTCCATTTCTAGCATAGGCTTCAAGGCGCTCTAAATATCCGCTTGGAAATAGTACAAAAACAGGGTTTCAAAACTGCTGTATCCAAAGGAAGGTGCCACTCGCTGAGTTGAATGCACACATCACAAGGAAGTTTCTGAGAATTCTTCTGTCTAGATTCATACGAAGAAATCCCGTTTCCAACGAAGGCCTCAAAGAAGTCCAAATATCCCATTGCAAATTCTACAAAAGGAGTGTTTCCCAACTGCTCTATCAAGAGGAATGTTGCACTCTGTGACGTGAATGCAAACATCACATAGCAGTGTTTGAGAATTCTTCTGTCTAGAGTAACATGAAGAAATCCCGTTTCCAACGAAGGCCTCAAGGCGGTCCAATTATCCACTTGCAGATTCTACAGAAAGAGTGTTTCAAAACTGCTCTATCAAGAGAAATGTTTCACCGTGTGTGTGGAATGCAGCCATCACACAGTAGTTTCTGAGATTGCTTCCGTCTAGGTTTTATGGGAAGATATTTCCTTTTCTACCATAGGCTTCAAGGCGCTCTAATATCCGCTTGGAAATACTACAACCACAGCGTTTCAAACTGCTCTATCCAAAGGAAGGTTCCACTCTGTGACTTGAATGCACACAACCAAAGAAGTTTCGGAGAATTCTTCTGTCTGGATTTATACGAAGAAATCCCGTTTCCAACGAAGACCCAAAGGAGTTCCAAATATCCACTTGCAGATCCTTCAGAAAGAGGGTTTCAAAACTGCTCTATCAAGAGAAATGTTCAACTCTGTGAGTTGAATGCAGACATCACAAAGTCGTTTCTGAGATGGGTTCTGTCTAGGTTTTATGGGAAGATATTTCCTTTTCTACCTTACGCTTCAAGGCGTTCCAAATATCCGCTTGGAAATACTACAAAAACGGTGTTTCAAAACTGCTCTATCAAAAGGAAGGATCCACACTGTGAGTTGAATTCACACATCACAAAGAAATCTCTGAGAATTCTTCTGTCTGGGTTTATAGGAAGAAATCCCGTTTCCAACGAAGGCCTCAAAGCGGTCCATATATCCACTTGCAGATTCTACAGAAACAATGTTTCCAAACTGCTCTATCAAGAGGAATGTTGCACTCGGTGAGTTGAATGCACACATCACAAAGTAGTTTCTGAGATTGCTTCTGTCTACCTTTTATGGAAAGATATTCCCTTTTCTACCATAGGCCTGAAAGCGCTCTCAATGTACCCTTGCAAATTCTACAAAAAGAGTGTTTCCAAATTGCTCTATCAAGAGAAATCTTTATCTCGGTGAGTTGAAAGCACACATCACAAAGAAGACTCTGAGAATTCTTCTGTCTGGGTTTATAAGATGAAAACCCGTTTCCAACGAAGGCCTCAAGGAGGTCCAAATACAAACAAGCTGATTCTACAGAAAGAGTGTTTCCAAACTGCTCTATCAAGAGGAATGTTCCACTCGGTGAGTTGAATGCAGACATCACAAAGGAGTTTCTGAGATTGCTTCTGTCTAGCTTTTATGGAAAGATATTTCCTTTTCTACCATAGGCCTCAAAGCGCTCTTAGTATACACTTCCAAATTCTACAAAGAGAGTGTTACTAAACCGCTCTCTCAAAGGAAATGTTAAACTCTGTGAGTTGAACACAGACATCACAAAGCAGTTTCTGAGAACACTTCTGTCTGCCTTTTATGTGAAGACATTCCCTTTTCCAAAGAATGCCTCCAAGGGCTCAAAATATCCACTTGTAGACTTTACAAAGAGAGTGTTTCAAAACTTCTCTACCAAAAGAAAGGTTAAAGACGGTGAGTTCAACGCACACATCACAAAGTTGTTTCTGAGAATGATTCTATCTATGTTTTCCATGAAGATGTTTCCTTTTCTATCATAGGCTTCAAAGTGGTCTAAATATCCACTTGGAAATCCTACAAGAACAGGGTTTCAAAACTTCTCTATCAAACGGAAGACTCCACTCTGTGAGATGAACGCACACATCACAATGAGGTTTCTGAAAATTCTTCTGTCTAGGGTTATAGGAAGAAATCCCGTTTCCAACGAAGGCCTCAAAGAGGTCCAAATATCCACTTGCAGTTTCTACAAAAAGAGTGTTTCAACACTGCTCTATAAAGAGGAAAGTTCCACTCTGTGAGTTGAATGTACACATCACAAAGTAGTTTCTGAGATTGCTTCTGTCTAGGTTTTAGGTGAAGTTATTTCCTTTTCTACTGTGGGCTTCAATGCGCTCTAAATATACACATGCAAATACTACAAAAAGTGTTTCAAAACTGCTCTATCAAAAGAAAAGTTTTACTCTGTGAGTTGAACGCACACATCGCAAAGCAGATTCTGAGAATTATTCTGTCTAGTTTTTATAGGAAGATGTTTCTTTTTCTGCCATAGGATCAATGCGCTATAAATATCCCCTTGGAAATCCTACAAAAACAGTGTTTCAAAACTGCTCTGTGAAAAGGGAGGTTTCACTCTTTGAATTGAATGCACACATCACAAAGGAGTTTCTGAAAATTCTTCAAACGAGAGTTACATGAAGAAATCCCGTTTCCAAAGAAGGCCTCAAATAGGTCCAAATATCCACTTGCAGCTACTAGAAGAAGGGTGTTTCAGAAACGCTCTATCAAAAGAAACGTTAAACTCTGTGAGTTGAACGCACACGTCACTAAGCACTTTCTGAGAACGATTCTATCTACTTTTTACATGAAGATGTTTCCTTTTCTAGCAGAGACTTCAAAGTGCTCTAAATATCCACTTGGGAATTCTACAAAAACGGTGTCTCAAAACTGCTCTATCAAAGGGAATGTTCCATTCTGTGAGTCGAATGCACACATCCGAAGAAGTTACTGAGAATTCTTCTCTGTAGGTTTAGATGAAGAAATCCCGTTTCCAACGAAGGCATCTAGGAGGTCCAATTATCCACTTGCAGATTCTACAGAAAGAGTGTTTCAAAACTGCTCTATCAAGAGAAATGGTCCACCGTGTGTGTGGAATGCAGCCATCACACATTAGTTTCTGAGATTGCTTCTGTCTTGGTTTTATGGGGAGATATTTCCATTTCTAGCATAGGCTTCAAGGCGCTCTAAATATCCGCTTGGAAATACTACAAAAACAGTGTTTCAAAACTGCTGTATCCAAAGGAAGGTGCCACTCGCTGAGTTGAATGCACACATCACAAGGAAGTTTCTGAGAATTCTTCTGTCTAGATTCATACGAAGAAATCCCGTTTCCAACGAAGGCCTCAAAGAAGTCCAAATATCCCATTGCAAATTCTACAAAAGGAGTGTTTCCCAACTGCTCTATCAAGAGGAATGTTGCACTCTGTGACTTGCATGCAAACATCACATAGCAGTGTTTGAGAATTCTTCTGTCTAGAGTAACATGAAGAAATCCCGTTTCCAACGAAGGCCTCAAGGCGGTCCAATTATCCACTTGCAGATTCTACAGAAAGAGTGTTTCAAAACTGCTCTATCAAGAGAAATGTTCCACCGTGTGTGTGGAATGCAGCCATCACACAGTAGTTTCTGAGATTGCTTCCGTCTAGGTTTTATGGGAAGATATTTCCTTTTCTACCATAGGCCTCAAGGCGCTCTAATATCCGCTTGGAAATACTACAACCACAGCGTTTCAAACTGCTCTATCCAAAGGAAGGTTCCACTCTGTGACTTGAATGCACACAACCAAAGAAGTTTCGGAGAATTCTTCTGTCTAGATTTATACGAAGAAATCCCGTTTCCAACGAAGACCCAAAGGAGTTCCAAATATCCACTTGCAGATCCTTCAGAAAGAGGGTTTCAAAACTGCTCTATCAAGAGAAATGTTCAACTCTGTGAGTTGAATGCAGACATCACAAAGTCGTTTCTGAGATTGGTTCTGTCTAGGTTTTATGGGAAGATATTTCCTTTTCTACCATACGCTTCAAGGCGTTCCAAATATCCGCTTGGAAATACTACAAAAACAGTGTTTCAAAACTGCTCTATCAAAAGGAAGGATCCACACTGTGAGTTGAATTCACACATCACAAAGAAGTCTCTGAGAATTCTTCTGTCTGGGTTTATAGGAAGAAATCCCGTTTCCAACGAAGGCCTCAAAGAGGTCCAAATATCCACTTGCAGATTCTACAGAAACAATGTTTCCAAACTGCTCGGTCAAGAGGAATGTTGCACTCGGTGAGTTGAATGCACACATCACAAAGTAGTTTCTGAGATTGCTTCTGTCTACCTTTTATGGAAAGATATTCCCTTTTCTACCATAGGCCTGAAAGCGCTCTCAATGTACCCTTGCAAATTCTACAAAAAGAGTGTTTCCAAATTGCTCTATCAAGAGAAATCTTTATCTCGGTGAGTTGAAAGCACACATCACAAAGAAGACTCTGAGAATTCTTCTGTCTGGGTTTATAAGATGAAAACCCGTTTCCAACGAAGGCCTCAAGGAGGTCCAAATACAAACAAGCTGATTCTACAGAAAGAGTGTTTCCAAACTGCTCTATCAAGAGGAATGTTCCACTCGGTGAGTTGAATGCAGACATCACAAAGGAGTTTCTGAGATTGCTTGTGTCTAGCTTTTATGGAAAGATATTTCCTTTTCTACCATAGGCCTCAAAGCGCTCTTAGTATACACTTCCAAATTCTACAAAGAGAGGGTTACTAAACCGCTCCATCACAGGAAATGTTAAACTCTGTGAGTTGAACACAGACATCACAAAGCAATTTCTGAGAACACTTCTGTCTGCCTTTTACGTGAAGACATTCCCTTTTCCAAAGAATGCCTCCAAGGGCTCAAAATATCCACTTGTAGACTTTACAAAGAGAGTGTTTCAAAACTTCTCTACTAAAAGAAAGGTTAAAGACTGTGAGTTCAACGCACACATCACAAAGTTGTTTCTGAGAATGACTCTATCTATGTTTTCCATGAAGATGTTTCCTTTTCTATCATAGGCTTCAAAGTGGTCTAAATATCCACTTGGAAATCCTACAAGAACAGGGTTTCAAAACTTCTCTATCAAACGGAAGACTCCACTCTGTGAGATGAACGCACACATCACAATGAGGTTTCTGAAAATTCTTCTGTCTAGGGTTATAGGAAGAAATCCCGTTTCCAACGAAGGCCTCAAAGAGGTCCAAATATCCACTTGCAGTTTCTACAAAAAGAGTGTTTCAACACTGCTCTATAAAGAGGAAAGTTCCACTCTGTGAGTTGAATGTACACATCACAAAGTAGTTTCTGAGATTGCTTCTGTCTAGGTTTTAGGTGAAGTTATTTCCTTTTCTACTGTGTGCTTCAATGCGCTCTAAATATACACATGCAAATACTACAAAAAGAGTGTTTCAAAACTGCTCTATCAAAAGAAAAGTTTTACTCTGTGAGATGAACGCACACATCGCAAAGCAGATTCTGAGAATTATTCTGTCTAGTTTTTATAGGAAGATGTTTCTTTTTCTGCCATAGGCTCAATGCGCTATAAATATCCCCTTGGAAATCCTACAAAAACAGTGTTTCAAAACTGCTCTGTGAAAAGGGAGGTTTCACTCTTTGAATTGAATGCACACATCACAAAGGAGTTTCTGAAAATTCTTCAATCTAGAGTTACATGAAGAAATCCCGTTTCCAAAGAAGGCCTCAAATAGGTCCAAATATCCACTTGCAGCTACTACAAGAAGGGTGTTTCAGAAACGCTCTATCAAAAGAAACGTTAAACTCTGTGAGTTGAACGCACACGTCACTAAGCACTTTCTGAGAACGATTCTATCTACTTTTTACATGAAGATGTTTCCTTTTCTAGCAGAGACTTCAAAGTGCTCTAAATATCCACTTGGGAATTCTACAAAAACGGTGTCTCAAAACTGCTCTATCAAAGGGAATGTTCCATTCTGTGAGTCGAATGCACACATCCGAAGAAGTTACTGAGAATTCTTCTCTGTAGGTTTAGATGAAGAAATCCCGTTTCCAACGAAGGCCTCTAGGAGGTCCAATTATCCACTTGCAGATTCTACAGAAAAAGTGTTTCAAAACTGCTCTATCAAGAGAAATGGTCCACCGTGTGTGTGGAATGCAGCCATCACACATTAGTTTCTGAGATTGCTTCTGTCTTGGTTTTATGGGGAGATATTTCCATTTCTAGCATAGGCTTCAAGGCGCTCTAAATATCCGCTTGGAAATACTACAAAAACAGTGTTTCAAAACTGCTGTATCCAAAGGAAGGTGCCACTCGCTGAGTTGAATGCACACATCACAAGGAAAGTTTCTGAGAATTCTTCTGTCTAGATTCATACGAAGAAATCCCGTTTCCAACGAAGGCCTCAAAGAAGTCCAAATATCCCATTGCAAATTCTACAAAAGGAGTGTTTCCCAACTGCTCTATCAAGAGGAATGTTGCACTCTGTGACTTGCATGCAAACATCACATAGCAGTGTTTGAGAATTCTTCTGTCTAGAGTAACATGAAGAAATCCCGTTTCCAACGAAGGCCTCAAGGCGGTCCAATTATCCACTTGCAGATTCTACAGAAAGAGTGTTTCAAAACTGCTCTATCAAGAGAAATGTTCCACCGTGTGTGTGGAATGCAGCCATCACACAGTAGTTTCTGAGATTGCTTCCGTCTAGGTTTTATGGGAAGATATTTCCTTTTCTACCATAGGCCTCAAGGCGCTCTAATATCCGCTTGGAAATACTACAACCACAGCGTTTCAAACTGCTCTATCCAAAGGAAGGTTCCACTCTGTGAGTTGAATGCACACAACCAAAGATGTTTCGGAGAATTCTTCTGTCTAGATTTATACGAAGAAATCCCGTTTCCAACGAAGACCCAAAGGAGTTCCAAATATCCACTTGCAGATCCTTCAGAAAGAGGGTTTCAAAACTGCTCTATCAAGAGAAATGTTCAACTCTGTGAGTTGAATGCAGACATCACAAAGTCGTTTCTGAGATTGGTTCTGTCTAGGTTTTATGGGAAGATATTTCCTTTTCTACCATACGCTTCAAGGCGTTCCAAATATCCGCTTGGAAATACTACAAAAACAGTGTTTCAAAACTGCTCTATCAAAAGGAAGGATCCACACTGTGAGTTGAATTCACACATCACAAAGAAGTCTCTGAGAATTCTTCTGTCTGGGTTTATAGGAAGAAATCCCGTTTCCAACGAAGGCCTCAAAGAGGTCCAAATATCCACTTGCAGATTCTACAGAAACAATGTTTCCAAACTGCTCGGTCAAGAGGAATGTTGCACTCGGTGAGTTGAATGCACACATCACAAAGTAGTTTCTGAGATTGCTTCTGTCTACCTTTTATGGAAAGATATTCCCATTTCTACCATAGGCCTGAAAGCGCTCTCAATGTACCCTTGCAAATTCTACAAAAAGAGTGTTTCCAAATTGCTCTATCAAGAGAAATCTTTATCTCGGTGAGTTGAAAGCACACATCACAAAGAAGACTCTGAGAATTCTTCTGTCTGGGTTTATAAGATGAAAACCCGTTTCCAACGAAGGCCTCAAGGAGGTCCAAATACAAACAAGCTGATTCTACAGAAAGAGTGTTTCCAAACTGCTCTATCAAGAGGAATGTTCCACTCGGTGAGTTGAATGCAGACATCACAAAGGAGTTTCTGAGATTGCTTCTGTCTAGCTTTTATGGAAAGATATTTCCTTTTCTACCATAGGCCTCAAAGCGCTCTTAGTATACACTTCCAAATTCTACAAAGAGAGTGTTACTAAACCGCTCTCTCAAAGGAAATGTTAAACTCTGTGAGTTGAACACAGACATCACAAAGCAGTTTCTGAGAACACTTCTGTCTGCCTTTTATGTGAAGACATTCCCTTTTCCAAAGAATGCCTCCAAGGGCTCAAAATATCCACTTGTAGACTTTACAAAGAGAGTGTTTCAAAACTTCTCTACCAAAAGAAAGGTTAAAGACGGTGAGTTCAACGCACACATCACAAAGTTGTTTCTGAGAATGATTCTATCTATGTTTTCCATGAAGATGTTTCCTTTTCTATCATAGGCTTCAAAGTGGTCTAAATATCCACTTGGAAATCCTACAAGAACAGGGTTTCAAAACTTCTCTATCAAACGGAAGACTCCACTCTGTGAGATGAACAGCACACATCACAATGAGGTTTCTGAAAATTCTTCTGTCTAGGGTTATAGGAAGAAATCCCGTTTCCAACGAAGGCCTCAAAGAGGTCCAAATATCCACTTGCAGTTTCTACAAAAAGAGTGTTTCAACACTGCTCTATAAAGAGGAAAGTTCCACTCTGTGAGTTGAATGTACACTTCACAAAGTAGTTTCTGAGATTGCTTCTGTCTAGGTTTTAGGTGAAGTTATTTCCTTTTCTACTGTGGGCTTCAATGCGCTCTAAATATACACATGCAAATACTACAAAAAGAGTGTTTCAAAACTGCTCTATCAAAAGAAAAGTTTTACTCTGTGGGTTGAACGCACACATCGCAAAGCAGATTCTGAGAATTATTCTGTCTAGTTTTTATAGGAAGATGTTTCTTTTTCTGCCATAGGCTCAATGCGCTATAAATATCCCCTTGGAAGTCCTACAAAAACAGTGTTTCAAAACTGCTCTGTGAAAAGGGAGGTTTCACTCTTTGAATTGAATGCACACATCACAAAGGAGTTTCTGAAAATTCTTCAAACGAGAGTTACATGAAGAAATCCCGTTTCCAAAGAAGGCCTCAAATAGGTCCAAATATCCACTTGCAGCTACTACAAGAAGGGTGTTTCAGAAACGCTCTATCAAAAGAAACGTTAAACTCTGTGAGTTGAACGCACACGTCACTAAGCACTTTCTGAGAACGATTCTATCTACTTTTTACATGAAGGTGTTTCCTTTTCTAGCAGAGACTTCAAAGTGCTCTAAATATCCACTTGGGAATTCTACAAAAACGGTGTCTCAAAACTGCTCTATCAAACGGAATGTTCCATTCTGTGAGTCGAATGCACACATCCGAAGAAGTTACTGAGAATTCTTCTCTGTAGGTTTAGATGAAGAAATCCCATTTCCAACGAAGGCCTCTAGGAGGTCCAATTATCCACTTGCAGATTCTACAGAAAGAGTGTTTCAAAACTGCTCTATCAAGAGAAATGGTCCACCGTGTGTGTGGAATGCAGCCATCACACATTAGTTTCTGATATTGCTTCTGTCTTGGTTTTATGGGGAGATATTTCCATTTCTAGCATAGGCTTCAAGGCGCTCTAAATATCCGCTTGGAAATACTACAAAAACAGTGTTTCAAAACTGCTGTATCCAAAGGAAGGTGCCACTCGCTGAGTTGAATGCACACATCACAAGGAAGTTTCTGAGAATTCTTCTGTCTAGATTCATACGAAGAAATCCCGTTTCCAACGAAGGCCTCAAAGAAGTCCAAATATCCCATTGCAAATTCTACAAAAGGAGTGTTTCCCAACTGCTCTATCAAGAGGAATGTTGCACTCTGTGACTTGCATGCAAACATCATATAGCAGTGTTTGAGAATTATTCTGTCTAGAGTAACATGAAGAAATCCCGTTTCCAACGAAGGCCTCAAGGCGGTCCAATTATCCACTTGCAGATTCTACAGAAAGAGTGTTTCAAAACTGCTCTATCAAGAGAAATGTTCCACCGTGTGTGTGGAATGCAGCCATCACACAGTAGTTTCTGAGATTGCTTCCGTCTAGGTTTTATGGGAAGATATTTCCTTTTCTACCATAGGCCTCAAGGCGCTCTAATATCCGCTTGGAAATACTACAACCACAGCGTTTCAAACTGCTCTATCCAAAGGAAGGTTCCACTCTGTGACTTGAATGCACACAACCAAAGAAGTTTCGGAGAATTCTTCTGTCTGGATTTATACGAAGAAATCCCGTTTCCAACGAAGACCCAAAGGAGTTCCAAATATCCACTTGCAGATCCTTCAGAAAGAGGGTTTCAAAACTGCTCTATCAAGAGAAATGTTCAACTCTGTGAGTTGAATGCAGACATCACAAAGTCGTTTCTGAGATGGGTTCTGTCTAGGTTTTATGGGAAGATATTTCCTTTTCTACCATACGCTTCAAGGCGTTCCAAATATCCGCTTGGAAATACTACAAAAACAGTGTTTCAAAACTGCTCTATCAAAAGGAAGGATCCACACTGTGAGTTGAATTCACACATCACAAAGAAATCTCTGAGAATTCTTCTGTCTGGGTTTATAGGAAGAAATCCCGTTTCCAACGAAGGCCTCAAAGCGGTCCATATATCCACTTGCAGATTCTACAGAAACAATGTTTCCAAACTGCTCTATCAAGAGGAATGTTGCACTCGGTGAGTTGAATGCACACATCACAAAGTAGTTTCTGAGATTGCTTCTGTCTACCTTTTATGGAAAGATATTCCCTTTTCTACCATAGGCCTGAAAGCGCTCTCAATGTACCCTTGCAAATTCTACAAAAAGAGTGTTTCCAAATTGCTCAATCAAGAGAAATCTTTATCTCGGTGAGTTGAAAGCACACATCACAAAGAAGACTCTGAGAATTCTTCTGTCTGGGTTTATAAGATGAAAACCCGTTTCCAACGAAGGCCTCAAGGAGGTCCAAATACAAACAAGCTGATTCTACAGAAAGAGTGTTTCCAAACTGCTCTATCAAGAGGAATGTTCCACTCGGTGAGTTGAATGCAGACATCACAAAGGAGTTTCTGAGATTGCTTGTGTCTAGCTTTTATGGAAAGATATTTCCTTTTCTACCATAGGCCTCAAAGCGCTCTTAGTATACACTTCCAAATTCTACAAAGAGAGTGTCACTAAACCGCTCTCTCAAAGGAAATGTTAAACTCTGTGAGTTGAACACAGACATCACAAAGCAGTTTCTGAGAACACTTCTGTCTGCCTTTTATGTGAAGACATTCCCTTTTCCAAAGAATGCCTCCAAGGGCTCAAAATATCCACTTGTAGACTTTACAAAGAGAGTGTTTCAAAACTTCTCTACCAAAAGAAAGGTTAAAGACGGTGAGTTCAACGCACACATCACAAAGTTGTTTCTGAGAATGATTCTATCTATGTTTTCCATGAAGATGTTTCCTTTTCTATCATAGGCTTCAAAGTGGTCTAAATATCCACTTGGAAATCCTACAAGAACAGGGTTTCAAAACTTCTCTATCAAACGGAAGACTCCACTCTGTGAGATGAACGCACACATCACAATGAGGTTTCTGAAAATTCTTCTGTCTAGGGTTATAGGAAGAAATCCCGTTTCCAACGAAGGCCTCAAAGAGGTCCAAATATCCACTTGCAGTTTCTACAAAAAGAGTGTTTCAACACTGCTCTATAAAGAGGAAAGTTCCACTCTGTGAGTTGAATGTACACATCACAAAGTAGTTTCTGAGATTGCTTCTGTCTAGGTTTTAGGTGAAGTTATTCCCTTTTCTACTGTGGGCTTCAATGCGCTCTAAATATACACATGCAAATACTACAAAAAGAGTGTTTCAAAACTGCTCTATCAAAAGAAAAGTTTTACTCTGTGGGTTGAACGCACACATCGCAAAGCAGATTCTGAGAATTATTCTGTCTAGTTTTTATAGGAAGATGTTTCTTTTTCTGCCATAGGATCAATGCGCTATAAATATCCCCTTGGAAATCCTACAAAAACAGTGTTTCAAAACTGCTCTGTGAAAAGGGACGTTTCACTCTTTGAATTGAATGCACACATCACAAAGGAGTTTCTGAAAATTCTTCAATCTAGAGTTACATGAAGAAATCCCGTTTCCAAAGAAGGCCTCAAATAGGTCCAAATATCCACTTGCAGCTACTACAAGAAGGGTGTTTCAGGAACGCTCTATCAAAAGAAACGTTAAACTCTGTGAGTTGAACGCACACGTCACTAAGCACTTTCTGAGAACGATTCTATCTACTTTTTACATGAAGATGTTTCCTTTTCTAACAGAGACTTCAAAGTGCTCTAAATATCCACTTGGGAATTCTACAAAAACGGTGTCTCAAAACTGCTCTATCAAAGGGAATATTCCATTCTGTGAGTCGAATGCACACATCCGAAGAAGTTACTGAGAATTCTTCTCTGTAGGTTTAGATGAAGAAATCCCATTTCCAACGAAGGCCTCTAGGAGGTCCAATTATCCACTTGCAGATTCTACAGAAAGAGTGTTTCAAAACTGCTCTATCAAGAGAAATGGTCCACCGTGTGTGTGGAATGCAGCCATCACACATTAGTTTCAAAAATGGCTTCTGTCTTGGTTTTATGGGGAGATATTTCCATTTCTAGCATAGGCTTCAAGGTGCTCTAAATATCCGCTTGGAAATACTACAAAAACAGTGTTTCAAAACTGCTGTATCCACAGGAAGGTGCCACTCGCTGAGTTGAATGCACACATCACAAGGAAGTTTCTGAGAATTCTTCTGTCTAGATTCATACGAAGAAATCCCGTTTCCAACGAAGGCCTCAAAGAAGTCCAAATATCCCATTGCAAATTATGCAAAATGAGTGTTTCCCAACTGCTCTATCAAGAGGAATGTGGCACTCTGTGACTTGAATGCAAACATCACATAGTAGTGTTTGAGAATTCTTCTATCTAGAGTAACATGAAGAAATCCCGTTTCCAAAGAAGGCCTCAAGGCGGTCCAATTATCCACTTGCAGATTCTACAGAAAGAGTGTTTCAAAACTGCTCTATCAAGAGAAATGTTCCACCGTGTGTGTGGAATGCAGCCATCACACAGTAGTTTCTGAGATTGCTTCCGTCTAGGTTTTATGGGAAGATATTTCCTTTTCTACCATAGGCCTCAAGGCGCTCTAATATCCGCTTGGAAATACTACAACCACAGCGTTTCAAACTGCTCTATCCAAAGGAAGGTTCCACTCTGTGACTTGAATGCACACAACCAAAGAAGTTTCGGAGAATTCTTCTGTCTAGATTTATACGAAGAAATCCCGTTTCCAACGAAGACCCAAAGGAGTTCCAAATATCCACTTGCAGATCCTTCAGAAAGAGGGTTTCAAAACTGCTCTATCAAGAGAAATGTTCAACTCTGTGAGTTGAATGCAGACATCACAAAGTCGTTTCTGAGATTGGTTCTGTCTAGGTTTTATGGGAAGATATTTCCTTTTCTACCATACGCTTCAAGGCGTTCCAAATATCCGCTTGGAAATACTACAAAAACAGTGTTTCAAAACTGCTCTATCAAAAGGAAGGATCCACACTGTGAGTTGAATTCACACATCACAAAGAAATCTCTGAGAATTCTTCTGTCTGGGTTTATAGGAAGAAATCCCGTTTCCAACGAAGGCCTCAAAGTGGTCCATATATCCACTTGCAGATTCTACAGAAACAATGTTTCCAAACTGCTCGGTCAAGAGGAATGTTGCACTCGGTGAGTTGAATGCACACATCACAAAGTAGTTTCTGAGATTGCTTCTGTCTACCTTTTATGGAAAGATATTCCCTTTTCTACCATAGGCCTGAAAGCGCTCTCAATGTACCCTTGCAAATTCTACAAAAAGAGTGTTTCCAAATTGCTCTATCAAGAGAAATCTTTATCTCGGTGAGTTGAAAGCACACATCACAAAGAAGACTCTGAGAATTCTTCTGTCTGGGTTTATAAGATGAAAACCCGTTTCCAACGAAGGCCTCAAGGAGGTCCAAATACAAACAAGCTGATTCTACAGAAAGAGTGTTTCCAAACTGCTCTATCAAGAGGAATGTTCCACTCGGTGAGTTGAATGCAGACATCACAAAGGAGTTTCTGAGATTGCTTCTGTCTAGCTTTTATGGAAAGATATTTCCTTTTCTACCATAGGCCTCAAAGCGCTCTTAGTATACACTTCCAAATTCTACAAAGAGAGTGTTACTAAACCGCTCTCTCAAAGGAAATGTTAAACTCTGTGAGTTGAACACAGACATCACAAAGCAGTTTCTGAGAACACTTCTGTCTGCCTTTTATGTGAAGACATTCCCTTTTCCAAAGAATGCCTCCAAGGGCTCAAAATATCCACTCGTAGACTTTACAAAGAGAGTGTTTCAAAACTTCTCTACCAAAAGAAAGGTTAAAGACGGTGAGTTCAACGCACACATCACAAAGTTGTTTCTGAGAATGATTCTATCTATGTTTTCCATGAAGATGTTTCCTTTTCTATCATAGGCTTCAAAGTGGTCTAAATATCCACTTGGAAATCCTACAAGAACAGGGTTTCAAAACTTCTCTATCAAACGGAACACTCCACTCTGTGAGATGAACGCACACATCACAATGAGGTTTCTGAAAATTCTTCTGTCTAGGGTTATAGGAAGAAATCCCGTTTCCAACGAAGGCCTCAAAGAGGTCCAAATATCCACTTGCAGTTTCTACAAAAAGAGTGTTTCAACACTGCTCTATAAAGAGGAAAGTTCCGCTCTGTGAGTTGAATGTACACATCACAAAGTAGTTTCTGAGATTGCTTCTGTCTAGGTTTTAGGTGAAGTTATTTCCTTTTCTACTTTGGGCTTCAATGCGCTCTAAATATACACATGCAAATACTACAAAAAGAGTGTTTCAAAACTGCTCTATCAAAAGAAAAGTTTTACTCTGTGGGTTGAACGCACACATCGCAAAGCAGATTCTGAGAATTATTCTGTCTAGTTTTTATAGGAAGATGTTTCTTTTTCTGCCATAGGATCAATGCGCTATAAATATCCCCTTGGAAATCCTACAAAAACAGTGTTTCAAAACTGCTCTGTGGAAAGGGAAGTTTCACTCTTTGAATTGAATGCAAACATCACAAAGGAGTTTCTGAAAATTCTTCAATCTAGAGTTACATGAAGAAATCCCGTTTCCAAAGAAGGCCTCAAATAGGTCCAAATATCCACTTGCAGCTACTACAAGCAGGGTGTTTCAGAAACGCTCTATCAAAAGAAACGTTAAACTCTGTGAGTTGAACGCACACGTCACTAAGCACTTTCTGAGAACGATTCTATCTACTTTTTACATGAAGATGTTTCCTTTTCTAGCAGAGACTTCAAAGTGCTCTAAATATCCACTTGGGAATTCTACAAAAACGGTGTCTCAAAACTGCTCTATCAAACGGAATGTTCCATTCTGTGAGTCGAATGCACACATCCGAAGAAGTTACTGAGAATTCTTCTCTGTAGGTTTAGATGAAGAAATCCCATTTCCAACGAAGGCCTCTAGGAGGTCCAATTATCCACTTGCAGATTCTACAGAAAGAGTGTTTCAAAACTGCTCTATCAAGAGAAATGGTCCACCGTGTGTGTGGAATGCAGCCATCACACATTAGTTTCTGAGATTGCTTCTGTCTTGGTTTTATGGGGAGATATTTCCATTTCTAGCATAGGCTTCAAGGCGCTCTAAATATCCGCTTGGAAATACTACAAAAACAGTGTTTCAAAACTGCTGTATCCAAAGGAAGGTGCCACTCGCTGAGTTGAATGCACACATCACAAGGAAGTTTCTGAGAATTCTTCTGTCTAGATTCATACGAAGAAATCCCGTTTCCAACGAAGGCCTCAAAGAAGTCCAAATATCCCATTGCAAATTCTACAAAAGGAGTGTTTCCCAACTGCTCTATCAAGAGGAATGTTGCACTCTGTGACTTGAATGCAAACATCACATAGCAGTGTTTGAGAATTCTTCTGTCTAGAGTAACATGAAGAAATCCCGTTTCCAACGAAGGCCTCAAGGCGGTCCAATTATCCACTTGCAGATTCTACAGAAAGAGTGTTTCAAAACTGCTCTATCAAGAGAAATGTTCCACCGTGTGTGTGGAATGCAGCCATCACACAGTAGTTTCTGAGATTGCTTCCGTCTAGGTTTTATGGGAAGATATTTCCTTTTCTACCATAGGCTTCAAGGCGCTCTAATATCCGCTTGGAAATACTACAACCACAGCGTTTCAAACTGCTCTATCCAAAGGAAGGTTCCACTCTGTGACTTGAATGCACACAACCAAAGAAGTTTCGGAGAATTCTTCTGTCTAGATTTATACGAAGAAATCCCGTTTCCAACGAAGACCCAAAGGAGTTCCAAATATCCACTTGCAGATCCTTCAGAAAGAGGGTTTCAAAACTGCTCTATCAAGAGAAATGTTCAACTACTGTGAGTTGAATGCAGACATCACAAAGTCGTTTCTGAGATTGGTTCTGTCTAGGTTTTATGGGAAGATATTTCCTTTTCTACCATACGCTTCAAGGCGTTCCAAATATCCGCTTGGAAATACTACAAAAACGGTGTTTCAAAACTGCTCTATCAAAAGGAAGGATCCACACTGTGAGTTGAATTCACACATCACAAAGAAATCTCTGAGAATTCTTCTGTCTGGGTTTATAGGAAGAAATCCCGTTTCCAACGAAGGCCTCAAAGCGGTCCATATATCCACTTGCAGATTCTACAGAAACAATGTTTCCAAACTGCTCTATCAAGAGGAATGTTGCACTCGGTGAGTTGAATGCACACATCACAAAGTAGTTTCTGAGATTGCTTCTGTCTACCTTTTATGGAAAGATATTCCCTTTTCTACCATAGGCCTGAAAGCGCTCTCAATGTACCCTTGCAAATTCTACAAAAAGAGTGTTTCCAAATTGCTCTATCAAGAGAAATCTTTATCTCAGTGAGTTGAAAGCACACATCACAAAGAAGACTCTGAGAATTCTTCTGTCTGTGTTTATAAGATGAAAACCCGTTTCCAACGAAGGCCTCAAGGAGGTCCAAATACAAACAAGCTGATTCTACAGAAAGAGTGTTTCCAAACTGCTCTATCAAGAGGAATGTTCCACTCGGTGAGTTGAATGCAGACATCACAAAGGAGTTTCTGAGATTGCTTCTGTCTAGCTTTTATGGAAAGATATTTCCTTTTCTACCATAGGCCTCAAAGCGCTCTTAGTATACACTTCCAAATTCTACAAAGAGAGTGTTACTAAACCGCTCTCTCAAAGGAAATGTTAAACTCTGTGAGTTGAACACAGACATCACAAAGCAGTTTCTGAGAACACTTCTGTCTGCCTTTTATGTGAAGACATTCCCTTTTCCAAAGAATGCCTCCAAGGGCTCAAAATATCCACTTGTAGACTTTACAAAGAGAGTGTTTCAAAACTTCTCTACCAAAAGAAAGGTTAAAGACGGTGAGTTCAACGCACACATCACAAAGTTGTTTCTGAGAATGATTCTATCTATGTTTTCCATGAAGATGTTTCCTTTTCTAACATAGGCTTCAAAGTGGTCTAAATATCCACTTGGAAATCCTACAAGAACAGGGTTTCAAAACTTCTCTATCAAACGGAAGACTCCACTCTGTGAGATGAACGCACACATCACAATGAGGTTTCTGAAAATTCTTCTGTCTAGGGTTATAGGAAGAAATCCCGTTTCCAACGAAGGCCTCAAAGAGGTCCAAATATCCACTTGCAGTTTCTACAAAAAGAGTGTTTCAACACTGCTCTATAAAGAGAAAAGTTCCACTCTGTGAGTTGAATGTACACATCACAAAGTAGTTTCTGAGATTGCTTCTGTCTAGGTTTTAGGTGAAGTTATTTCCTTTTCTACTGTGGGCTTCAATGCGCTCTAAATATACACATGCAAATACTACAAAAAGAGTGTTTCAAAACTGCTCTATCAAAAGAAAAGTTTTACTCTGTGAGTTGAACGCACACATCGCAAAGCAGATTCTGAGAATTATTCTGTCTAGTTTTTATAGGAAGATGTTTCTTTTTCTGCCATAGGCTCAATGCGCTATAAATATCCCCTTGGAAATCCTACAAAAACAGTGTTTCAAAACTGCTCTGTGAAAAGGGAGGTTTCACTCTTTGAATTGAATGCACACATCACAAAGGAGTTTCTGAAAATTCTTCAATCTAGAGTTACATGAAGAAATCCCGTTTCCAAAGAAGGCCTCAAATAGGTCCAAATATCCACTTGCAGCTACTACAAGAAGGGTGTTTCAGAAACGCTCTATCAAAAGAAACGTTAAACTCTGTGAGTTGAACGCACACGTCACTAAGCACTTTCTGAGAACGATTCTATCTACTTTTTACATGAAGATGTTTCCTTTTCTAGCAGAGACTTCAAAGTGCTCTAAATATCCACTTGGGAATTCTACAAAAACGGTGTCTCAAAACTGCTCTACCAAAGGGAATGTTCCATTCTGTGAGTCGAATGCACACATCCGAAGAAGTTACTGAGAATTCTTCTGTGTAGGTTTAGATGAAGAAATCCCGTTTCCAACGAAGGCCTCTAGGAGGTCCAATTATCCACTTGCAGATTCTACAGAAAGAGTGTTTCAAAACTGCTCTATCAAGAGAAATGGTCCACCGTGTGTGTGGAATGCAGCCATCACACATTAGTTTCTGAGATTGCTTCTGTCTTGGTTTTATGGGGAGATATTTCCATTTCTAGCATAGGCTTCAAGGCGCTCTAAATATCCGCTTGGAAATACTACAAAAACAGTGTTTCAAAACTGCTGTATCCAAAGGAAGGTGCCACTCGCTGAGTTGAATGCACACATCACAAGGAAGTTTCTGAGAATTCTTCTGTCTAGATTCATACGAAGAAATCCCGTTTCCAACGAAGGCCTCAAAGAAGTCCAAATATCCCATTGCAAATTCTACAAAAGGAGTGTTTCCCAACTGCTCTATCAAGAGGAATGTTGCACTCTGTGACTTGCATGCAAACATCACACAGCAGTGTTTGAGAATTCTTCTGTCTAGAGTAACATGAAGAAATCCCGTTTCCAACGAAGGCCTCAAGGCGGTCCAATTATCCACTTGCAGATTCTACAGAAAGAGTGTTTCAAAACTGCTCTATCAAGAGAAATGTTCCACCGTGTGTGTGGAATGCAGCCATCACACAGTAGTTTCTGAGATTGCTTCCGTCTAGGTTTTATGGGAAGATATTTCCTTTTCTACCATAGGCCTCAAGGCGCTCTAATATCCGCTTGGAAATACTACAACCACAGCGTTTCAAACTGCTCTATCCAAAGGAAGGTTCCACTCTGTGACTTGAATGCACACAACCAAAGAAGTTTCGGAGAATTCTTCGGTCTAGATTTATACGAAGAAATCCCGTTTCCAACGAAGACCCAAAGGAGTTCCAAATATCCACTTGCAGATCCTTCAGAAAGAGGGTTTCAAAACTGCTCTATCAAGAGAAATGTTCAACTCTGTGAGGTGAATGCAGACATCACAAAGTCGTTTCTGAGATTGGTTCTGTCTAGGTTTTATGGGAAGATATTTCCTTTTCTACCATGCGCTTCAAGGCGTTCCAAATATCCGCTTGGAAATACTACAAAAACAGTGTTTCAAACCTGCTCTATCAAAAGGAAGGATCCACACTGTGAGTTGAATTCACACATCACAAAGAAGTCTCTGAGAATTCTTCTGTCTGGGTTTATAGGAAGAAATCCCGTTTCCAACGAAGGCCTCAAAGAGGTCCAAATATCCACTTGCAGATTCTACAGAAACAATGTTTCCAAACTGCTCTATCAAGAGGAATGTTGCAATCGGTGAGTTGAATGCACACATCACAAAGTAGTTTCTGAGATTGCTTCTGTCTACCTTTGATGGAAAGATATTCCCTTTTCTACCATAGGCCTGAAAGCGCTCTCAATGTACCCTTGCAAATTCTACAAAAAGAGTGTTTCCAAATTGCTCTATCAAGAGAAATCTTTATCTCGGTGAGTTGAAAGCACACATCACAAAGAAGAACCTGAGAATTCTTCTGTCTGGGTTTATAAGATGAAAACCCGTTTCCAACGAAGGCCTCAAGGAGGTCCAACTACAAACAAGCTGATTCTACAGAAAGAGCGTTTCCAAACTGCTCTATCAAGAGGAATGTTCCACTCGGTGAGTTGAATGCAGACATCACAAAGGAGTTTCTGAGATTGCTTCTGTCTAGCTTTTATGGAAAGATATTTCCTTTTCTACCATAGGCCTCAAAGCGCTCTTAGTATACACTTCCAAATTCTACAAAGAGAGTGTTACTAAACTGCTCTATCAAAGGAAATGTTAAACTCTGTGAGTTGAACACAGACATCACAAAGCAGTTTCTGAGAACACTTCTGTCTGCCTTTTATGTGAAGACATTCCCTTTTCCAAAGAATGCCTCCAAGGGCCCAAAATATCCACTTGTAGACTTTACAAAGAGAGTGTTTCAAAACTTCTCTACCAAAAGAAAGGTTAAAGGCTGTGAGTTCAACGCAAACATCACAAAGTTGTTTCTGAGAATGATTCTATCTATGTTTTCCATGAAGATGTTTCCTTTTCTATCATAGGCTTCAAAGTGGTCTAAATATCCACTTGGAAATCCTACAAGAACAGGGTTTCAAAACTTCTCTATCAAACGGAAGACTCCACTCTGTGAGATGAACGCACACATCACAATGAGGTTTCTGAAAATTCTTCTGTCTAGGGTTATAGGAAGAAATCCCGTTTCCAACGAAGGCCTCAAAGAGGTCCAAATATCCACTTGCAGTTTCTACAAAAAGAGTGTTTCAACACTGCTCTATAAAGAGGAAAGTTCCACTCTGTGAGTTGAATGTACACATCACAAAGTAGTTTCTGAGATTGCTTCTGTCTAGGTTTTAGGTGAAGTTATTTCCTTTTCTACTGTGGGCTTCAATGCGCTCTAAATATACACATGCAAATACTACAAAAAGAGTGTTTCAAAACTGCTCTATCAAAAGAAAAGTTTTACTCTGTGCGTTGAACGCACACATGGCAAAGCAGATTCTGAGAATTATTCTGTCTAGTTTTTATAGGAAGATGTTTCTTTTTCTGCCGTAGGCTCAATGCGCTATATATATCCCCTTGGAAATCCTACAAAAACAGTGTTTCAAAACTGCTCTGTGAAAAGGGAGGTTTCACTCTTTGAATTGAATGCACACATCACAAAGGAGTTTCTGAAAATTCTTCAATCTAGAGTTACATGAAGAAATCCCGTTTCCAAAGAAGGCCTCAAATAGGTCCAAATATCCACTTGCAGCTACTACAAGAAGGGTGTTTCAGAAACGCTCTATCAAAAGAAACGTTAAACTCTGTGAGTTGAACACACACGTCACTAAGCACTTTCTGAGAACGATTGTATCTACTTTTTACATGAAGATGTTTCCTTTTCTAGCAGAGACTTCAAAGTGCTCTAAATATCCACTTGGGAATTCTACAAAAACGGTGTCTCAAAACTGCTCTATCAAACGGAATGTTCCATTGTGTGAGTCGAATGCACACATCCGAAGAAGTTACTGAGAATTCTTCTCTGTAGGTTTAGATGAAGAAATCCCGTTTCCAACGAAGGCCTCTAGGAGGTCCAATTATCCACTTGCAGATTCTACAGAAAGAGTGTTTCAAAACTGCTCTATCAAGAGAAATGGTCCACCGTGTGTGTGGAATGCAGCCATCACACATTAGTTTCTGAGATTGCTTCTGTCTTGGTTTTATGGGGAGATATTTCCATTTCTAGCATAGGCTTCAAGGCGCTCTAAATATCCGCTTGGAAATACTACAAAAACAGTGTTTCAAAACTGCTGTATCCAAAGGAAGGTGCCACTCGCTGAGTTGAATGCACACATCACAAGGAAGTTTCTGAGAATTCTTCTGTCTAGATTCATACGAAGAAATCCCGTTTCCAACGAAGGCCTCAAAGAAGTCCAAATATCCCATTGCAAATTCTACAAAAGGAGTGTTTCCCAACTGCTCTATCAAGAGGAATGTTGCACTCTGTGACTTGCATGCAAACATCACACAGCAGTGTTTGAGAATTCTTCTGTCTAGAGTAACATGAAGAAATCCCGTTTCCAACGAAGGCCTCAAGGCGGTCCAATTATCCACTTGCAGATTCTACAGAAAGAGTGTTTCAAAACTGCTCTATCAAGAGAAATGTTCCACCGTGTGTGTGGAATGCAGCCATCACACAGTAGTTTCTGAGATTGCTTCCGTCTAGGTTTTATGGGAAGATATTTCCTTTTCTACCATAGGCTTCAAGGCGCTCTAATATCCGCTTGGAAATACTACAACCACAGCGTTTCAAACTGCTCTATCCAAAGGAAGGTTCCACTCTGTGACTTGAATGCACACAACCAAAGAAGTTTCGGAGAATTCTTCTGTCTAGATTTATACGAAGAAATCCCGTTTCCAACGAAGACCCAAAGGAGTTCCAAATATCCACTTGCAGATCCTTCAGAAAGAGGGTTTCAAAACTGCTCTATCAAGAGAAATGTTCAACTCTGTGAGTTGAATGCAGACATCACAAAGTCGTTTCTGAGATTGGTTCTGTCTAGGTTTTATGGGAAGATATTTCCTTTTCTACCATACGCTTCAAGGCGTTCCAAATATCCGCTTGGAAATACTACAAAAACAGTGTTTCAAAACTGCTCTATCAAAAGGAAGGATCCACACTGTGAGTTGAATTCACACATCACAAAGAAGTCTCTGAGAATTCTTCTGTCTGGGTTTATAGGAAGAAATCCCGTTTCCAACGAAGGCCTCAAAGAGGTCCAAATATCCACTTGCAGATTCTACAGAAACAATGTTTCCAAACTGCTCGGTCAAGAGGAATGTTGCACTCGGTGAGTTGAATGCACACATCACAAAGTAGTTTCTGAGATTGCTTCTGTCTACCTTTTATGGAAAGATATTCCCTTTTCTACCATAGGCCTGAAAGCGCTCTCAATTTACCCTTGCAAATTCTACAAAAAGAGTGTTTCCAAATTGCTCTATCAAGAGAAATCTTTATCTCGGTGAGTTGAAAGCACACATCACAAAGAAGACTCTGAGAATTCTTCTGTCTGGGTTTATAAGATGAAAACCTGTTTCCAACGAAGGCCTCAAGGAGGTCCAAATACAAACAAGCTGATTCTACAGAAAGAGTGTTTCCAAACTGCTCTATCAAGAGGAATGTTCCACTCGGTGAGTTGAATGCAGACATCACAAAGGAGTTTCTGAGATTGCTTCTGTCTAGCTTTTATGGAAAGATATTTCCTTTTCTACCATAGGCCTCAAAGCGCTCTTAGTATACACTTCCAAATTCTACAAAGAGAGTGTTACTAAACCGCTCTCTCAAAGGAAATGTTAAACTCTGTGAGTTGAACACAGACATCACAAAGCAGTTTCTGAGAACACTTCTGTCTGCCTTTTATGTGAAGACATTCCCTTTTCCAAAGAATGCCTCCAAGGGCTCAAAATATCCACTTGTAGACTTTACAAAGAGAGTGTTTCAAAACTTCTCTACCAAAAGAAAGGTTAAAGACGGTGAGTTCAACACACACATCACAAAGTTGTTTCTGAGAATGATTCTATCTATGTTTTCCATGAAGATGTTTCCTTTTCTATCATAGGCTTCAAAGTGGTCTAAATATCCACTTGGAAATCCTACAAGAACAGGGTTTCAAAACTTCTCTATCAAACGGAAGACTCCACTCTGTGAGATGAACGCACACATCACAATGAGGTTTCTGAAAATTCTTCTGTCTAGGGTTATAGGAAGAAATCCCGTTTCCAACGAAGGCCTCAAAGAGGTCCAAATATCCACTTGCAGTTTCTACAAAAAGAGTGTTTCAACACTGCTCTATAAAGAGGAAAGTTCCACTCTGTGAGTTGAATGTACACATCACAAAGTAGTTTCTGAGATTGCTTCTGTCTAGGTTTTAGGTGAAGTTATTTCCTTTTCTACTGTGGGCTTCAATGCGCTCTAAATATACACATGCAAATACTACAAAAAGAGTGTTTCAAAACTGCTCTATCAAAAGAAAAGTTTTACTCTGTGAGTTGAACGCACACATCACAAAGCAGATTCTGAGAATTATTCTGTCTAGTTTTTATAGGAAGATGTTTCTTTTTCTGCCATAGGATCAATGCGCTATAAATATCCCCTTGGAAATCCTACAAAAAGAGTGTTTCAAAACTGCTCTGTGAAAAGGGACGTTTCACTCTTTGAATTGAATGCACACATCACAAAGGAGTTTCTGAAAATTCTTCAATCTAGAGTTACATGAAGAAATCCCGTTTCCAAAGAAGGCCTCAAATAGGTCCAAATATCCACTTGCAGCTACTACAAGAAGGGTGTTTCAGAAACGCTCTATCAAAAGAAACGTTAAACTCTGTGAGTTGAACACACACGTCACTAAGCACTTTCTGAGAACGATTCTATCTACTTTTTACATGAAGATGTTTCCTTTTCTAGCAGAGACTTCAAAGTGCTCTAAATATCCACTTGGGAATTCTACAAATCGGTGTCTCAAAACTGCTCTATCAAACGGAATGTTCCATTCTGTGAGTCGAATGCACACATCCGAAGAAGTTACTGAGAATTCTTCTCTGTAGGTTTAGATGAAGAAATCCCGTTTCCAACGAAGGCCTCTAGGAGGTCCAATTATCCACTTGCAGATTCTACAGAAAGAGTGTTTCAAAACTGCTCTATCAAGAGAAATGGTCCACCGTGTGTGTGGAATGCAGCCATCACACATTAGTTTCTGAGATTGCTTCTGTCTTGGTTTTATGGGGAGATATTTCCATTTCTAGCATAGGCTTCAAGGCGCTCTAAATATCCGCTTGGAAATACTACAAAAACAGTGTTTCAAAACTGCTGTATCCAAAGGAAGGTGCCACTCGCTGAGTTGAATGCACACATCACAAGGAAGTTTCTGAGAATTCTTCTGTCTAGATTCATATGAAGAAATCCCGTTTCCAACGAAGGCCTCAAAGAAGTCCAAATATCCCATTGCAAATTCTACAAAAGGAGTGTTTCCCAACTGCTCTATCAAGAGGAATGTTGCACTCTGTGACTTGCATGCAAACATCACATAGCAGTGTTTGAGAATTCTTCTGTCTAGAGTAACATGAAGAAATCCCGTTTCCAACGAAGGCCTCAAGGCGGTCCAATTATCCACTTGCAGATTCTACAGAAAGAGTGTTTCAAAACTGCTCTATCAAGAGAAATGTTCCACCGTGTGTGTGGAATGCAGCCATCACACAGTAGTTTCTGAGATTGCTTCCGTCTAGGTTTTATGGGAAGATATTTCCTTTTCTACCATAGGCCTCAAGGCGCTCTAATATCCGCTTGGAAATACTACAACCACTGCGTTTCAAACTGCTCTATCCAAAGGAAGGTTCCACTCTGTGACTTGAATGCACACAACCAAAGAAGTTTCGGAGAATTCTTCTGTCTGGATTTATACGAAGAAATCCCGTTTCCAACGAAGACCCAAAGGAGTTCCAAATATCCACTTGCAGATCCTTCAGAAAGAGGGTTTCAAAACTGCTCTATCAAGAGAAATGTTGAACTCTGTGAGTTGAATGCAGACATCACAAAGTCGTTTCTGAGATGGGTTCTGTCTAGGTTTTATGGGAAGATATTTCCTTTTCTACCATACGCTTCAAGGCGTTCCAAATATCCGCTTGGAAATACTACAAAAACAGTGTTTCAAAACTGCTCTATCAAAAGGAAGGATCCACACTGTGAGTTGAATTCACACATCACAAAGAAGTCTCTGAGAATTCTTCTGTCTGGGTTTATAGGAAGAAATCCCGTTTCCAACGAAGGCCTCAAAGAAGGTCCATATATCCACTTGCAGATTCTACAGAAACAATGTTTCCAAACTGCTCGGTCAAGAGGAATGTTGCACTCGGTGAGTTGAATGCACACATCACAAAGTAGTTTCTGAGATTGCTTCTGTCTACCTTTTATGGAAAGATATTCCCTTTTCTACCATAGGCCTGAAAGCGCTCTCAATGTACCCTTGCAAATTCTACAAAAAGAGTGTTTCCAAATTGCTCTATCAAGAGAAATCTTTATCTCGGTGAGTTGAAAGCACACATCACAAAGAAGACTCTGAGAATTCTTCTGTCTGGGTTTATAAGATGAAAACCCGTTTCCAACGAAGGCCTCAAGGAGGTCCAAATACAAACAAGCTGATTCTACAGAAAGAGTGTTTCCAAACTGCTCTATCAAGAGGAATATTCCACTCGGTGAGTTGAATGCAGACATCACAAAGGAGTTTCTGAGATTGCTTCTGTCTAGCTTTTATGGAAAGATATTTCCTTTTCTACCATAGGCCTCAAAGCGCTCTTAGTATACACTTCCAAATTCTACAAAGAGAGTGTTACTAAACCGCTCTCTCAAAGGAAATGTTACACTCTGTTAGTTGAACACAGACATCACAAAGCAGTTTCTGAGAACACTTCTGTCTGCCTTTTATGTGAAGACATTCCCTTTTCCAAAGAATGCCTCCAAGGGCTCAAAATATCCACTTGTAGACTTTACAAAGAGAGTGTTTCAAAACTTCTCTACCAAAAGAAAGGTTAAAGACGGTGAGTTCAACGCACACATCACAAAGTTGTTTCTGAGAATGATTCTATCTATGTTTTCCATGAAGATGTTTCCTTTTCTATCATAGGCTTCAAAGTGGTCTAAATATCCACTTGGAAATCCTACAAGAACAGGGTTTCAAAACTTCTCTATCAAACGGAAGACTCCACTCTGTGAGATGAACGCACACATCACAATGAGGTTTCTGAAAATTCTTCTGTCTAGGGTTATAGGAAGAAATCCCGTTTCCAACGAAGGCCTCAAAGAGGTCCAAATATCCACTTGCAGTTTCTACAAAAAGAGTGTTTCAACACTGCTCTATAAAGAGGAAAGTTCCACTCTGTGAGTTGAATGTACACATCACAAAGTAGTTTCTGAGATTGCTTCTGTCTAGGTTTTAGGTGAAGTTATTTCCTTTTCTACTGTGGGCTTCAATGCGCTCTAAATATACACATGCAAATACTACAAAAAGAGTGTTTCAAAACTGCTCTATCAAAAGAAAAGTTTTACTCTGTGAGTTGAACGCACACATCGCAAAGCAGATTCTGAGAATTATTCTGTCTAGTTTTTATAGGAAGATGTTTCTTTTTCTGCCATAGGATCAATGCGCTATAAATATCCCCTTGGAAATCCTACAAAAACAGTGTTTCAAAACTGCTCTGTGAAAAGGGACGTTTCACTCTTTGAATTGAATGCACACATCACAAAGGAGTTTCTGAAAATTCTTCAAACTAGAGTTACATGAAGAAATCCCGTTTCCAAAGAAGGCCTCAAATAGGTCCAAATATCCACTTGCAGCTACTACAAGAAGGGTGTTTCAGAAACGCTCTATCAAAAGAAACTGTTAAACTCTGTGAGTTGAACGCACACGTCACTAAGCGCTTTCTGAGAACGATTCTATCTACTTTTTACATGAAGATGTTTCCTTTTCTAGCAGAGACTTCAAAGTGCTCTAAATATCCACTTGGGAATTCTACAAAAACGGTGTCTCAAAACTGCTCTATCAAACGGAATGTTCCATTCTGTGAGTCGAAAGCACACATCCGAAGAAGTTACTGAGAATTCTTCTCTGTAGGTTTAGATGAAGAAATCCCGTTTCCAACGAAGGCCTCTAGGAGGTCCAATTATCCACTTGCAGATTCTACAGAAAGAGTGTTTCAAAACTGCTCTATCAAGAGAAATGGTCCACCGTGTGTGTGGAATGCAGCCATCACACATTAGTTTCTGAGATTGCTTCTGTCTTGGTTTTATGGGGAGATATTTCCATTTCTAGCATAGGCTTCAAGGCGCTCTAAATATCCGCTTGGAAATACTACAAAAACAGTGTTTCAAAACTGCTGTATCCAAAGGAAGGTGCCACTCGCTGAGTTGAATGCACACATCACAAGGAAGTTTCTGAGAATTCTTCTGTCTAGATTCATACGAAGAAATCCCGTTTCCAATGAAGGCCTCAAAGAAGTCCAAATATCCCATTGCAAATTCTACAAAAGGAGTGTTTCCCAACTGCTCTATCAAGAGGAATGTTGCACTCTGTGACTTGCATGCAAACATCACATAGCAGTGTTTGAGAATTCTTCTGTCTAGAGTAACATGAAGAAATCCCGTTTCCAACGAAGGCCTCAAGGTGGTCCAATTATCCACTTGCAGATTCTACAGAAAGAGTGTTTCAAAACTGCTCTATCAAGAGAAATGTTCCACCGTGTGTGTGGAATGCAGCCATCACACAGTAGTTTCTGAGATTGCTTCCGTCTAGGTTTTATGGGAAGATATTTCCTTTTCTACCATAGGCCTCAAGGCGCTCTAATATCCGCTTGGAAATACTACAACCACAGCGTTTCAAACTGCTCTATCCAAAGGAAGGTTCCACTCTGTGACTTGAATGCACACAACCAAAGAAGTTTCGGAGAATTCTTCTGTCTAGATTTATACGAAGAAATCCCGTTTCCAACGAAGACCCAAAGGAGTTCCAAATATCCACTTGCAGATCCTTCAGAAAGAGGGTTTCAAAACTGCTCTATCAAGAGAAATGTTCAACTCTGTGAGTTGAATGCAGACATCACAAAGTCGTTTCTGAGATTGGTTCTGTCTAGGTTTTATGGGAAGATATTTCCTTTTCTACCATACGCTTCAAGGCGTTCCAAATATCCGCTTGGAAATACTACAAAAACAGTGTTTCAAAACTGCTCTATCAAAAGGAAGGATCCACACTGTGAGTTGAATTCACACATCACAAAGAAGTCTCTGAGAATTCTTCTGTCTGGGTTTATAGGAAGAAATCCCGTTTCCAACGAAGGCCTCAAAGAGGTCCAAATATCCACTTGCAGATTCTACAGAAACAATGTTTCCAAACTGCTCGGTCAAGAGGAATGTTGCACTCGGTGAGTTGAATGCACACATCACAAAGTAGTTTCTGAGATTGCTTCTGTCTACCTTTTATGGAAAGATATTCCCTTTTCTACCATAGGCCTGAAAGCGCTCTCAATGTACCCTTGCAAATTCTACAAAAAGAGTGTTTCCAAATTGCTCTATCAAGAGAAATCTTTATCTCGGTGAGTTGAAAGCACACATCACAAAGAAGACTCTGAGAATTCTTCTGTCTGGGTTTATAAGATGAAAACCCGTTTCCAACGAAGGCCTCAAGGAGGTCCAAATACAAACAAGCTGATTCTACAGAAAGAGTGTTTCCAAACTGCACTATCAAGAGGAATGTTCCACTCGGTGAGTTGAATGCAGACATCACAAAGGAGTTTCTGAGATTGCTTCTGTCTAGCTTTTATGGAAAGATATTTCCTTTTCTACCATAGGCCTCAAAGCGCTCTTAGTATACACTTCCAAATTCTACAAAGAGAGTGTTACTAAACCGCTCTCTCAAAGGAAATGTTAAACTCTGTGAGTTGAACACAGACATCACAAAGCAGTTTCTGAGAACACTTCTGTCTGCCTTTTATGTGAAGACATTCCCTTTTCCAAAGAATGCCTCCAAGGGCTCAAAATATCCACTCGTAGACTTTACAAAGAGAGTGTTTCAAAACTTCTCTACCAAAAGAAAGGTTAAAGACGGTGAGTTCAACGCACACATCACAAAGTTGTTTCTGAGAATGATTCTATCTATGTTTTCCATGAAGATGTTTCCTTTTCTATCATAGGCTTCAAAGTGGTCTAAATATCCACTTGGAAATCCTACAAGAACAGGGTTTCAAAACTTCTCTATCAAACGGAACACTCCACTCTGTGAGATGAACGCACACATCACAATGAGGTTTCTGAAAATTCTTCTGTCTAGGGTTATAGGAAGAAATCCCGTTTCCAACGAAGGCCTCAAAGAGGTCTAAATATCCACTTGCAGTTTCTACAAAAAGAGTGTTTCAACACTGCTCTATAAAGAGGAAAGTTCCACTCTGTGAGTTGAATGTACACATCACAAAGTAGTTTCTGAGATTGCTTCTGTCTAGGTTTTAGGTGAAGTTATTTCCTTTTCTACTGTGGGCTTCAATGCGCTCTAAATATACACATGCAAATACTACAAAAAGAGTGTTTCAAAACTGCTCTATCAAAAGAAAAGTTTTACTCTGTGGGTTGAACGCACACATCGCAAAGCAGATTGCTGAGAATTATTCTGTCTAGTTTTTATAGGAAGGTGTTTCTTTTTCTGCCGTAGGCTCAATGCGCTAGAAATATCCCCTTGGAAATCCTACAACAACAGAGTTTCAAAACTGCTCTGTGAAAAGGGAGGTTTCACTCTTTGAATTGAATGCACACATCACAAAGGAGTTTCTGAGAATTCTTCAAACTAGAGTTACATGAAGAAATCCCGTTTCCAAAGAAGGCCTCAAATAGGTCCAAATATCCACTTGCAGCTACTACAAGCAGGGTGTTTCAGAAACGCTCTATCAAAAGAAACGTTAAACTCTGTGAGTTGAACACACACGTCACTAAGCACTTTCTGAGAACGATTCTATCTACTTTTTACATGAAGATGTTTCCTTTTCTAGCAGAGACTTCAAAGTGCTCTAAATATCCACTTGGGAATTCTACAAAAACGGTGTCTCAAAACTGCTCTATCAAACGGAATGTTCCATTCTGTGAGTCGAATGCACACATCCGAAGAAGTTACTGAGAATTCTTCTCTGTAGGTTTAGATGAAGAAATCCGTTTCCAACGAAGGCCTCTAGGAGGTCCTATTATCCACTTGCAGATTCTACAGAAAGAGTGTTTCAAAACTGCTCTATCAAGAGAAATGGTCCACCGTGTGTGTGGAATGCAGCCATCACACATTAGTTTCTGAGATTGCTTCTGTCTTGGTTTTATGGGGAGATATTTCCATTTCTAGCATAGGCTTCAAGGCGCTCTAAATATCCGCTTGGAAATACTACAAAAACAGTGTTTCAAAACTGCTGTATCAAAAGGAAGGTGCCACTCGATGAGTTGAATGCACACATCACAAGGAAGTTTCTGAGAATTCTTCTGTCTAGATTCATACGACGAAAACCCGTTTCCAACGAAGGCCTCAAAGAAGTCCAAATATCCCATTGCAAATTCTACAAAAGGAGTGTTTCCCAACTGCTCTATCAAGAGGAATGTTGCACTCTGTGACTTGAATGCAAACATCACATAGCAGTGTTTGAGAATTCTTCTGTCTAGAGTAACATGAAGAAATCCCGTTTCCAACGAAGGCCTCAAGGCGGTCCAATTATCCACTTGCAGATTCTACAGAAAGAGTGTTTCAAAACTGCTCTATCAAGAGAAATGTTCCACCGTGTGTGTGGAATGCAGCCATCACACAGTAGTTTCTGAGATTGCTTCCGTCTAGGTTTTATGGGAAGATATTTCCTTTTCTACCATAGGCTTCAGGGCGCTCTAATATCCGCTTGGAAATACTACAACCACAGCGTTTCAAACTGCTCTATCCAAAGGAAGGTTCCACTCTGTGACTTGAATGCACACAACCAAAGAAGTTTCGGAGAATTCTTCTGTCTAGATTTATACGAAGAAATCCCGTTTCCAACGAAGACCCAAAGGAGTTCCAAATATCCACTTGCAGATCCTTCAGAAAGAGGGTTTCAAAACTGCTCTATCGAGAGAAATGTTCAACTCTGTGAGTTGAATGCAGACATCACAAAGTCGTTTCTGAGATGGGTTCTGTCTAGGTTTTATGGGAAGATATTTCCTTTTCTACCATACGCTTCAAGGCGTTCCAAATATCCGCTTGGAAATATTACAAAAACGGTGTTTCAAAACTGCTCTATCAAAAGGAAGTATCCACACTGTGAGTTGAATTCACACATCACAAAGAAATCTCTGAGAATTCTTCTGTCTGGGTTTATAGGAAGAAATCCCGTTTCCAACGAAGGCCTCAAAGCGGTCCATATATCCACTTGCAGATTCTACAGAAACAATGTTTCCAAACTGCTCTATCAAGAGGAATGTTGCACTCGGTGAGTTGAATGCACACATCACAAAGTAGTTTCTGAGATTGCTTCTGTCTACCTTTTATGGAAAGATATTCCCTTTTCTACCATAGGCCTGAAAGCGCTCTCAATGTACCCTTGCAAATTCTACAAAAAGAGTGTTTCCAAATTGCTCTATCAAGAGAAATCTTTATCTCGGTGAGTTGAAAGCACACATCACAAAGAAGACTCTGAGAATTCTTCTGTCTGGGTTTATAAGATGAAAACCCGTTTCCAACGAAGGCCTCAAGGAGGTCCAAATACAAACAAGCTGATTCTACAGAAAGAGTGTTTCCAAACTGCTCTATCAAGAGGAATGTTCCACTCGGTGAGTTGAATGCAGACATCACAAAGGAGTTTCTGAGATTGCTTCTGTCTAGCTTTTATGGAAAGATATTTCCTTTTCTACCATAGGCCTCAAAGCGCTCTTGGTATACACTTCCAAATTCTACAAAGAGAGTGTTACTAAACCGCTCTCTCAAAGGAAATGTTAAACTCTGTGAGTTGAACACAGACATCACAAAGCAGTTTCTGAGAACACTTCTGTCTGCCTTTTATGTGAAGACATTCCCTTTTCCAAAGAATGCCTCCAAGGGCTCAAAATATCCACTTGTAGACTTTACAAAGAGAGTGTTTCAAAACTTCTCTACCAAAAGAAAGGTTAAAGACGGTGAGTTCAACGCACACATCACAAAGTTGTTTCTGAGAATGATTCTATCTATGTTTTCCATGAAGATGTTTCCTTTTCTATCATAGGCTTCAAAGTGGTCTAAATATCCACTTGGAAATCCTACAAGAACAGGGTTTCAAAACTTCTCTATCAAACGGAAGACTCCACTCTGTGAGATGAACGCACACATCACAATGAGGTTTCTGAAAATTCTTCTGTCTAGGGTTATAGGAAGAAATCCCGTTTCCAACGAAGGCCTCAAAGAGGTCCAAATATCCACTTGCAGTTTCTACAAAAAGAGTGTTTCAACACTGCTCTATAAAGAGAAAAGTTCCACTCTGTGAGTTGAATGTACACATCACAAAGTAGTTTCTGAGATTGCTTCTGTCTAGGTTTTAGGTGAAGTTATTTCCTTTTCTACTGTGGGCTTCAATGCGCTCTAAATATACACATGCAAATACTACAAAAAGAGTGTTTCAAAACTGCTCTATCAAAAGAAAAGTTTTACTCTGTGAGTTGAACGCACACATCGCAAAGCAGATTCTGAGAATTATTCTGTCTAGTTTTTATAGGAAGATGTTTCTTTTTCTGCCGTAGGCTCAATGCGCTATAAATATCCCCTTGGAAATCCTACAAAAACAGTGTTTCAAAACTGCTCTGTGAAAAGGGAGGTTTCACTCTTTGAATTGAATGCACACATCACAAAGGAGTTTCTGAAAATTCTTCAATCTAGAGTTACATGAAGAAATCCCGTTTCCAAAGAAGGCCTCAAATAGGTCCAAATATCCACTTGCAGCTACTACAAGAAGGGTGTTTCAGAAACGCTCTATCAAAAGAAACGTTAAACTCTGTGAGTTGAACACACACGTCACTAAGCACTTTCTGAGAACGATTCTATCTACTTTTTACATGAAGATGTTTCCTTTTCTAGCAGAGACTTCAAAGTGCTCTAAATATCCACTTGGGAATTCTACAAAAACGGTGTCTCAAAACTGCTCTATCAAAGGGAATGTTCCATTCTGTGAGTCGAATGCACACATCCGAAGAAGTTACTGAGAATTCTTCTCTGTAGGTTTAGATGAAGAAATCCCGTTTCCAACGAAGGCCTCTAGGAGGTCCAATTATCCACTTGCAGATTCTACAGAAAGAGTGTTTCAAAACTGCTCTATCAAGAGAAATGGTCCACCGTGTGTGTGGAATGCAGCCATCACACATTAGTTTCTGAGATTGCTTCTGTCTTGGTTTTATGGGGAGATATTTCCATTTCTAGCATAGGCTTCAAGGCGCTCTAAATATCCGCTTGGAAATACTACAAAAACAGTGTTTCAAAACTGCTGTATCCAAAGGAAGGTGCCACTCGCTGAGTTGAATGCACACATCACAAGGAAGTTTCTGAGAATTCTTCTGTCTAGATTCATACGAAGAAATCCCGTTTCCAACGAAGGCCTCAAAGAAGTCCAAATATCCCATTGCAAATTCTACAAAAGGAGTGTTTCCCAACTGCTCTATCAAGAGGAATGTTGCACTCTGTGACTTGCATGCAAACATCACACAGCAGTGTTTGAGAATTCTTCTGTCTAGAGTAACATGAAGAAATCCCGTTTCCAACGAAGGCCTCAAGGCGGTCCAATTATCCACTTGCAGATTCTACAGAAAGAGTGTTTCAAAACTGCTCTATCAAGAGAAATGTTCCACCGTGTGTGTGGAATGCAGCCATCACACAGTAGTTTCTGAGATTGCTTCCGTCTAGGTTTTATGGGAAGATATTTCCTTTTCTACCATAGGCCTCAAGGCGCTCTAATATCCGCTTGGAAATACTACAACCACAGCGTTTCAAACTGCTCTATCCAAAGGAAGGTTCCACTCTGTGAGTTGAATGCACACAACCAAAGAAGTTTCGGAGAATTCTTCTGTCTAGATTTATACGAAGAAATCCCGTTTCCAACGAAGACCCAAAGGAGTTCCAAATATCCACTTGCAGATCCTTCAGAAAGAGGGTTTCAAAACTGCTCTATCAAGAGAAATGTTCAACTCTGTGAGTTGAATGCAGACATCACAAAGTCGTTTCTGAGATTGGTTCTGTCTAGGTTTTATGGGAAGATATTTCCTTTTCTACCATACGCTTCAAGGCGTTCCAAATATCCGCTTGGAAATACTACAAAAACAGTGTTTCAAAACTGCTCTATCAAAAGGAAGGATCCACACTGTGAGTTGAATTCACACATCACAAAGAAGTCTCTGAGAATTCTTCTGTCTGGGTTTATAGGAAGAAATCCCGTTTCCAACGAAGGCCTCAAAGAGGTCCAAATATCCACTTGCAGATTCTACAGAAACAATGTTTCCAAACTGCTCGGTCAAGAGGAATGTTGCACTCGGTGAGTTGAATGCACACATCACAAAGTAGTTTCTGAGATTGCTTCTGTCTACCTTTTATGGAAAGATATTCCCTTTTCTACCATAGGCCTGAAAGCGCTCTCAATGTACCCTTGCAAATTCTACAAAAAGAGTGTTTCCAAATTGCTCTATCAAGAGAAATCTTTATCTCGGTGAGTTGAAAGCACACATCACAAAGAAGACTCTGAGAATTCTTCTGTCTGGGTTTATAAGATGAAAACCCGTTTCCAACGAAGGCCTCAAGGAGGTCCAAATACAAACAAGCTGATTCTACAGAAAGAGTGTTTCCAAACTGCTCTATCAAGAGGAATGTTCCACTCGGTGAGTTGAATGCAGACATCACAAAGGAGTTTCTGAGATTGCTTCTGTCTAGCTTTTATGGAAAGATAATTCCTTTTCTACCATAGGCCTCAAAGCGCTCTTAGTATACACTTCCAAATTCTACAAAGAGAGTGTTACTAAACCGCTCTCTCAAAGGAAATGTTAAACTCTGTGAGTTGAACACAGACATCACAAAGCAGTTTCTGAGAACACTTCTGTCTGCCTTTTATGTGAAGACATTCCCTTTTCCAAAGAATGCCTCCAAGGGCTCAAAATATCCACTTGTAGACTTTACAAAGAGAGTGTTTCAAAACTTCTCTACCAAAAGAAAGGTTAAAGACGGTGAGTTCAACGCACACATCACAAAGTTGTTTCTGAGAATGATTCTATCTATGTTTTCCATGAAAGATGTTTCCTTTTCTATCATAGGCTTCAAAGTGGTCTAAATATCCACTTGGAAATCCTACAAGAACAGGGTTTCAAAACTTCTCTATCAAACGGAAGACTCCACTCTGTGAGATGAACGCACACATCACAATGAGGTTTCTGAAAATTCTTCTGTCTAGGGTTATAGGAAGAAATCCCGTTTCCAACGAAGGCCTCAAAGAGGTCCAAATATCCACTTGCAGTTTCTACAAAAAGAGTGTTTCAACACTGCTCTATAAAGAGGAAAGTTCCACTCTGTGAGTTGAATGTACACATCACAAAGTAGTTTCTGAGATTGCTTCTGTCTAGGTTTTAGGTGAAGTTATTTCCTTTTCTACTGTGGGCTTCAATGCGCTCTAAATATACACATGCAAATACTACAAAAAGAGTGTTTCAAAACTGCTCTATCAAAAGAAAAGTTTTACTCTGTGAGTTGAACGCACACATCGCAAAGCAGATTCTGAGAATTATTCTGTCTAGTTTTTATAGGAAGATGTTTCTTTTTCTGCCATAGGATCAATGCGCTATAAATATCCCCTTGGAAATCCTACAAAAACAGTGTTTCAAAACTGCTCTGTGAAAAGGGAGGTTTCACTCTTTGAATTGAATGCACACATCACAAAGGAGTTTCTGAAAATTCTTCAATCTAGAGTTACATGAAGAAATCCCGTTTCCAAAGAAGGCCTCAAATAGGTCCAAATATCCACTTGCAGCTACTACAAGAAGGGTGTTTCAGAAACGCTCTATCAAAAGAAACGATAAACTCTGTGAGTTGAACACACACGTCACTAAGCACTTTCTGAGAACGATTCTATCTACTTTTTACATGAAGATGTTTCCTTTTCTAGCAGAGACTTCAAAGTGCTCTAAATATCCACTTGGGAATTCTACAAAAACGGTGTCTCAAAACTGCTCTATCAAAGGGAATGTTCCATTCTGTGAGTCGAATGCACACATCCGAAGAAGTTACTGAGAATTCTTCTCTGTAGGTTTAGATGAAGAAATCCCGTTTCCAACGAAGGCCTCTAGGAGGTCCAATTATCCACTTGCAGATTCTACAGAAAGAGTGTTTCAAAACTGCTCTATCAAGAGAAATGGTCCACCGTGTGTGTGGAATGCAGCCATCACACATTAGTTTCTGAGATTGCTTCTGTCTTGGTTTTATGGGGAGATATTTCCATTTCTAGCATAGGCTTCAAGGCGCTCTAAATATCCGCTTGGAAATACTACAAAAACAGTGTTTCAAAACTGCTGTATCCAAAGGAAGGTGCCACTCGCTGAGTTGAATGCACACATCACAAGGAAGTTTCTGAGAATTCTTCTGTCTAGATTCATACGAAGAAATCCCGTTTCCAACGAAGGCCTCAAAGAAGTCCAAATATCCCATTGCAAATTCTACAAAAGGAGTGTTTCCCAACTGCTCTATCAAGAGGAATGTTGCACTCTGTGACTTGCATGCAAACATCACACAGCAGTGTTTGAGAATTCTTCTATCTAGAGTAACATGAAGAAATCCCGTTTCCAACGAAGGCCTCAAGGCGGTCCAATTATCCACTTGCAGATTCTACAGAAAGAGTGTTTCAAAACTGCTCTATCAAGAGAAATGTTCCACCGTGTGTGTGGAATGCAGCCATCACACAGTAGTTTCTGAGATTGCTTCCGTCTAGGTTTTATGGGAAGATATTTCCTTTTCTACCATAGGCCTCAAGGCGCTCTAATATCCGCTTGGAAATACTACAACCACAGCGTTTCAAACTGCTCTATCCAAAGGAAGGTTCCACTCTGTGACTTGAATGCACACAACCAAAGAAGTTTCGGAGAATTCTTCTGTCTGGATTTATACGAAGAAATCCCGTTTCCAACGAAGACCCAAAGGAGTTCCAAATATCCACTTGCAGATCCTTCAGAAAGAGGGTTTCAAAACTGCTCTATCAAGAGAAATGTTCAACTCTGTGAGTTCAATGCAGACATCACAAAGTCGTTTCTGAGATGGGTTCTGTCTAGGTTTTATGGGAAGATATTTCCTTTTCTACCATACGATTCAAGGCGTTCCAAATATCCGCTTGGAAATACTACAAAAACAGTGTTTCAAAACTGCTCTATCAAAAGGAAGGATCCACACTGTGAGTTGAATTCACACATCACAAAGAAATCTCTGAGAATTCTTCTGTCTGGGTTTATAGGAAGAAATCCCGTTTCCAACGAAGGCCTCAAAGCGGTCCATATATCCACTTGCAGATTCTACAGAAACAATGTTTCCAAACTGCTCTATCAAGAGGAATGTTGCACTCGGGGAGTTGAATGCACACATCACAAAGTAGTTTCTGAGATTGCTTCTGTCTACCTTTTATGGAAAGATATTCCCTTTTCTACCATAGGCCTGAAAGCGCTCTCAATGTACCCTTGCAAATTCTACAAAAAGAGTGTTTCCAAATTGCTCTATCAAGAGAAATCTTTATCTCGGTGAGTTGAAAGCACACATCACAAAGAAGACTCTGAGAATTCTTCTGTCTGGGTTTATAAGATGAAAACCCGTTTCCAACGAAGGCCTCAAGGAGGTCCAAATACAAACAAGCTGATTCTACAGAAAGAGTGTTTCCAAACTGCTCTATCAAGAGGAATGTTCCACTCGGTGAGCTGAATGCAGACATCACAAAGGAGTTTCTGAGATTGCTTCTGTCTAGCTTTTATGGAAAGATATTTCCTTTTCTACCATAGGCCTCCAAGTGCTCTTAGTATACACTTCCAAATTCTACAAAGAGAGTGTTACTAAACCGCTCTCTCAAAGGAAATGTTAAACTCTGTGAGTTGAACACAGACATCACAAAGCAGTTTCTGAGAACACTTCTGTCTGCCTTTTATGTGAAGACATTCCCTTTTCCAAAGAATGCCTCCAAGGGCTCAAAATATCCACTCGTAGACTTTACAAAGAGAGTGTTTCAAAACTTCTCTACCAAAAGAAAGGTTAAAGACGGTGAGTTCAACGCACACATCACAAAGTTGTTTCTGAGAATGATTCTATCTATGTTTTCCATGAAGATGTTTCCTTTTCTATCATAGGCTTCAAAGTGGTCTAAATATCCACTTGGAAATCCTACAAGAACAGGGTTTCAAAACTTCTCTATCAAACGGAACACTCCACTCTGTGAGATGAACGCACACATCACAATGAGGTTTCTGAAAATTCTTCTGTCTAGGGTTATAGGAAGAAATCCCGTTTCCAACGAAGGCCTCAAAGAGGTCCAAATATCCACTTGCAGTTTCTACAAAAAGAGTGTTTCAACACTGCTCTATAAAGAGGAAAGTTCCACTCTGTGAGTTGAATGTACACATCACAAAGTAGTTTCTGAGATTGCTTCTGTCTAGGTTTTAGGTGAAGTTATTTCCTTTTCTACTGTGGGCTTCAATGCGCTCTAAATATACACATGCAAATACTACAAAAAGAGTGTTTCAAAACTGCTCTATCAAAAGAAAAGTTTTACTCTGTGGGTTGAACGCACACATCGCAAAGCAGATTCTGAGAATTATTCTGTCTAGTTTTTATAGGAAGATGTTTCTTTTTCTGCCATAGGATCAATGCGCTATAAATATCCCCTTGGAAGTCCTACAAAAACAGTGTTTCAAAACTGCTCTGTGAAAAGGGAGGTTTCACTCTTTGAATTGAATGCACACATCACAAAGGAGTTTCTGAAAATTCTTCAATCTAGAGTTACATGAAGAAATCCCGTTTCCAAAGAAGGCCTCAAATAGGTCCAAATATCCACTTGCAGCTACTACAAGAAGGGTGTTTCAGAAACGCTCTATCAAAAGAAACGTTAAACTCTGTGAGTTGAACACACACGTCACTAAGCACTTTCTGAGAACGATTGTATCTACTTTTTACATGAAGATGTTTCCTTTTCTAGCAGAGACTTCAAAGTGCTCTAAATATCCACTTGGGAATTCTACAAAAACGGTGTCTCAAAACTGCTCTATCAAACGGAATGTTCCATTCTGTGAGTCGAATGCACACATCCGAAGAAGTTACTGAGAATTCTTCTCTGTAGGTTTAGATGAAGAAATCCCGTTTCCAACGAAGGCCTCTAGGAGGTCCAATTATCCACTTGCAGATTCTACAGAAAGAGTGTTTCAAAACTGCTCTATCAAGAGAAATGGTCCACCGTGTGTGTGGAATGCAGCCATCACACATTAGTTTCTGAGATTGCTTCTGTCTTGGTTTTATGGGGAGATATTTCCATTTCTAGCATAGGCTTCAAGGCGCTCTAAATATCCGCTTGGAAATACTACAAAAACAGTGTTTCAAAACTGCTGTATCCAAAGGAAGGTGCCACTCGCTGAGTTGAATGCACACATCACAAGGAAGTTTCTGAGAATTCTTCTGTCTAGATTCATACGAAGAAATCCCGTTTCCAACGAAGGCCTCAAAGAAGTCCAAATATCCCATTGCAAATTCTACAAAAGGAGTGTTTCCCAACTGCTCTATCAAGAGGAATGTTGCACTCTGTGACTTGCATGCAAACATCACACAGCAGTGTTTGAGAATTCTTCTGTCTAGAGTAACATGAAGAAATCCCGTTTCCAACGAAGGCCTCAAGGCGGTCCAATTATCCACTTGCAGATTCTACAGAAAGAGTGTTTCAAAACTGCTCTATCAAGAGAAATGTTCCACCGTGTGTGTGGAATGCAGCCATCACACAGTAGTTTCTGAGATTGCTTCCGTCTAGGTTTTATGGGAAGATATTTCCTTTTCTACCATAGGCCTCAAGGCGCTCTAATATCCGCTTGGAAATACTACAACCACAGCGTTTCAAACTGCTCTATCCAAAGGAAGGTTCCACTCTGTGACTTGAATGCACACAACCAAAGAAGTTTCGGAGAATTCTTCTGTCTGGATTTATACGAAGAAATCCCGTTTCCAACGAAGACCCAAAGGAGTTCCAAATATCCACTTGCAGATCCTTCAGAAAGAGGGTTTCAAAACTGCTCTATCAAGAGAAATGTTCAACTCTGTGAGTTGAATGCAGACATCACAAAGTCGTTTCTGAGATGGGTTCTGTCTAGGTTTTATGGGAAGATATTTCCTTTTCTACCATACGCTTCAAGGCTTTCCAAATATCCGCTTGGAAATACTACAAAAACAGTGTTTCAAAACTGCTCTATCAAAAGGAAGGATCCACACTGTGAGTTGAATTCACACATCACAAAGAAATCTCTGAGAATTCTTCTGTCTGGGTTTATAGGAAGAAATCCCGTTTCCAACGAAGGCCTCAAAGCGGTCCATATATCCACTTGCAGATTCTACAGAAACAATGTTTCCAAACTGCTCGGTCAAGAGGAATGTTGCACTCGGTGAGTTGAATGCACACATCACAAATTAGTTTCTGAGATTGCTTCTGTCTACCTTTTATGGAAAGATATTCCCTTTTCTACCATAGGCCTGAAAGCGCTCTCAATGTACCCTTGCAAATTCTACAAAAAGAGTGTTTCCAAATTGCTCTATCAAGAGAAATCTTTATCTCGGTGAGTTGAAAGCACACATCACAAAGAAGACTCTGAGAATTCTTCTGTCTGGGTTTATAAGATGAAAACCCGTTTCCAACGAAGGCCTCAAGGAGGTCCAAATACAAACAAGCTGATTCTACAGAAAGAGTGTTTCCAAACTGCTCTATCAAGAGGAATGTTCCACTCGGTGAGTTGAATGCAGACATCACAAAGGAGTTTCTGAGATTGCTTCTGTCTAGCTTTTATGGAAAGATATTTCCTTTTCTACCATAGGCCTCAAAGCGCTCTTAGTATACACTTCCAAATTCTACAAAGAGAGTGTTACTAAACCGCTCTCTCAAAGGAAATGTTAAACTCTGTGAGTTGAACACAGACATCACAAAGCAGTTTCTGAGAACACTTCTGTCTGCCTTTTATGTGAAGACATTCCCTTTTCCAAAGAATGCCTCCAAGGGCTCAAAATATCCACTTGTAGACTTTACAAAGAGAGTGTTTCAAAACTTCTCTACCAAAAGAAAGGTTAAAGACGGTGAGTTCAACGCACACATCACAAAGTTGTTTCTGAGAATGATTCTATCTATGTTTTCCATGAAGATGTTTCCTTTTCTATCATAGGCTTCAAAGTGGTCTAAATATCCACTTGGAAATCCTACAAGAACAGGGTTTCAAAACTTCTCTATCAAACGGAACACTCCACTCTGTGAGATGAACGCACACATCACAATGAGGTTTCTGAAAATTCTTCTGTCTAGGGTTATAGGAAGAAATCCCGTTTCCAACGAAGGCCTCAAAGAGGTCCAAATATCCACTTGCAGTTTCTACAAAAAGAGTGTTTCAACACTGCTCTATAAAGAGGAAAGTTCCACTCTGTGAGTTGAATGTACACATCACAAAGTAGTTTCTGAGATTGCTTCTGTCTAGGTTTTAGGTGAAGTTATTTCCTTTTCTACTGTGGGCTTCAATGCGCTCTAAATATACACATGCAAATACTACAAAAAGAGTGTTTCAAAACTGCTCTATCAAAAGAAAAGTTTTACTCTGCGGGTTGAACGCACACATCGCAAAGCAGATTCTGAGAATTATTCTGTCTAGTTTTTATACGAAGTATGTTTCTTTTTCTGCCATAGGCTCAATGCGCTATAAATATCCCCTTGGAAATCCTACAAAAACAGTGTTTCAAAACTGCTCTATGAAAAGGGAGGTTTCACTCTTTGAATTGAATGCACACATCACAAAGGAGTTTCTGAAAATTCTTCAATCTAGAGTTACATGAAGAAATCCCGTTTCCAAAGAAGGCCTCAAATAGGTCCAAATATCCACTTGCAGCTACTACAAGAAGGGTGTTTCAGAAACGCTCTATCAAAAGAAACGTTAAACTCTGTGAGTTGAACGCACACGTCACTAAGCACTTTCTGAGAACGATTCTATCTACTTTTTACATGAAGATGTTTCCTTTTCTAGCAGAGACTTCAAAGTGCTCTAAATATCCACTTGGGAATTCTACAAAAACGGTGTCTCAAAACTGCTCTACCAAAGGGAATGTTCCATTCTGTGAGTCGAATGCACACATCCGAAGAAGTTACTGAGAATTCTTCTCTGTAGGTTTAGATGAAGAAATCCCGTTTCCAACGAAGGCCTCTAGGAGGTCCAATTATCCACTTGCAGATTCTACAGAAAGAGTGTTTCAAAACTGCTCTATCAAGAGAAATGGTCCACCGTGTGTGTGGAATGCAGCCATCACACATTAGTTTCTGAGATTGCTTCTGTCTTGGTTTTATGGGGAGATATTTCCATTTCTAGCATAGGCTTCAAGGCGCTCTAAATATCCGCTTGGAAATACTACAAAAACAGTGTTTCAAAACTGCTGTATCCAAAGGAAGGTGCCACTCGCTGAGTTGAATGCACACATCACAAGGAAGTTTCTGAGAATTCTTCTGTCTAGATTCATACGAAGAAATCCCGTTTCCAACGAAGGCCTCAAAGAAGTCCAAATATCCCATTGCAAATTCTACAAAAGGAGTGTTTCCCAACTGCTCTATCAAGAGGAATGTTGCACTCTGTGACTTGCATGCAAACATCACATAGCAGTGTTTGAGAATTCTTCTGTCTAGAGTAACATGAAGAAATCCCGTTTCCAACGAAGGCCTCAAGGCGGTCCAATTATCCACTTGCAGATTCTACAGAAAGAGTGTTTCAAAACTGCTCTATCAAGAGAAATGTTCCACCGTGTGTGTGGAATGCAGCCATCACACAGTAGTTTCTGAGATTGCTTCCGTCTAGGTTTTATGGGAAGATATTTCCTTTTCTACCATAGGCTTCAAGGCGCTCTAATATCCGCTTGGAAATACTACAACCACAGCGTTTCAAACTGCTCTATCCAAAGGAAGGTTCCACTCTGTGACTTGAATGCACACAACCAAAGAAGTTTCGGAGAATTCTTCTGTCTGGATTTATACGAAGAAATCCCGTTTCCAACGAAGACCCAAAGGAGTTCCAAATATCCACTTGCAGCTCCTTCAGAAAGAGGGTTTCAAAACTGCTCTATCAAGAGAAATGTTCAACTCTGTGAGTTGAATGCAGACATCACAAAGTCGTTTCTGAGATGGGTTCTGTCTAGGTTTTATGGGAAGATATTTCCTTTTCTACCTTACGCTTCAAGGCGTTCCAAATATCCGCTTGGAAATACTACAAAAACAGTGTTTCAAAACTGCTCTATCAAAAGGAAGGATCCACACTGTGAGTTGAATTCACACATCACAAAGAAATCTCTGAGAATTCTTCTGTCTGGGTTTATAGGAAGAAATCCCGTTTCCAACGAAGGCCTCAAAGCGGTCCATATATCCACTTGCAGATTCTACAGAAACAATGTTTCCAAACTGCTCTATCAAGAGGAATGTTGCACTCGGTGAGTTGAATGCACACATCACAAAGTAGTTTCTGAGATTGCTTCTGTCTACCTTTTATGGAAAGATATTCCCTTTTCTACCATAGGCCTGAAAGCGCTCTCAATGTACCCTTGCAAATTCTACAAAAAGAGTGTTTCCAAATTGCTCTATCAAGAGAAATCTTTATCTCGGTGAGTTGAAAGCACACATCACAAAGAAGACTCTGAGAATTCTTCTGTCTGGGTTTATAAGATGAAAACCCGTTTCCAACGAAGGCCTCAAGGAGGTCCAAATACAAACAAGCTGATTCTACAGAAAGAGTGTTTCCAAACTGCTCTATCAAGAGGAATGTTCCACTCGGTGAGTTGAATGCAGACATCACAAAGGAGTTTCTGAGATTGCTTCTGTCTAGCTTTTATGGAAAGATATTTCCTTTTCTACCATAGGCCTCAAAGCGCTCTTAGTATACACTTCCAAATTCTACAAAGAGAGTGTTACTAAACCGCTCTCTCAAAGGAAATGTTAAACTCTGTGAGTTGAACACAGACATCACAAAGCAGTTTCTGAGAACACTTCTGTCTGCCTTTTATGTGAAGACATTCCCTTTTCCAAAGAATGCCTCCAAGGGCTCAAAATATCCACTTGTAGACTTTACAAAGAGAGTGTTTCAAAACTTCTCTACCAAAAGAAAGGTTAAAGACGGTGAGTTCAACGCACACATCACAAAGTTGTTTCTGAGAATGATTCTATCTATGTTTTCCATGAAGATGTTTCCTTTTCTATCATAGGCTTCAAAGTGGTCTAAATATCCACTTGGAAATCCTACAAGAACAGGGTTTCAAAACTTCTCTATCAAACGGAAGACTCCACTCTGTGAGATGAACGCACACATCACAATGAGGTTTCTGAAAATTCTTCTGTCTAGGGTTATAGGAAGAAATCCCGTTTCCAACGAAGGCCTCAAAGAGGTCCAAATATCCACTTGCAGTTTCTACAAAAAGAGTGTTTCAACACTGCTCTATAAAGAGGAAAGTTCCACTCTGTGAGTTGAATGTACACATCACAAAATAGTTTCTGAGATTGCTTCTGTCTAGGTTTTAGGTGAAGTTATTTCCTTTTCTACTGTGTGCTTCAATGCGCTCTAAATATACACATGCAAATACTACAAAAAGAGTGTTTCAAAACTGCTCTATCAAAAGAAAAGTTTTACTCTGTGGGTTGAACGCACACATCGCAAAGCAGATTCTGAGAATTATTCTGTCTAGTTTTTATAGGAAGATGTTTCTTTTTCTGCCATAGGCTCAATGCGCTATAAATATCCCCTTGGAAATCCTACAAAAACAGTATTTCAAAACTGCTCTGTGAAAAGGGAGGTTTCACTCTTTGAATTGAATGCACACATCACAAAGGAGTTTCTGAAAATTCTTCAAACTAGAGTTACATGAAGAAATCCCGTTTCCAAAGAAGGCCTCAAATAGGTCCAAATATCCACTTGCAGGTACTACAAGCAGGGTGTTTCAGAAACGCTCTATCAAAAGAAACGTTAAACTCTGTGAGTTGAACACACACGTCACTAAGCACTTTCTGAGAACGATTCTATCTACTTTTTACATGAAGATGTTTCCTTTTCTAGCAGAGACTTCAAAGTGCTCTAAATATCCACTTGGGAATTCTACAAAAACGGTGTCTCAAAACTGCTCTATCAAAGGGAATGTTCCATTCTGTGAGTCGAATGCACACATCCGAAGAAGTTACTGAGAATTCTTCTCTGTAGGTTTAGATGAAGAAATCCCGTTTCCAACGAAGGCCTCTAGGAGGTCCAATTATCCACTTGCAGATTCTACAGAAAGAGTGTTTCAAAACTGCTCTATCAAGAGAAATGGTCCACCGTGTGTGTGGAATGCAGCCATCACACATTAGTTTCTGAGATTGCTTCTGTCTTGGTTTTATGGGGAGATATTTCCATTTCTAGCATAGGCTTCAAGGCGCTCTAAATATCCGCTTGGAAATACTACAAAAACAGTGTTTCAAAACTGCTGTATCCAAAGGAAGGTGCCACTCGCTGAGTTGAATGCACACATCACAAGGAAGTTTCTGAGAATTCTTCTGTCTAGATTCATATGAAGAAATCCCGTTTCCAACGAAGGCCTCAAAGAAGTCCAAATATCCCATTGCAAATTCTACAAAAGGAGTGTTTCCCAACTGCTCTATCAAGAGGAATGTTGCACTCTGTGACTTGCATGCAAACATCACATAGCAGTGTTTGAGAATTCTTCTGTCTAGAGTAACATGAAGAAATCCCGTTTCCAACGAAGGCCTCAAGGCGGTCCAATTATCCACTTGCAGATTCTACAGAAAGAGTGTTTCAAAACTGCTCTATCAAGAGAAATGTTCCACCGTGTGTGTGGAATGCAGCCATCACACAGTAGTTTCTGAGATTGCTTCCGTCTAGGTTTTATGGGAAGATATTTCCTTTTCTACCATAGGCCTCAAGGCGCTCTAATATCCGCTTGGAAATACTGCAACCACAGCGTTTCAAACTGCTCTATCCAAAGGAAGGTTCCACTCTGTGACTTGAATGCACACAACCAAAGAAGTTTCGGAGAATTCTTCTGTCTGGATTTATACGAAGAAATCCCGTTTCCAACGAAGACCCAAAGGAGTTCCAAATATCCACTTGCAGATCCTTCAGAAAGAGGGTTTCAAAACTGCTCTATCAAGAGAAATGTTCAACTCTGTGAGTTCAATGCAGACATCACAAAGTCGTTTCTGAGATGGGTTCTGTCTAGGTTTTATGGAAAGATATTTCCTTTTCTACCATACGCTTCAAGGCGTTCCAAATATCCGCTTGGAAATACTACAAAAACAGTGTTTCAAAACTGCTCTATCAAAAGGAAGGATCCACACTGTGAGTTGAATTCACACATCACAAAGAAATCTCTGAGAATTCTTCTGTCTGGGTTTATAGGAAGAAATCCCGTTTCCAACGAAGGCCTCAAAGCGGTCCATATATCCACTTGCAGATTCTACAGAAACAATGTTTCCAAACTGCTCTATCAAGAGGAATGTTGCACTCGGTGAGTTGAATGCACACATCACAAAGTAGTTTCTGAGATTGCTTCTGTCTACCTTTTATGGAAAGATATTCCCTTTTCTACCATAGGCCTGAAAGCGCTCTCAATGTACCCTTGCAAATTCTACAAAAAGAGTGTTTCCAAATTGCTCTATCAAGAGAAATCTTTATCTCAGTGAGTTGAAAGCACACATCACAAAGAAGACTCTGAGAATTCTTCTGTCTGGGTTTATAAGATGAAAACCCGTTTCCAACGAAGGCCTCAAGGAGGTCCAAATACAAACAAGCTGATTCTACAGAAAGAGTGTTTCCAAACTGCTCTATCAAGAGGAATGTTCCACTCGGTGAGTTGAATGCAGACATCACAAAGGAGTTTCTGAGATTGCTTCTGTCTAGCTTTTATGGAAAGATATTTCCTTTTCTACCATAGGCCTCAAAGCGCTCTTAGTATACACTTCCAAATTCTACAAAGAGAGTGTTACTAAACCGCTCTCTCAAAGGAAATGTTAAACTCTGTGAGTTGAACACAGACATCACAAAGCAGTTTCTGAGAACACTTCTGTCTGCCTTTTATGTGAAGACATTCCCTTTTCCAAAGAATGCCTCCAAGGGCTCAAAATATCCACTTGTAGACTTTACAAAGAGAGTGTTTCAAAACTTCTCTACCAAAAGAAAGGTTAAAGACGGTGAGTTCAACACACACATCACAAAGTTGTTTCTGAGAATGATTCTATCTATGTTTTCCATGAAGATGTTTCCTTTTCTATCATAGGCTTCAAAGTGGTCTAAATATCCACTTGGAAATCCTACAAGAACAGGGTTTCAAAACTTCTCTATCAAACGGAAGACTCCACTCTGTGAGATGAACGCACACATCACAATGAGGTTTCTGAAAATTCTTCTGTCTAGGGTTATAGGAAGAAATCCCGTTTCCAACGAAGGCCTCAAAGAGGTCCAAATATCCACTTGCAGTTTCTACAAAAAGAGTGTTTCAACACTGCTCTATAAAGAGGAAATTTCCACTCTGTGAGTTGAATGTACACATCACAAAGTAGTTTCTGAGATTGCTTCTGTCTAGGTTTTAGGTGAAGTTATTTCCTTTTCTACTGTGGGCTTCAATGCGCTCTCAATATACACATGCAAATACTACAAAAAGAGTGTTTCAAAACTGTTCTATCAAAAGAAAAGTTTTAATCTGTGGGTTGAACGCACACATCGCAAAGCAGATTCTGAGAATTATTCTGTCTAGTTTTTATAGGAAGATGTTTCTTTTTCTGCCGTAGGCTCAATGCGCTATAAATATCCCCTTGGAAATCCTACAAAAACAGTGTTTCAAAACTGCTCTGTGAAAAGGGAGGTTTCACTCTTTGAATTGAATGCACACATCACAAAGGAGTTTCTGAAAATTCTTCAATCTAGAGTTACATGAAGAAATCCCGTTTCCAAAGAAGGCCTCAAATAGGTCCAAATATCCACTTGCAGCTACTACAAGAAGGGTGTTTCAGAAACGCTCTATCAAAAGAAACGTTAAACTCTGTGAGTTGAACGCACACGTCACTAAGCACTTTCTGAGAACGATTCTATCTACTTTTTACATGAAGATGTTTCCTTTTCTAGCAGAGACTTCAAAGTGCTCTAAATATCCACTTGGGAATTCTACAAAAACGGTGTCTCAAAACTGCTCTATCAAAGGGAATGTTCCATTCTGTGAGTCGAATGCACACATCCGAAGAAGTTACTGAGAATTCTTCTCTGTAGGTTTAGATGAAGAAATCCCGTTTCCAACGAAGGCCTCTAGGAGGTCCAATTATCCACTTGCAGATTCTACAGAAAGAGTGTTTCAAAACTGCTCTATCAAGAGAAATGGTCCACCGTGTGTGTGGAATGCAGCCATCACACATTAGTTTCTGAGATTGCTTCTGTCTTGGTTTTATGGGGAGATATTTCCATTTCTAGCATAGGCTTCAAGGCGCTCTAAATATCCGCTTGGAAATACTACAAAAACAGTGTTTCAAAACTGCTGTATCCAAAGGAAGGTGCCACTCGCTGAGTTGAATGCACACATCACAAGGAAGTTTCTGAGAATTCTTCTGTCTAGATTCATACGAAGAAATCCCGTTTCCAACGAAGGCCTCAAAGAAGTCCAAATATCCCATTGCAAATTCTACAAAAGGAGTGTTTCCCAACTGCTCTATCAAGAGGAATGTTGCACTCTGTGACTTGCATGCAAACATCACACAGCAGTGTTTGAGAATTCTTCTGTCTAGAGTAACATGAAGAAATCCCGTTTCCAACGAAGGCCTCAAGGCGGTCCAATTATCCACTTGCAGATTCTACAGAAAGAGTGTTTCAAAACTGCTCTATCAAGAGAAATGTTCCACCGTGTGTGTGGAATGCAGCCATCACACAGTAGTTTCTGAGATTGCTTCCGTCTAGGTTTTATGGGAAGATATTTCCTTTTCTACCATAGGCCTCAAGGCGCTCTAATATCCGCTTGGAAATACTACAACCACAGCGTTTCAAACTGCTCTATCCAAAGGAAGGTTCCACTCTGTGACTTGAATGCACACAACCAAAGAAGTTTCGGAGAATTCTTCTGTCTGGATTTATATGAAGAAATCCCGTTTCCAACGAAGACCCAAAGGAGTTCCAAATATCCACTTGCAGATCCTTCCGAAAGAGGGTTTCAAAACTGCTCTATCAAGAGAAATGTTCAACTTCTGTGAGTTGAATGCAGACATCACAAAGTCGTTTCTGAGATGGGTTCTGTCTAGGTTTTATGGGAAGATATTTCCTTTTCTACCATACGCTTCAAGGCGTTCCATATATCTGCTTGGAAATACTACAAAAACGGTGTTTCAAAACTGCTCTATCAAAAGGAAGGATCCACACTGTGAGTTGAATTCACACATCACAAAGAAGTCTCTGAGAATTCTTCTGTCTGGGTTTATAGGAAGAAATCCCGTTTCCAACGAAGGCCTCAAAGCGGTCCATATATCCACTTGCAGATTCTACAGAAACAATGTTTCCAAACTGCTCTATCAAGAGGAATGTTGCACTCGGTGAGTTGAATGCACACATCACAAAGTAGTTTCTGAGATTGCTTCTGTCTACCTTTTCTACCATAGGCCTGAAAGCGCTCTCAATGTACCCTTGCAAATTCTACAAAAAGAGTGTTTCCAAATTGCTCTATCAAGAGAAATCTTTATCTCGGTGAGTTGAAAGCACACATCACAAAGAAGACTCTGAGAATTCTTCTGTCTGGGTTTATAAGATGAAAACCCGTTTCCAACGAAGGCCTCAAGGAGGTCCAAATACAAACAAGCTGATTCTACAGAAAGAGTGTTTCCAAACTGCTCTATCAAGAGGAATGTTCCACTCGGTGAGTTGAATGCAGACATCACAAAGGAGTTTCTGAGATTGCTTCTGTCTAGCTTTTATGGAAAGATATTTCCTTTTCTACCATAGGCCTCAAAGCGCTCTTAGTATACACTTCCAAATTCTACAAAGAGAGGGTTACTAAACCGCTCTATCACAGGAAATGTTAAACTCTGTGAGTTGAACACAGACATCACAAAGCAGTTTCTGAGAACACTTCTGTCTGCCTTTTATGTGAAGACATTCCCTTTTCCAAAGAATGCCTCCAAGGGCTCAAAATATCCACTTGTAGACTTTACAAAGAGAGTGTTTCAAAACTTCTCTACCAAAAGAAAGGTTAAAGGCTGTGAGTTCAACGCACACATCACAAAGTTGTTTCTGAGAATGACTCTATCTATGATTTCCATGAAGATGTTTCCTTTTCTATCATAGGCTTCAAAGTGGTCTAAATATCCACTTGGAAATCCTACAAGAACAGGGTTTCAAAACTTCTCTATCAAACGGAAGACTCCACTCTGTGAGATGAACGCACACATCACAATGAGGTTTCTGAAAATTCTTCTGTCTAGGGTTATAGGAAGAAATCCCGTTTCCAACGAAGGCCTCAAAGAGGTCCAAATATCCACCTGCAGTTTCTACAAAAAGAGTGTTTCAACACTGCTCTGTAAAGGGGAAAGTTCCACTCTGTGATTTGAATGTACACATCACAAAGTAGTTTCTGAGATTGCTTCTGTCTAGGTTTTAGGTGAAGTTATTTCCTTTTCTACTGTGGGCTTCAATGCGCTCTAAATATACACATGCAAATACTACAAAAAGAGTGTTTCAAAACTGCTCTATCAAAAGAAAAGTTTTACTCTGTGAGTTGAACGCACACATCGCAAAGCAGATTCTGAGAATTATTCTGTCTAGTTTTTATAGGAAGATGTTTCTTTTTCTGCCGTAGGCTCAATGCGCTATAAATATCCCCTTGGAAATCCTACAAAAACAGTGTTTCAAAACTGCTCTGTGAAAAGGGACGTTTCACTCTTTGAATTGAATGCACACATCACAAAGGAGTTTCTGAAAATTCTTCAAACTAGAGTTACATGAAGAAATCCCGTTTCCAAAGAAGGCCTCAAATAGGTCCAAATATCCACTTGCAGCTACTACAAGAAGGGTGTTTCAGAAACGCTCTATCAAAAGAAACGTTAAACTCTGTGAGTTGAACGCACACGTCACTAAGCACTTTCTGAGAACGATTCTATCTACTTTTTACATGAAGATGTTTCCTTTTCTAGCAGAGACTTCAAAGTGCTCTAAATATCCACTTGGGAATTCTACAAAAACGGTGTCTCAAAACTGCTCTATCAAACGGAATGTTCCATTCTGTGAGTCGAATGCACACATCCGAAGAAGTTACTGAGAATTCTTCTCTGTAGGTTTAGATGAAGAAATCCCGTTTCCAACGAAGGCCTCTAGGAGGTCCAATTATCCACTTGCAGATTCTACAGAAAGAGTGTTTCAAAACTGCTCTATCAAGAGAAATGGTCCACCGTGTGTGTGGAATGCAGCCATCACACATTAGTTTCTGAGATTGCTTCTGTCTTGGTTTTATGGGGAGATATTTCCATTTCTAGCATAGGCTTCAAGGCGCTCTAAATATCTGCTTGGAAATAGTACAAAAACAGTGTTTCAAAACTGCTGTATCGAAAGGAAGGTGCCACTCGCTGAGTTGAATGCACACATCACAAGGAAGTTTCTGAGAATTCTTCTGTCTAGATTCATACGAAGAAATCCCGTTTCCAACGAAGGCCTCAAAGAAGTCCAAATATCCCATTGCAAATTCTACAAAAGGAGTGTTTCCCAACTGCTCTATCAAGAGGAATGTTGCACTCTGTGACTTGAATGCAAACATCACATAGCAGTGTTTGAGAATTCTTCTGTCTAGAGTAACATGAAGAAATCCCGTTTCCAACGAAGGCCTCAAGGCGGTCCAATTATCCACTTGCAGATTCTACAGAAAGAGTGTTTCAAAACTGCTCTATCAAGAGAAATGTTCCACCGTGTGTGTGGAATGCAGCCATCACACAGTAGTTTCTGAGATTGCTTCCGTCTAGGTTTTATGGGAAGATATTTCCTTTTCTACCATAGGCCTCAAGGCTCTCTAATATCCGCTTGGAAATACTACAACCAGAGCGTTTCAAACTGCTCTATCCAAAGGAAGGTTCCACTCTGTGACTTGAATGCACACAACCAAAGAAGTTTCGGAGAATTCTTCTGTCTGGATTTATACGAAGAAATCCCGTTTCCAACGAAGACCCAAAGGAGTTCCAAATATCCACTTGCAGATCCTTCAGAAAGAGGGTTTCAAAACTGCTCTATCAAGAGAAATGTTCAACTCTGTGAGTTGAATGCAGACATCACAAAGTCGTTTCTGAGATTGGTTCTGTCTAGGTTTTATGGGAAGATATTTCCTTTTCTACCATACGCTTCAAGGCGTTCCAAATATCCGCTTGGAAATACTACAAAAACGGTGTTTCAAAACTGCTCTATCAAAAGGAAGGATCCACACTGTGAGTTGAATTCACACATCACAAAGAAATCTCTGAGAATTCTTCTGTTTGGTTTATAGGAAGAAATCCCGTTTCCAACGAAGGCCTCAAAGCGGTCCATATATCCACTTGCAGATTCTACAGAAACAATGTTTCCAAACTGCTCTATCAAGAGGAATGTTGCACTCGGTGAGTTGAATGCACACATCACAAAGTAGTTTCTGAGATTGCTTCTGTCTACCTTTTATGGAAAGATATTCCCTTTTCTACCATAGGCCTGAAAGCGCTCTCAATGTACCCTTGCAAATTCTACAAAAAGAGTGTTTCCAAATTGCTCTATCAAGAGAAATCTTTATCTCGGTGAGTTGAAAGCACACATCACAAAGAAGACTCTGAGAATTCTTCTGTCTGGGTTTATAAGATGAAAACCCGTTTCCAACGAAGGCCTCAAGGAGGTCCAAATACAAACAAGCTGATTCTACAGAAAGAGTGTTTCCAAACTGCTCTATCAAGAGGAATGTTCCACTCGGTGAGTTGAATGCAGACATCACAAAGGAGTTTCTGAGATTGCTTCTGTCTAGCTTTTATGGAAAGATATTTCCTTTTCTACCATAGGCCTCAAAGCGCTCTTAGTATACACTTCCAAATTCTACAAAGACAGTGTTACTAAACTGCTCTCTCAAAGGAAATGTTAAACTCTGTGAGTTGAACACAGACATCACAAAGCAGTTTCTGAGAACACTTCTGTCTGCCTTTTATGTGAAGACATTCCCTTTTCCAAAGAATGCCTCCAAGGGCTCAAAATATCCACTTGTAGACTTTACAAAGAGAGTGTTTCAAAACTTCTCTACCAAAAGAAAGGTTAAAGACGGTGAGTTCAACACACACATCACAAAGTTGTTTCTGAGAATGATTCTATCTATGTTTTCCATGAAGATGTTTCCTTTTCTATCATAGGCTTCAAAGTGGTCTAAATATCCACTTGGAAATCCTACAAGAACAGGGTTTCAAAACTTCTCTATCAAACGGAAGACTCCACTCTGTGAGATGAACGCACACATCACAATGAGGTTTCTGAAAATTCTTCTGTCTAGGGTTATAGGAAGAAATCCCGTTTCCAACGAAGGCCTCAAAGAGGTCCAAATATCCACTTGCAGTTTCTACAAAAAGAGTGTTTCAACATTGCTCTATAAAGAGGAAAGTTCCACTCTGTGAGTTGAATGTACACATCACAAAGTAGTTTCTGAGATTGCTTCTGTCTAGGTTTTAGGTGAAGTTATTTCCTTTTCTACTGTGGGCTTCAATGCGCTCTAAATATACACATGCAAATACTACAAAAAGAGTGTTTCAAAACTGCTCTATCAAAAGAAAAGTTTTACTCTGTGGGTTGAACGCACACATCGCAAAGCAGATTCTGAGAATTATTCTGTCTAGTTTTTATAGGAAGATGTTTCTTTTTCTGCCGTAGGCTCAATGCGCTATAAATATCCCCTTGGAAATCCTACAAAAACAGTGTTTCAAAACTGCTCTGTGAAAAGGGAGGTTTCACTCTTTGAATTGAATGCACACATCACAAAGGAGTTTCTGAAAATTCTTCAAACTAGAGTTACATGAAGAAATCCCGTTTCCAAAGAAGGCCTCAAATAGGTCCAAATATCCACTTGCAGCTACTACAAGCAGGGTGTTTCAGAAACGCTCTATCAAAAGAAACGTTAAACTCTGTGAGTTGAACACACACGTCACTAAGCACTTTCTGAGAACGATTCTATCTACTTTTTACATGAAGATGTTTCCTTTTCTAGCAGAGACTTCAAAGTGCTCTAAATATCCACTTGGGAATTCTACAAAAACGGTGTCTCAAAACTGTTCTATCAAACGGAATGTTCCATTCTGTGAGTCGAATGCACACATCCGAAGAAGTTACTGAGAATTCTTCTCTGTAGGTTTAGATGAAGAAATCCCGTTTCCAACGAAGGCCTCTAGGAGGTCCAATTATCCACTTGCAGATTCTACAGAAAGAGTGTTTCAAAACTGCTCTATCAAGAGAAATGGTCCACCGTGTGTGTGGAATGCAGCCATCACACATTAGTTTCTGAGATTGCTTCTGTCTTGGTTTTATGGGGAGATATTTCCATTTCTAGCATAGGCTTCAAGGCGCTCTAAATATCCGCTTGGAAATACTACAAAAACAGTGTTTCAAAACTGCTGTATCCAAAGGAAGGTGCCACTCGCTGAGTTGAATGCACACATCACAAGGAAGTTTCTGAGAATTCTTCTGTCTAGATTCATACGAAGAAATCCCGTTTCCAACGAAGGCCTCAAAGAAGTCCAAATATCCCATTGCAAATTCTACAAAAGGAGTGTTTCCCAACTGCTCTATCAAGAGGAATGTTGCACTCTGTGACTTGAATGCAAACATCACATAGCAGTGTTTGAGAATTCTTCTGTCTAGAGTAACATGAAGAAATCCCGTTTCCAACGAAGGCCTCAAGGCGGTCCAATTATCCACTTGCAGATTCTACAGAAAGAGTGTTTCAAAACTGCTCTATCAAGAGAAATGTTCCACCGTGTGTGTGGAATGCAGCCATCTCACAGTAGTTTCTGAGATTGCTTCCGTCTAGGTTTTATGGGAAGATATTTCCTTTTCTACCATAGGCCTCAAGGCGCTCTAATATCCGCTTGGAAATACTACAACCACAGCGTTTCAAACTGCTCTATCCAAAGGAAGGTTCCACTCTGTGACTTGAATGCACACAACCAAAGAAGTTTCGGAGAATTCTTCTGTCTGGATTTATACGAAGAAATCCCGTTTCCAACGAAGACCCAAAGGAGTTCCAAATATCCACTTGCAGATCCTTCAGAAAGAGGGTTTCAAAACTGCTCTATCAAGAGAAATGTTCAACTCTGTGAGTTGAATGCAGACATCACAAAGTCGTTTCTGAGATGGGTTCTGTCTAGGTTTTATGGGAAGATATTTCCTTTTCTACCATACGCTTCAAGGCGTTCCAAATATCCGCTTGGAAATACTACAAAAACAGTGTTTCAAAACTGCTCTATCAAAAGGAAGGATCCACACTGTGAGTTGAATTCACACATCACAAAGAAATCTCTGAGAATTCTTCTGTCTGGGTTTATAGGAAGAAATCCCGTTTCCAACGAAGGCCTCAAAGCGGTCCATATATCCACTTGCAGATTCTACAGAAACAATGTTTCCAAACTGCTCGGTCAAGAGGAATGTTGCACTCGGTGAGTTGAATGCACACATCACAAAGTAGTTTCTGAGATTGCTTCTGTCTACCTTTTATGGAAAGATATTCCCTTTTCTACCATAGGCCTGAAAGCGCTCTCAATGTACCCTTGCAAATTCTACAAAAAGAGTGTTTCCAAATTGCTCTATCAAGAGAAATCTTTATCTCGGTGAGTTGAAAGCACACATCACAAAGAAGACTCTGAGAATTCTTCTGTCTGGGTTTATAAGATGAAAACCCGTTTCCAACGAAGGCCTCAAGGAGGTCCAAATACAAACAAGCTGATTCTACAGAAAGAGTGTTTCCAAACTGCTCTATCAAGAGGAATGTTCCACTCGGTGAGTTGAATGCAGACATCACAAAGGAGTTTCTGAGATTGCTTCTGTCTAGCTTTTATGGAAAGATATTTCCTTTTCTACCATAGGCCTCAAAGCGCTCTTAGTATACACTTCCAAATTCTACAAAGAGAGTGTTACTAAACCGCTCTCTCAAAGGAAATGTTAAACTCTGTGAGTTGAACACAGACATCACAAAGCAGTTTCTGAGAACACTTCTGTCTGCCTTTTATGTGAAGACATTCCCTTTTCCAAAGAATGCCTCCAAGGGCTCAAAATATCCACTTGTAGACTTTACAAAGAGAGTGTTTCAAAACTTCTCTACCAAAAGAAAGGTTAAAGACGGTGAGTTCAACGCACACATCACAAAGTTGTTTCTGAGAATGATTCTATCTATGTTTTCCATGAAGATGTTTCCTTTTCTATCATAGGCTTCAAAGTGGTCTAAATATCCACTTGGAAATCCTACAAGAACAGGGTTTCAAAACTTCTCTATCAAACGGAAGACTCCACTCTGTGAGATGAACGCACACATCACAATGAGGTTTCTGAAAATTCTTCTGTCTAGGGTTATAGGAAGAAATCCCGTTTCCAACGAAGGCCTCAAAGAGGTCCAAATATCCACTTGCAGTTTCTACAAAAAGAGTGTTTCAACACTGCTCTATAAAGAGGAAAGTTCCACTCTGTGAGTTGAATGTACACATCACAAAGTAGTTTCTGAGATTGCTTCTGTCTAGGTTTTAGGTGAAGTTATTTCCTTTTCTACTGTGGGCTTCAATGCGCTCTAAATATACACATGCAAATACTACAAAAAGAGTGTTTCAAAACTGCTCTATCAAAAGAAAAGTTTTACTCTGTGAGTTGAACGCACACATCGCAAAGCAGATTCTGAGAATTATTCTGTCTAGTTTTTATAGGAAGATGTTTCTTTTTCTGCCATAGGATCAATGCGCTATAAATATCCCCTTGGAAATCCTACAAAAACAGTGTTTCAAAACTGCTCTGTGAAAAGGGAGGTTTCACTCTTTGAATTGAATGCACACATCACAAAGGAGTTTCTGAAAATTCTTCAATCTAGAGTTACATGAAGAAATCCCGTTTCCAAAGAAGGCCTCAAATAGGTCCAAATATCCACTTGCAGCTACTACAAGAAGGGTGTTTCAGAAACGCTCTATCAAAAGAAACGTTAAACTCTGTGAGTTGAACACACACGTCACTAAGCACTTTCTGAGAACGATTGTATCTACTTTTTACATGAAGATGTTTCCTTTTCTAGCAGAGACTTCAAAGTGCTCTAAATATCCACTTGGGAATTCTACAAAAACGGTGTCTCAAAACTGCTCTATCAAACGGAATGTTCCATTGTGTGAGTCGAATGCACACATCCGAAGAAGTTACTGAGAATTCTTCTCTGTAGGTTTAGATGAAGAAATCCCGTTTCCAACGAAGGCCTCTAGGAGGTCCAATTATCCACTTGCAGATTCTACAGAAAGAGTGTTTCAAAACTGCTCTATCAAGAGAAATGGTCCACCGTGTGTGTGGAATGCAGCCATCACACATTAGTTTCTGAGATTGCTTCTGTCTTGGTTTTATGGGGAGATATTTCCATTTCTAGCATAGGCTTCAAGGCGCTCTAAATATCCGCTTGGAAATACTACAAAAACAGTGTTTCAAAACTGCTGTATCCAAAGGAAGGTGCCACTCGCTGAGTTGAATGCACACATCACAAGGAAGTTTCTGAGAATTCTTCTGTCTAGATTCATACGAAGAAATCCCGTTTCCAACGAAGGCCTCAAAGAAGTCCAAATATCCCATTGCAAATTCTACAAAAGGAGTGTTTCCCAACTGCTCTATCAAGAGGAATGTTGCACTCTGTGACTTGCATGCAAACATCACACAGCAGTGTTTGAGAATTCTTCTGTCTAGAGTAACATGAAGAAATCCCGTTTCCAACGAAGGCCTCAAGGCGGTCCAATTATCCACTTGCAGATTCTACAGAAAGAGTGTTTCAAAACTGCTCTATCAAGAGAAATGTTCCACCGTGTGTGTGGAATGCAGCCATCACACAGTAGTTTCTGAGATTGCTTCCGTCTAGGTTTTATGGGAAGATATTTCCTTTTCTACCATAGGCCTCAAGGCGCTCTAATATCCGCTTGGAAATACTACAACCACAGCGTTTCAAACTGCTCTATCCAAAGGAAGGTTCCACTCTGTGACTTGAATGCACACAACCAAAGAAGTTTCGGAGAATTCTTCTGTCTAGATTTATACGAAGAAATCCCGTTTCCAACGAAGACCCAAAGGAGTTCCAAATATCCACTTGCAGATCCTTCAGAAAGAGGGTTTCAAAACTGCTCTATCAAGAGAAATGTTCAACTCTGTGAGTTGAATGCAGACATCACAAAGTCGTTTCTGAGATTGGTTCTGTCTAGGTTTTATGGGAAGTTATTTCCTTTTCTAGCATACGCTTCAAGGCGTTCCAAATATCTGCTTGGAAATACTACAAAAACAGTGTTTCAAAACTGCTCTATCAAAAGGAAGGATCCACACTGTGAGTTGAATTCACACATCACAAAGAAATCTCTGAGAATTCTTCTGTCTGGGTTTATAGGAAGAAATCCCGTTTCCAACGAAGGCCTCAAAGCGGTCCATATATCCACTTGCAGATTCTACAGAAACAATGTTTCCAAACTGCTCGGTCAAGAGGAATGTTGCACTCGGTGAGTTGAATGCACACATCACAAAGTAGTTTCTGAGATTGCTTCTGTCTACCTTTTATGGAAAGATATTCCCTTTTCTACCATAGGCCTGAAAGCGCTCTCAATGTACCCTTGCAAATTCTACAAAAAGAGTGTTTCCAAATTGCTCTATCAAGAGAAATCTTTATCTCGGTGAGTTGAAAGCACACATCACAAAGAAGACTCTGAGAATTCTTCTGTCTGGGTTTATAAGATGAAAACCCGTTTCCAACGAAGGCCTCAAGGAGGTCCAAATACAAACAAGCTGATTCTACAGAAAGAGTGTTTCCAAACTGCTCTATCAAGAGGAATGTTCCACTCGGTGAGTTGAATGCAGACATCACAAAGGAGTTTCTGAGATTGCTTCTGTCTAGCTTTTATGGAAAGATATTTCCTTTTCTACCATAGGCCTCAAAGCGCTCTTAGTATACACTTCCAAATTCTACAAAGAGAGTGTTACTAAACCGCTCTCTCAAAGGAAATGTTAAACTCTGTGAGTTGAACACAGACATCACAAAGCAGTTTCTGAGAACACTTCTGTCTGCCTTTTATGTGAAGACATTCCCTTTTCCAAAGAATGCCTCCAAGGGCTCAAAATATCCACTCGTAGACTTTACAAAGAGAGTGTTTCAAAACTTCTCTACCAAAAGAAAGGTTAAAGACGGTGAGTTCAACGCACACATCACAAAGTTGTTTCTGAGAATGATTCTATCTATGTTTTCCATGAAGATGTTTCCTTTTCTATCATAGGCTTCAAAGTGGTCTAAATATCCACTTGGAAATCCTACAAGAACAGGGTTTCAAAACTTCTCTATCAAACGGAAGACTCCACTCTGTGAGATGAACGCACACATCACAATGAGGTTTCTGAAAATTCTTCTGTCTAGGGTTATAGGAAGAAATCCCGTTTCCAACGAAGGCCTCAAAGAGGTCCAAATATCCACTTGCAGTTTCTACAAAAAGAGTGTTTCAACACTGCTCTATAAAGAGGAAAGTTCCACTCTGTGAGTTGAATGTACACATCACAAAGTAGTTTCTGAGATTGCTTCTGTCTAGGTTTTAGGTGAAGTTATTTCCTTTTCTACTGTGGGCTTCAATGCGCTCTAAATATACACATGCAAATACTACAAAAAGAGTGTTTCAAAACTGCTCTATCAAAAGAAAAGTTTTACTCTGTGGGTTGAACGCACACATCGCAAAGCAGATTCTGAGAATTATTCTGTCTAGTTTTTATAGGAAGATGTTTCTTTTTCTGCCGTAGGATCAATGCGCTATAAATATCCCCTTGGAAATCCTACAAAAACAGTGTTTCAAAACTGCTCTGTGAAAAGGGAGGTTTCACTCTTTGAATTGAATGCACACATCACAAAGGAGTTTCTGAAAATTCTTCAAACTAGAGTTACATGAAGAAATCCCGTTTCCAAAGAAGGCCTCAAATAGGTCCAAATATCCACTTGCAGCTACTACAAGAAGGGTGTTTCAGAAACGCTCTATCAAAAGAAACGTTAAACTCTGTGAGTTGAACACACACGTCACTAAGCACTTTCTGAGAACGATTCTATCTACTTTTTACATGAAGATGTTTCCTTTTCTAGCAGAGACTTCAAAGTGCTCTAAATATCCACTTGGGAATTCTACAAAAACGGTGTCTCAAAACTGCTCTATCAAACGGAATGTTCCATTCTGTGAGTCGAATGCACACATCCGAAGAAGTTACTGAGAATTCTTCTCTGTAGGTTTAGATGAAGAAATCCCGTTTCCAACGAAGGCCTCTAGGAGGTCCAATTATCCACTTGCAGATTCTACAGAAAGAGTGTTTCAAAACTGCTCTATCAAGAGAAATGGTCCACCGTGTGTGTGGAATGCAGCCATCACACATTAGTTTCTGAGATTGCTTCTGTCTTGGTTTTATGGGGAGATATTTCCATTTCTAGCATAGGCTTCAAGGCGCTCTAAATATCCGCTTGGAAATACTACAAAAACAGTGTTTCAAAACTGCTGTATCCAAAGGAAGGTGCCACTCGCTGAGTTGAATGCACACATCACAAGGAAGTTTCTGAGAATTCTTCTGTCTAGATTCATACGAAGAAATCCCGTTTCCAACGAAGGCCTCAAAGAAGTCCAAATATCCCATTGCAAATTCTACAAAAGGAGTGTTTCCCAACTGCTCTATCAAGAGGAATGTTGCACTCTGTGACTTGCATGCAAACATCACACAGCAGTGTTTGAGAATTCTTCTGTCTAGAGTAACATGAAGAAATCCCGTTTCCAACGAAGGCCTCAAGGCGGTCCAATTATCCACTTGCAGATTCTACAGAAAGAGTGTTTCAAAACTGCTCTATCAAGAGAAATGTTCCACCGTGTGTGTGGAATGCAGCCATCACACAGTAGTTTCTGAGATTGCTTCCGTCTAGGTTTTATGGGAAGATATTTCCTTTTCTACCATAGGCCTCAAGGCGCTCTAATATCCGCTTGGAAATACTACAACCACAGCGTTTCAAACTGCTCTATCCAAAGGAAGGTTCCACTCTGTGAGTTGAATGCACACAACCAAAGAAGTTTCGGAGAATTCTTCTGTCTAGATTTATACGAAGAAATCCCGTTTCCAACGAAGACCCAAAGGAGTTCCAAATATCCACTTGCAGATCCTTCAGAAAGAGGGTTTCAAAACTGCTCTATCAAGAGAAATGTTCAACTCTGTGAGTTGAATGCAGACATCACAAAGTCGTTTCTGAGATTGGTTCTGTCTAGGTTTTATGGGAAGATATTTCCTTTTCTACCATACGCTTCAAGGCGTTCCAAATATCCGCTTGGAAATACTACAAAAACAGTGTTTCAAAACTGCTCTATCAAAAGGAAGGATCCACACTGTGAGTTGAATTCACACATCACAAAGAAGTCTCTGAGAATTCTTCTGTCTGGGTTTATAGGAAGAAATCCCGTTTCCAACGAAGGCCTCAAAGAGGTCCAAATATCCACTTGCAGATTCTACAGAAACAATGTTTCCAAACTGCTCGGTCAAGAGGAATGTTGCACTCGGTGAGTTGAATGCACACATCACAAAGTAGTTTCTGAGATTGCTTCTGTCTACCTTTTATGGAAAGATATTCCCTTTTCTACCATAGGCCTGAAAGCGCTCTCAATGTACCCTTGCAAATTCTACAAAAAGAGTGTTTCCAAATTGCTCTATCAAGAGAAATCTTTATCTCGGTGAGTTGAAAGCACACATCACAAAGAAGACTCTGAGAATTCTTCTGTCTGGGTTTATAAGATGAAAACCCGTTTCCAACGAAGGCCTCAAGGAGGTCCAAATACAAACAAGCTGATTCTACAGAAAGAGTGTTTCCAAACTGCTCTATCAAGAGTAATGTTCCACTCGGTGAGTTGAATGCAGACATCACAAAGGAGTTTCTGAGATTGCTTCTGTCTAGCTTTTATGGAAAGATATTTCCTTTTCTACCATAGGCCTCAAAGCGCTCTTAGTATACACTTCCAAATTCTACAAAGAGAGTGTTACTAAACCGCTCTCTCAAAGGAAATGTTAAACTCTGTGAGTTGAACACAGACATCACAAAGCAGTTTCTGAGAACACTTCTGTCTGCCTTTTATGTGAAGACATTCCCTTTTCCAAAGAATGCCTCCAAGGGCTCAAAATATCCACTTGTAGACTTTACAAAGAGAGTGTTTCAAAACTTCTCTACCAAAAGAAAGGTTAAAGACGGTGAGTTCAACGCACACATCACAAAGTTGTTTCTGACAATGATTCTATCTATGTTTTCCATGAAGATGTTTCCTTTTCTATCATAGGCTTCCAAGTGGTCTAAATATCCACCTGGAAATCCTACAAGAACAGGGTTTCAAAGCTTCTCTATCAAACGGAAGACTCCACTCTGTGAGATGAACGCACACATCACAATGAGGTTTCTGAAAATTCTTCTGTCTAGGGTTATAGGAAGAAATCCCGTTTCCAACGAAGGCCTCAAAGAGGTCCAAATATCCACTTGCAGTTTCTACAAAAAGAGTGTTTCAACACTGCTCTATAAAGAGGAAAGTTCCACTCTGTGAGTTGAATGTACACATCACAAAGTAGTTTCTGAGATTGCTTCTGTCTAGGTTTTAGGTGAAGTTATTTCCTTTTCTACTGTGGGCTTCAATGCGCTCTAAATATACACATGCAAATACTACAAAAAGAGTGTTTCAAAACTGCTCTATCAAAAGAAAAGTTTTACTCTGTGGGTTGAACGCACACATCGCAAAGCAGATTCTGAGAATTATTCTGTCTAGTTTTTATAGGAAGATGTTTCTTTTTCTGCCGTAGGCTCAATGCGCTATAAATATCCCCTTGGAAATCCTACAAAAACAGTGTTTCAAAACTGCTCTGTGAAAAGGGACGTTTCACTCTTTGAATTGAATGCACACATCACAAAAGAGTTTCTGAAAATTCTTCAACTAGAGTTACATGAAGAAATCCCGTTTCCAAAGAAGGCCTCAAATAGGTCCAAATATCCACTTGCAGCTACTACAAGCAGGGTGTTTCAGAAACGCTCTATCAAAAGAAACGTTAAACTCTGTGAGTTGAACACACACGTCACTAAGCACTTTCTGAGAACGATTCTATCTACTTTTTACATGAAGATGTTTCCTTTTCTAGCAGAGACTTCAAAGTGCTCTAAATATCCACTTGGGAATTCTACAAAAACGGTGTCTCAAAACTGCTCTATCAAACGGAATGTTCCATTCTGTGAGTCGAATGCACACATCCGAAGAAGTTACTGAGAATTCTTCTCTGTAGGTTTAGATGAAGAAATCCCGTTTCCAACGAAGGCCTCTAGGAGGTCCAATTATCCACTTGCAGATTCTACAGAAAGAGTGTTTCAAAACTGCTCTATCAAGAGAAATGGTCCACCGTGTGTGTGGAATGCAGCCATCACACATTAGTTTCTGAGATTGCTTCTGTCTTGGTTTTATGGGGAGATATTTCCATTTCTAGCATAGGCTTCAAGGCGCTCTAAATATCCGCTTGGAAATACTACAAAAACAGTGTTTCAAAACTGCTGTATCCAAAGGAAGGTGCCACTCGCTGAGTTGAATGCACACATCACAAGGAAGTTTCTGAGAATTCTTCTGTCTAGATTCATACGAAGAAATCCCGTTTCCAACGAAGGCCTCAAAGAAGTCCAAATATCCCATTGCAAATTCTACAAAAGGAGTGTTTCCCAACTGCTCTATCAAGAGGAATGTTGCACTCTGTGACTTGAATGCAAACATCACATAGCAGTGTTTGAGAATTCTTCTGTCTAGAGTAACATGAAGAAATCCCGTTTCCAACGAAGGCCTCAAGGCGGTCCAATTATCCACTTGCAGATTCTACAGAAAGAGTGTTTCAAAACTGCTCTATCAAGAGAAATGTTCCACCGTGTGTGTGGAATGCAGCCATCACACAGTAGTTTCTGAGATTGCTTCCGTCTAGGTTTTATGGGAAGATATTTCCTTTTCTACCATAGGCTTCAAGGCGCTCTAATATCCGCTTGGAAATACTACAACCACAGCGTTTCAAACTGCTCTATCCAAAGGAAGGTTCCACTCTGTGACTTGAATGCACACAACCAAAGAAGTTTCGGAGAATTCTTCTGTCTGGATTTATACGAAGAAATCCCGTTTCCAACGAAGACCCAAAGGAGTTCCAAATATCCACTTGCAGATCCTTCAGAAAGAGGGTTTCAAAACTGCTCTATCAAGAGAAATGTTCAACTCTGTGAGTTGAATGCAGACATCACAAAGTCGTTTCTGAGATTGGTTCTGTCTAGGTTTTATGGGAAGATATTTCCTTTTCTACCATACGCTTCAAGGCGTTCCAAATATCCGCTTGGAAATACTACAAAAACGGTGTTTCAAAACTGCTCTATCAAAAGGAAGGATCCACACTGTGAGTTGAATTCACACATCACAAAGAAATCTCTGAGAATTCTTCTGTCTGGGTTTATAGGAAGAAATCCCGTTTCCAACGAAGGCCTCAAAGCGGTCCATATATCCACTTGCAGATTCTACAGAAACAATGTTTCCAAACTGCTCTATCAAGAGGAATGTTGCACTCGGTGAGTTGAATGCACACATCACAAAGTAGTTTCTGAGATTGCTTCTGTCTACCTTTTATGGAAAGATATTCCCTTTTCTACCATAGGCCTGAAAGCGCTCTCAATGTACCCTTGCAAATTCTACAAAAAGAGTGTTTCCAAATTGCTCTATCAAGAGAAATCTTTATCTCGGTGAGTTGAAAGCACACATCACAAAGAAGACTCTGAGAATTCTTCTGTCTGGGTTTATAAGATGAAAACCCGTTTCCAACGAAGGCCTCAAGGAGGTCCAAATACAAACAAGCTGATTCTACAGAAAGAGTGTTTCCAAACTGCTCTATCAAGAGGAATATTCCACTCGGTGAGTTGAATGCAGACATCACAAAGGAGTTTCTGAGATTGCTTCTGTCTAGCTTTTATGGAAAGATATTTCCTTTTCTACCATAGGCCTCAAAGCGCTCTTAGTATACACTTCCAAATTCTACAAAGAGAGTGTTACTAAACCGCTCTCTCAAAGGAAATGTTACACTCTGTTAGTTGAACACAGACATCACAAAGCAGTTTCTGAGAACACTTCTGTCTGCCTTTTATGTGAAGACATTCCCTTTTCCAAAGAATGCCTCCAAGGGCTCAAAATATCCACTTGTAGACTTTACAAAGAGAGTGTTTCAAAACTTCTCTACCAAAAGAAAGGTTAAAGACGGTGAGTTCAACGCACACATCACAAAGTTGTTTCTGAGAATGATTCTATCTATGTTTTCCATGAAGATGTTTCCTTTTCTATCATAGGCTTCAAAGTGGTCTAAATATCCACTTGGAAATCCTACAAGAACAGGGTTTCAAAACTTCTCTATCAAACGGAAGACTCCACTCTGTGAGATGAACGCACACATCACAATGAGGTTTCTGAAAATTCTTCTGTCTAGGGTTATAGGAAGAAATCCCGTTTCCAACGAAGGCCTCAAAGCTGGTCCAAATATCCACTTGCAGTTTCTACAAAAAGAGTGTTTCAACACTGCTCTATAAAGAGAAAAGTTCCACTCTGTGAGTTGAATGTACACATCACAAAGTAGTTTCTGAGATTGCTTCTGTCTAGGTTTTAGGTGAAGTTATTTCCTTTTCTACTTTGGGCTTCAATGCGCTCTAAATATACACATGCAAATACTACAAAAAGAGTGTTTCAAAACTGCTCTATCAAAAGAAAAGTTTTACTCTGTGGGTTGAACGCACACATCGCAAAGCAGATTCTGAGAATTATTCTGTCTAGTTTTTATAGGAAGATGTTTCTTTTTCTGCCATAGGCTCAATGCGCTATAAATATCCCCTTGGAAATCCTACAAAAACAGTGTTTCAAAACTGCTCTGTGAAAAGGGAGGTTTCACTCTTTGAATTGAATGCACACATCACAAAGGAGTTTCTGAAAATTCTTCAATCTAGAGTTACATGAAGAAATCCCGTTTCCAAAGAAGGCCTCAAATAGGTCCAAATATCCACTTGCAGCTACTACAAGAAGGGTGTTTCAGAAACGCTCTATCAAAAGAAACGTTAAACTCTGTGAGTTGAACGCACACGTCACTAAGCACTTTCTGAGAACGATTCTATCTACTTTTTACATGAAGATGTTTCCTTTTCTAGCAGAGACTTCAAAGTGCTCTAAATATCCACTTGGGAATTCTACAAAAACGGTGTCTCAAAACTGCTCTATCAAAGGGAATGTTCCATTCTGTGAGTCGAATGCACACATCCGAAGAAGTTACTGAGAATTCTTCTCTGTAGGTTTAGATGAAGAAATCCCGTTTCCAACGAAGGCCTCTAGGAGGTCCAATTATCCACTTGCAGATTCTACAGAAAGAGTGTTTCAAAACTGCTCTATCAAGAGAAATGGTCCACCGTGTGTGTGGAATGCAGCCATCACACATTAGTTTCTGAGATTGCTTCTGTCTTGGTTTTATGGGGAGATATTTCCATTTCTAGCATAGGCTTCAAGGCGCTCTAAATATCCGCTTGGAAATACTACAAAAACAGTGTTTCAAAACTGCTGTATCCAAAGGAAGGTGCCACTCGCTGAGTTGAATGCACACATCACAAGGAAGTTTCTGAGAATTCTTCTGTCTAGATTCATACGAAGAAATCCCGTTTCCAACGAAGGCCACAAAGAAGTCCAAATATCCCATTGCAAATTCTACAAAAGGAGTGTTTCCCAACTGCTCTATCAAGAGGAATGTTGCACTCTGTGACTTGCATGCAAACATCACACAGCAGTGTTTGAGAATTCTTCTGTCTAGAGTAACATGAAGAAATCCCGTTTCCAACGAAGGCCTCAAGGCGGTCCAATTATCCACTTGCAGATTCTACAGAAAGAGTGTTTCAAAACTGCTCTATCAAGAGAAATGTTCCACCGTGTGTGTGGAATGCAGCCATCACACAGTAGTTTCTGAGATTGCTTCCGTCTAGGTTTTATGGGAAGATATTTCCTTTTCTACCATAGGCCTCAAGGCGCTCTAATATCCGCTTGGAAATACTACAACCACAGCGTTTCAAACTGCTCTATCCAAAGGAAGGTTCCACTCTGTGAGTTGAATGCACACAACCAAAGAAGTTTCGGAGAATTCTTCTGTCTAGATTTATACGAAGAAATCCCGTTTCCAACGAAGACCCAAAGGAGTTCCAAATATCCACTTGCAGATCCTTCAGAAAGAGGGTTTCAAAACTGCTCTATCAAGAGAAATGTTCAACTCTGTGAGTTGAATGCAGACATCACAAAGTCGTTTCTGAGATTGGTTCTGTCTAGGTTTTATGGGAAGATATTTCCTTTTCTACCATACGCTTCAAGGCGTTCCAAATATCCGCTTGGAAATACTACAAAAACAGTGTTTCAAAACTGCTCTATCAAAAGGAAGGATCCACACTGTGAGTTGAATTCACACATCACAAAGAAGTCTCTGAGAATTCTTCTGTCTGGGTTTATAGGAAGAAATCCCGTTTCCAACGAAGGCCTCAAAGAGGTCCAAATATCCACTTGCAGATTCTACAGAAACAATGTTTCCAAACTGCTCGGTCAAGAGGAATGTTGCACTCGGTGAGTTGAATGCACACATCACAAAGTAGTTTCTGAGATTGCTTCTGTCTACCTTTTATGGAAAGATATTCCCTTTTCTACCATAGGCCTGAAAGCGCTCTCAATGTACCCTTGCAAATTCTACAAAAAGAGTGTTTCCAAATTGCTCTATCAAGAGAAATCTTTATCTCGGTGAGTTGAAAGCACACATCACAAAGAAGACTCTGAGAATTCTTCTGTCTGGGTTTATAAGATGAAAACCCGTTTCCAACGAAGGCCTCAAGGAGGTCCAAATACAAACAAGCTGATTCTACAGAAAGAGTGTTTCCAAACTGCTCTATCAAGAGGAATGTTCCACTCGGTGAGTTGAATGCAGACATCACAAAGGAGTTTCTGAGATTGCTTCTGTCTAGCTTTTATGGAAAGATATTTCCTTTTCTACCATAGGCCTCAAAGCGCTCTTAGTATACACTTCCAAATTCTACAAAGAGAGTGTTACTAAACCGCTCTCTCAAAGGAAATGTTAAACTCTGTGAGTTGAACACAGACATCACAAAGCAGTTTCTGAGAACACTTCTGTCTGCCTTTTATGTGAAGACATTCCCTTTTCCAAAGAATGCCTCCAAGGGCTCAAAATATCCACTTGTAGACTTTACAAAGAGAGTGTTTCAAAACTTCTCTACCAAAAGAAAGGTTAAAGACGGTGAGTTCAACGCACACATCACAAAGTTGTTTCTGAGAATGATTCTATCTATGTTTTCCATGAAGATGTTTCCTTTTCTATCATAGGCTTCAAAGTGGTCTAAATATCCACTTGGAAATCCTACAAGAACAGGGTTTCAAAACTTCTCTATCAAACGGAAGACTCCACTCTGTGAGATGAACGCACACATCACAATGAGGTTTCTGAAAATTCTTCTGTCTAGGGTTATAGGAAGAAATCCCGTTTCCAACGAAGGCCTCAAAGAGGTCCAAATATCCACTTGCAGTTTCTACAAAAAGAGTGTTTCAACACTGCTCTATAAAGAGGAAAGTTCCACTCTGTGAGTTGAATGTACACATCACAATGTAGTTTCTGAGATTGCTTCTGTCTAGGTTTTAGGTGAAGTTATTTCCTTTTCTACTGTGGGCTTCAATGCGCTCTAAATATACACATGCAAATACTACAAAAAGAGTGTTTCAAAACTGCTCTATCAAAAGAAAAGTTTTACTCTGTGGGTTGAACGCACACATCGCAAAGCAGATTCTGAGAATTATTCTGTCTAGTTTTTATAGGAAGATGTTTCTTTTTCTGCCATAGGATCAATGCGCTATAAATATCCCCTTGGAAATCCTACAAAAACAGTGTTTCAAAACTGCTCTGTGAAAAGGGAGGTTTCACTCTTTGAATTGAATGCACACATCACAAAGAAGTTTCTGAAAATTCTTCAATCTAGAGTTACATGAAGAAATCCCGTTTCCAAAGAAGGCCTCAAATAGGTCCAAATATCCACTTGCAGCTACTACAAGAAGGGTGTTTCAGAAACGCTCTATCAAAAGAAACGTTAAACTCTGTGAGTTGAACGCACACGTCACTAAGCACTTTCTGAGGACGATTCTATCTACTTTTTACATGAAGATGTTTCCTTTTCTAGCAGAGACTTCAAAGTGCTCTAAATATCCACTTTGGAATTCTACAAAAACGGTGTCTCAAAACTGCTCTACCAAAGGGAATGTTCCATTCTGTGAGTCTAATGCACACATCCGAAGAAGTTACTGAGAATTCTTCTCTGTAGGTTTAGATGAAGAAATCCCGTTTCCAACGAAGGCCTCTAGGAGGTCCAATTATCCACTTGCAGATTCTACAGAAAGAGTGTTTCAAAACTGCTCTATCAAGAGAAATGGTCCACCGTGTGTGTGGAATGCAGCCATCACACATTAGTTTCTGAGATTGCTTCTGTCTTGGTTTTATGGGGAGATATTTCCATTTCTAGCATAGGCTTCAAGGCGCTCTAAATATCCGCTTGGAAATACTACAAAAACAGTGTTTCAAAACTGCTGTATCCAAAGGAAGGTGCCACTCGCTGAGTTGAATGCACACATCACAAGGAAGTTTCTGAGAATTCTTCTGTCTAGATTCATACGAAGAAATCCCGTTTCCAACGAAGGCCTCAAAGAAGTCCAAATATCCCATTGCAAATTCTACAAAAGGAGTGTTTCCCAACTGCTCTATCAAGAGGAATGTTGCACTCTGTGACTTGCATGCAAACATCACATAGCAGTGTTTGAGAATTCTTCTGTCTAGAGTAACATGAAGAAATCCCGTTTCCAACGAAGGCCTCAAGGCGGTCCAATTATCCACTTGCAGATTCTACAGAAAGAGTGTTTCAAAACTGCTCTATCAAGAGAAATGTTCCACCGTGTGTGTGGAATGCAGCCATCACACAGTAGTTTCTGAGATTGCTTCCGTCTAGGTTTTATGGGAAGATATTTCCTTTTCTACCATAGGCCTCAAGGCGCTCTAATATCCGCTTGGAAATACTACAACCACAGCGTTTCAAACTGCTCTATCCAAAGGAAGGTTCCACCCTGTGAGTTGAATGCACACAACCAAAGATGTTTCGGAGAATTCTTCTGTCTAGATTTATACGAAGAAATCCCGTTTCCAACGAAGACCCAAAGGAGTTCCAAATATCCACTTGCAGATCCTTCAGAAAGAGGGTTTCAAAACTGCTCTATCAAGAGAAATGTTCAACTCTGTGAGTTGAATGCAGACATCACAAAGTCGTTTCTGAGATTGGTTCTGTCTAGGTTTTATGGGAAGATATTTCCTTTTCTACCATACGCTTCAAGGCGTTCCAAATATCCGCTTGGAAATACTACAAAAACAGTGTTTCAAAACTGCTCTATCAAAAGGAAGGATCCACACTGTGAGTTGAATTCACACATCACAAAGAAGTCTCTGAGAATTCTTCTGTCTGGGTTTATAGGAAGAAATCCCGTTTCCAACGAAGGCGTCAAAGAGGTCCAAATATCCACTTGCAGATTCTACAGAAACAATGTTTCCAAACTGCTCGGTCAAGAGGAATGTTGCACTCGGTGAGTTGAATGCACACATCACTAAGTAGTTTCTGAGATTGCTTCTGTCTACCTTTTATGGAAAGATATTCCCTTTTCTACCATAGGCCTGAAAGCGCTCTCAATGTACCCTTGCAAATTCTACAAAAAGAGTGTTTCCAAATTGCTCTATCAAGAGAAATCTTTATCTCGGTGAGTTGAAAGCACACATCACAAAGAAGACTCTGAGAATTCTTCTGTCTGGGTTTATAAGATGAAAACCCGTTTCCAACGAAGGCCTCAAGGAGGTCCAAATACAAACAAGCTGATTCTACAGAAAGAGTGTTTCCAAACTGCTCTATCAAGAGGAATGTTCCACTCGGTGAGTTGAATGCAGACATCACAAAGGAGTTTCTGAGATTGCTTCTGTCTAGCTTTTATGGAAAGATATTTCCTTTTCTACCATAGGCCTCAAAGCGCTCTTAGTATACACTTCCAAATTCTACAAAGAGAGTGTTACTAAACCGCTCTCTCAAAGGAAATGTTAAACTCTGTGAGTTGAACACAGACATCACAAAGCAGTTTCTGAGAACACTTCTGTCTGCCTTTTATGTGAAGACATTCCCTTTTCCAAAGAATGCCTCCAAGGGCTCAAAATATCCACTTGTAGACTTTACAAAGAGAGTGTTTCAAAACTTCTCTACCAAAAGAAAGGTTAAAGACGGTGAGTTCAACGCACACATCACAAAGTTGTTTCTGAGAATGATTCTATCTATGTTTTCCATGAAGATGTTTCCTTTTCTATCATAGGCTTCAAAGTGGTCTAAATATCCACTTGGAAATCCTACAAGAACAGGGTTTCAAAACTTCTCTATCAAACGGAAGACTCCACTCTGTGAGATGAACGCACACATCACAATGAGGTTTCTGAAAATTCTTCTGTCTAGGGTTATAGGAAGAAATCCCGTTTCCAACGAAGGCCTCAAAGAGGTCCAAATATCCACTTGCAGTTTCTACAAAAAGAGTGTTTCAACACTGCTCTATAAAGAGGAAAGTTCCACTCTGTGAGTTGAATGTACACATCACAAAGTAGTTTCTGAGATTGCTTCTGTCTAGGTTTTAGGTGAAGTTATTTCCTTTTCTACTGTGGGCTTCAATGCGCTCTAAATATACACATGCAAATACTACAAAAAGAGTGTTTCAAAACTGCTCTATCAAAAGAAAAGTTTTACTCTGTGGGTTGAACGCACACATCGCAAAGCAGATTCTGAGAATTATTCTGTCTAGTTTTTATAGGAAGATGTTTCTTTTTCTGCCATAGGCTCAATGTGCTATAAATATCCCCTTGGAAATCCTACAAAAACAGTGTTTCAAAACTGCTCTGTGAAAAGGGAGGTTTCACTCTTTGAATTGAATGCACACATCACAAAGGAGTTTCTGAAAATTCTTCAAACTAGAGTTACATGAAGAAATCCCGTTTCCAAAGAAGGCCTCAAATAGGTCCAAATATCCACTTGCAGCTACTACAAGAAGGGTGTTTCAGAAACGCTCTATCAAAAGAAACGTTAAACTCTGTGAGTTGAACGCACACGTCACTAAGCACTTTCTGAGAACGATTCTATCTACTTTTTACATGAAGATGTTTCCTTTTCTAGCAGAGACTTCAAAGTGCTCTAAATATCCACTTGGGAATTCTACAAAAACGGTGTCTCAAAACTGCTCTATCAAACGGAATGTTCCATTCTGTGAGTCGAATGCACACATCCGAAGAAGTTACTGAGAATTCTTCTCTGTAGGTTTAGATGAAGAAATCCCGTTTCCAACGAAGGCCTCTAGGAGGTCCAATTATCCACTTGCAGATTCTACAGAAAGAGTGTTTCAAAACTGCTCTATCAAGAGAAATGGTCCACCGTGTGTGTGGAATGCAGCCATCACACATTAGTTTCTGAGATTGCTTCTGTCTTGGTTTTATGGGGAGGATATTTCCATTTCTAGCATAGGCTTCAAGGCGCTCTAAATATCCGCTTGGAAATAGTACAAAAACAGTGTTTCAAAACTGCTGTATCCAAAGGAAGGTGCCACTCGCTGAGTTGAATGCACACATCACAAGGAAGTTTCTGAGAATTCTTCTGTCTAGATTCATACGAAGAAATCCCATTTCCAACGAAGGCCTCAAAGAAGTCCAAATATCCCATTGCAAATTCTACAAAAGGAGTGTTTCCCAACTGCTCTATCAAGAGGAATGTTGCACTCTGTGACTTGAATGCAAACATCACATAGCAGTGTTTGAGAATTCTTCTGTCTAGAGTAACATGAAGAAATCCCGTTTCCAACGAAGGCCTCAAGGCGGTCCAATTATCCACTTGCAGATTCTACAGAAAGAGTGTTTCAAAACTGCTCTATCAAGAGAAATGTTCCACCGTGTGTGTGGAATGCAGCCATCACACAGTAGTTTCTGAGATTGCTTCCGTCTAGGTTTTATGGGAAGATATTTCCTTTTCTACCATAGGCCTCAAGGCGCTCTAATATCCGCTTGGAAATACTACAACCACAGCGTTTCAAACTGCTCTATCCAAAGGAAGGTTCCACTCTGTGACTTGAATGCACACAACCAAAGAAGTTTCGGAGAATTCTTCTGTCTAGATTTATACGAAGAAATCCCGTTTCCAACGAAGACCCAAAGGAGTTCCAAATATCCACTTGCAGATCCTTCAGAAAGAGGGTTTCAAAACTGCTCTATCAAGAGAAATGTTCAACTCTGTGAGTTGAATGCAGACATCACAAAGTCGTTTCTGAGATTGGTTCTGTCTAGGTTTTATGGGAAGATATTTCCTTTTCTACCATACGCTTCAAGGCGTTCCAAATATCCGCTTGGAAATACTACAAAAACAGTGTTTCAAAACTGCTCTATCAAAAGGAAGGATCCACACTGTGAGTTGAATTCACACATCACAAAGAAGTCTCTGAGAATTCTTCTGTCTGGGTTTATAGGAAGAAATCCCGTTTCCAACGAAGGCCTCAAAGAGGTCCAAATATCCACTTGCAGATTCTACAGAAACAATGTCTCCAAACTGCTCGGTCAAGAGGAATGTTGCACTCGGTGAGTTGAATGCACACATCACAAAGTAGTTTCTGAGATTGCTTCTGTCTACCTTTTATGGAAAGATATTCCCTTTTCTACCATAGGCCTGAAAGCGCTCTCAATGTACCCTTGCAAATTCTACAAAAAGAGTGTTTCCAAATTGCTCTATGAAGAGAAATCTTTATCTCGGTGAGTTGAAAGCACACATCACAAAGAAGACTCTGAGAATTCTTCTGTCTGGGTTTATAAGATGAAAACCCGTTTCCAACGAAGGCCTCAAGGAGGTCCAAATACAAACAAGCTGATTCTACAGAAAGAGTGTTTCCAAACTGCTCTATCAAGAGGAATGTTCCACTCGGTGAGTTGAATGCACACATCACAAAGGAGTTTCTGAGATTGCTTGTGTCTAGCTTTTATGGAAAGATATTTCCTTTTCTACCATAGGCCTCAAAGCGCTCCTAGTATACACTTCCAAATTCTACAAAGAGAGGGTTACTAAACCGCTCTATCACAGGAAATGTTAAACTCTGTGAGTTGAACACAGACATCACAAAGCAGTTTCTGAGAACACTTCTGTCTGCCTTTTACGTGAAGACATTCCCTTTTCCAAAGAATGCCTCCAAGGGCTCAAAATATCCACTTGTAGACTTTACAAAGAGAGTGTTTCAAAACTTCTCTACCAAAAGAAAGGTTAAAGACGGCGAGTTCAACGCACACATCACAAAGTTGTTTCTGAGAATGATTCTATCTATGTTTTCCATGAAGATGTTTCCTTTTCTATCATAGGCTTCAAAGTGGTCTAAATATCCACTTGGAAATCCTACAAGAACAGGGTTTCAAAACTTCTCTATCAAACGGAAGACTCCACTCTGTGAGATGAACGCACACATCACAATGAGGTTTCTGAAAATTCTTCTGTCTAGGGTTATAGGAAGAAATCCCGTTTCCAACGAGGGCCTCAAAGAGGTCCACATATCCACTTGCAGTTTCTACAAAAAGAGTGTTTCAACACTGCTCTATAAAGAGGAAAGTTCCACTCTGTGAGTTGAATGTACACATCACAAAGTAGTTTCTGAGATTGCTTCTGTCTAGGTTTTAGGTGAAGTTATTTCCTTTTCTACTGTGGGCTTCAATGCGCTCTAAATATACACATGCAAATACTACAAAAAGAGTGTTTCAAGACTGCTCTATCAAAAGAAATGTTTTACTCTGTGAGTTGAACGCACACATGGCAAACCAGATTCTGAGAATTATTCTGTCTAGTTTTTATAGGAAGATGTTTCTTTTTCTGCCGTAGGATCAATGCGCTATAAATATCCCCTTGGAAATCCTACAAAAACAGTGTTTCAAAACTGCTCTGTGAAAAGGGACGTTTCACTCTTTGAATTGAATGCACACATCACAAAGGAGTTTCTGAAAATTCTTCAATCTAGAGTTACATGAAGAAATCCCGTTTCCAAAGAAGGCCTCAAATAGGTCCAAATATCCACTTGCAGCTACTACAAGAAGGGTGTTTCAGAAACACTCTATCAAAAGAAACGTTAAACTCTGTGAGTTGAACACACACGTCACTAAGCACTTTCTGAGAACGATTCTATCTACTTTTTACATGAAGATGTTTCCTTTTCTAGCAGAGACTTCAAAGTGCTCTAAATATCCACTTGGGAATTCTACAAAAACGGTGTCTCAAAACTGCTCTATCAAAGGGAATGTTCCATTCTGTGAGTCGAATGCACACATCCGAAGAAGTTACTGAGAATTCTTCTCTGTAGGTTTAGATGAAGAAATCCCGTTTCCAACGAAGGCCTCTAGGAGGTCCAATTATCCACTTGCAGATTCTACAGAAAGAGTGTTTCAAAACTGCTCTATCAAGAGAAATGGTCCACCGTGTGTGTGGAATGCAGCCATCACACATTAGTTTCTGAGATTGCTTCTGTCTTGGTTTTATGGGGAGATATTTCCATTTCTAGCATAGGCTTCAAGGCGCTCTAAATATCCGCTTGGAAATACTACAAAAACAGTGTTTCAAAACTGCTGTATCCAAAGGAAGGTGCCACTCGCTGAGTTGAATGCACACATCACAAGGAAGTTTCTGAGAATTCTTCTGTCTAGATTCATACGAAGAAATCCCGTTTCCAACGAAGGCCTCAAAGAAGTCCAAATATCCCATTGCAAATTCTACAAAAGGAGTGTTTCCCAACTGCTCTATCAAGAGGAATGTTGCACTCTGTGACTTGAATGCAAACATCACATAGCAGTGTTTGAGAATTCTTCTGTCTAGAGTAACATGAAGAAATCCCGTTTCCAACGAAGGCCTCAAGGCGGTCCAATTATCCACTTGCAGATTCTACAGAAAGAGTGTTTCAAAACTGCTCTATCAAGAGAAATGTTCCACCGTGTGTGTGGAATGCAGCCATCACACAGTAGTTTCTGAGATTGCTTTCCGTCTAGGTTTTATGGGAAGATATTTCCTTTTCTACCATAGGCTTCAAGGCGCTCTAATATCCGCTTGGAAATACTACAACCACAGCGTTTCAAACTGCTCTATCCAAAGGAAGGTTCCACTCTGTGACTTGAATGCACAGAACCAAAGAAGTTTCGGAGAATTCTTCTGTCTAGTATTTATACGAAGAAATCCCGTTTCCAACGAAGACCCAAAGGAGTTCCAAATATCCACTTGCAGATCCTTCAGAAAGAGGGTTTCAAAACTGCTCTATCAAGAGAAATGTTCAACTCTGTGAGTTGAATGCAGACATCACAAAGTCGTTTCTGAGATTGGTTCTGTCTAGGTTTTATGGGAAGATATTTCCTTTTCTACCATACGCTTCAAGGCGTTCCAAATATCCGCTTGGAAATACTACAAAAACAGTGTTTCAAAACTGCTCTATCAAAAGGAAGGATCCACACTGTGAGTTGAATTCACACATCACAAAGAAGTCTCTGAGAATTCTTCTGTCTGGGTTTATAGGAAGAAATCCCGTTTCCAACGAAGGCCTCAAAGAGGTCCAAATATCCACTTGCAGATTCTACAGAAACAATGTTTCCAAACTGCTCGGTCAAGAGGAATGTTGCACTCGGTGAGTTGAATGCACACATCACAAAGTAGTTTCTGAGATTGCTTCTGTCTACCTTTTATGGAAAGATATTCCCTTTTCTACCATAGGCCTGAAAGCGCTCTCAATGTACCCTTGCAAATTCTACAAAAAGAGTGTTTCCAAATTGCTCTATCAAGAGAAATCTTTATCTCGGTGAGTTGAAAGCACACATCACAAAGAAGACTCTGAGAATTCTTCTGTCTGGGTTTATAAGATGAAAACCCGTTTCCAACGAAGGCCTCAAGGAGGTCCAAATACAAACAAGCTGATTCTACAGAAAGAGTGTTTCCAAACTGCTCTATCAAGAGGAATGTTCCACTCGGTGAGTTGAATGCAGACATCACAAAGGAGTTTCTGGGATTGCTTCTGTCTAGCTTTTATGGAAAGATATTTCCTTTTCTACCATAGGCCTCAAAGCGCTCTTAGTATACACTTCCAAATTCTACAAAGAGAGTGTTACTAAACCGCTCTCTCAAAGGAAATGTTAAACTCTGTGAGTTGAACACAGACATCACAAAGCAGTTTCTGAGAACACTTCTGTCTGCCTTTTATGTGAAGACATTCCCTTTTCCAAAGAATGCCTCCAAGGGCTCAAAATATCCACTTGTAGACTTTACAAAGAGAGTGTTTCAAAACTTCTCTACCAAAAGAAAGGTTAAAGACGGTGAGTTCAACGCACACATCACAAAGTTGTTTCTGAGAATGATTCTATCTATGTTTTCCATGAAGATGTTTCCTTTTCTATCATAGGCTTCAAAGTGGTCTAAATATCCACTTGGAAATCCTACAAGAACAGGGTTTCAAAACTTCTCTATCAAACGGAAGACTCCACTCTGTGAGATGAACGCACACATCACAATGAGGTTTCTGAAAATTCTTCTGTCTAGGGTTATAGGAAGAAATCCCGTTTCCAACGAAGGCCTCAAAGCTGGTCCAAATATCCACTTGCAGTTTCTACAAAAAGAGTGTTTCAACACTGCTCTATAAAGAGAAAAGTTCCACTCTGTGAGTTGAATGTACACATCACAAAGTAGTTTCTGAGATTGCTTCTGTCTAGGTTTTAGGTGAAGTTATTTCCTTTTCTACTGTGGGCTTCAATGCGCTCTAAATATACACATGCAAATACTACAAAAAGAGTGTTTCAAAACTGCTCTATCAAAAGAAAAGTTTTACTCTGTGAGTTGAACGCACACATCGCAAAGCAGATTCTGAGAATTATTCTGTCTAGTTTTTATAGGAAGATGTTTCTTTTTCTGCCATAGGCTCAATGCGCTATAAATATCCCCTTGGAAATCCTACAAAAACAGTGTTTCAAAACTGCTCTGTGAAAAGGGAGGTTTCACTCTTTGAATTGAATGCACACATCACAAAGGAGTTTCTGAAAATTCTTCAATCTAGAGTTACATGAAGAAATCCCGTTTCCAAAGAAGGCCTCAAATAGGTCCAAATATCCACTTGCAGCTACTACAAGAAGGGTGTTTCAGAAACGCTCTATCAAAAGAAACGTTAAACTCTGTGAGTTGAACGCACACGTCACTAAGCACTTTCTGAGAACGATTCTATCTACTTTTTACATGAAGATGTTTCCTTTTCTAGCAGAGACTTCAAAGTGCTCTAAATATCCACTTGGGAATTCTACAAAAACGGTGTCTCAAAACTGCTCTACCAAAGGGAATGTTCCATTCTGTGAGTCGAATGCACACATCCGAAGAAGTTACTGAGAATTCTTCTCTGTAGGTTTAGATGAAGAAATCCCGTTTCCAACGAAGGCCTCTAGGAGGTCCAATTATCCACTTGCAGATTCTACAGAAAGAGTGTTTCAAAACTGCTCTATCAAGAGAAATGGTCCACCGTGTGTGTGGAATGCAGCCATCACACATAAGTTTCTGAGATTGCTTCTGTCTTGGTTTTATGGGGAGATATTTCCATTTCTAGCATAGGCTTCAAGGCGCTCTAAATATCCGCTTGGAAATAGTACAAAAACAGTGTTTCAAAACTGCTGTATCCAAAGGAAGGTGCCACTCGCTGAGTTGAATGCACACATCACAAGGAAGTTTCTGAGAATTCTTCTGTCTAGATTCATACGAAGAAATCCCGTTTCCAACGAAGGCCTCAAAGAAGTCCAAATATCCCATTGCAAATTCTACAAAAGGAGTGTTTCCCAACTGCTCTATCAAGAGGAATGTTGCACTCTGTGACTTGAATGCAAACATCACATAGCAGTGTTTGAGAATTCTTCTGTCTAGAGTAACATGAAGAAATCCCGTTTCCAACGAAGGCCTCAAGGCGGTCCAATTATCCACTTGCAGATTCTACAGAAAGAGTGTTTCAAAACTGCTCTATCAAGAGAAATGTTCCACCGTGTGTGTGGAATGCAGCCATCACACAGTAGTTTCTGAGATTGCTTCCGTCTAGGTTTTATGGGAAGATATTTCCTTTTCTACCATAGGCTTCAAGGCGCTCTAATATCCGCTTGGAAATACTACAACCACAGCGTTTCAAACTGCTCTATCCAAAGGAAGGTTCCACTCTGTGACTTGAATGCACACAACCAAAGAAGTTTCGGAGAATTCTTCTGTCTGGATTTATACGAAGAAATCCCGTTTCCAACGAAGACCCAAAGGAGTTCCAAATATCCACTTGCAGATCCTTCAGAAAGAGGGTTTCAAAACTGCTCTATCAAGAGAAATGTTCAACTCTGTGAGTTGAATGCAGACATCACAAAGTCGTTTCTGAGATGGGTTCTGTCTAGGTTTTATGGGAAGATATTTCCTTTTCTACCATACGCTTCAAGGCGTTGCAAATATCCGCTTGGAAATACAAAAAAAACAGTGTTTCAAAACTGCTCTATCAAAAGGAAGGATCCACACTGTGAGTTGAATTCACACATCACAAAGAAATCTCTGAGAATTCTTCTGTCTGGGTTTATAGGAAGAAATCCCGTTTCCAACGAAGGCCTCAAAGCGGTCCATATATCCACTTGCAGATTCTACAGAAACAATGTTTCCAAACTGCTCGGTCAAGAGGAATGTTGCACTCGGTGAGTTGAATGCACACATCACAAAGTAGTTTCTGAGATTGCTTCTGTCTACCTTTTATGGAAAGATATTCCCTTTTCTACCATAGGCCTGAAAGCGCTCTCAATGTACCCTTGCAAATTCTACAAAAAGAGTGTTTCCAAATTGCTCTATCAAGAGAAATCTTTATCTCGGTGAGTTGAAAGCACACATCACAAAGAAGACTCTGAGAATTCTTCTGTCTGGGTTTATAAGATGAAAACCCGTTTCCAACGAAGGCCTCAAGGAGGTCCAAATACAAACAAGCTGATTCTACAGAAAGAGTGTTTCCAAACTGCTCTATCAAGAGGAATGTTCCACTCGGTGAGTTGAATGCAGACATCACAAAGGAGTTTCTGAGATTGCTTCTGTCTAGCTTTTATGGAAAGATATTTCCTTTTCTACCATAGGCCTCAAAGCGCTCTTAGTATACACTTCCAAATTCTACAAAGAGAGTGTTACTAAACCGCTCTCTCAAAGGAAATGTTAAACTCTGTGAGTTGAACACAGACATCACAAAGCAGTTTCTGAGAACACTTCTGTCTGCCTTTTATGTGAAGACATTCCCTTTTCCAAAGAATGCCTCCAAGGGCTCAAAATATCCACTTGTAGACTTTACAAAGAGAGTGTTTCAAAACTTCTCTACCAAAAGAAAGGTTAAAGACGGTGAGTTCAACGCACACATCACAAAGTTGTTTCTGAGAATGATTCTATCTATGTTTTCCATGAAGATGTTTCCTTTTCTATCATAGGCTTCAAAGTGGTCTAAATATCCACTTGGAAATCCTACAAGAACAGGGTTTCAAAACTTCTCTATCAAACGGAAGACTCCACTCTGTGAGATGAACGCACACATCACAATGAGGTTTCTGAAAATTCTTCTGTCTAGGGTTATAGGAAGAAATCCCGTTTCCAACGAAGGCCTCAAAGAGGTCCAAATATCCACTTGCAGTTTCTACAAAAAGAGTGTTTCAACACTGCTCTATAAAGAGGAAAGTTCCACTCTGTGAGTTGAATGTACACATCACAAAGTAGTTTCTGAGATTGCTTCTGTCTAGGTTTTAGGTGAAGTTATTTCCTTTTCTACTGTGGGCTTCAATGCGCTCTAAATATACACATGCAAATACTACAAAAAGAGTGTTTCAAAACTGCTCTATCAAAAGAAAAGTTTTACTCTGTGGGTTGAACGCACACATCGCAAAGCAGATTCTGAGAATTATTCTGTCTAGTTTTTATAGGAAGATGTTTCTTTTTCTGCCGTAGGCTCAATGCGCTATAAATATCCCCTTGGAAATCCTACAAAAACAGTGTTTCAAAACTGCTCTGTGAAAAGGGAGGTTTCACTCTTTGAATTGAATGCACGCATCACAAAGGAGTTTCTGAAAGTCCTTCAAACTAGAGTTACATGAAGAAATCCCGTTTCCAAAGAAGGCCTCAAATAGGTCCAAATATCCACTTGCAGCTACTACAAGAAGGGTGTTTCAGAAACGCTCTATCAAAAGAAACGTTAAACTCTGTGAGTTGAACGCACACGTCACTAAGCACTTTCTGAGAACGATTCTATCTACTTTTTACATGAAGATGTTTCCTTTTCTAGCAGAGACTTCAAAGTGCTCTAAATATCCACTTGGGAATTCTACAAAAACGGTGTCTCAAAACTGCTCTATCAAACGGAATGTTCCATTCTGTGAGTCGAATGCACACATCCGAAGAAGTTACTGAGAATTCTTCTCTGTAGGTTTAGATGAAGAAATCCCATTTCCAAAGAAGGCCTCTAGGAGTTCCAATTATCCACTTGCAGATTCTACAGAAAGAGTGTTTCAAAACTGCTCTATCAAGAGAAATGGTCCACCGTGTGTGTGGAATGCAGCCATCACACATTAGTTTCTGAGATTGCTTCTGTCTTGGTTTTATGGGGAGATATTTCCATTTCTAGCATAGGCTTCAAGGCGCTCTAAATATCCGCTTGGAAATACTACAAAAACAGTGTTTCAAAACTGCTGTATCCAAAGGAAGGTGCCACTCGCTGAGTTGAATGCACACATCACAAGGAAGTTTCTGAGAATTCTTCTGTCTAGATTCATACGAAGAAATCCCGTTTCCAACGAAGGCCTCAAAGAAGTCCAAATATCCCATTGCAAATTCTACAAAAGGAGTGTTTCCCAACTGCTCTATCAAGAGGAATGTTGCACTCTGTGACTTGAATGCAAACATCACATAGCAGTGTTTGAGAATTCTTCTGTCTAGAGTAACATGAAGAAATCCCGTTTCCAACGAAGGCCTCAAGGCGGTCCAATTATCCACTTGCAGATTCTACAGAAAGAGTGTTTCAAAACTGCTCTATCAAGAGAAATGTTCCACCGTGTGTGTGGAATGCAGCCATCACACAGTAGTTTCTGAGATTGCTTCCGTCTAGGTTTTATGGGAAGATATTTCCTTTTCTACCATAGGCTTCAAGGCTCTCTAATATCCGCTTGGAAATACTACAACCACAGCGTTTCAAACTGCTCTATCCAAAGGAAGGTTCCACTCTGTGACTTGAATGCACACAACCAAAGAAGTTTCGGAGAATTCTTCTGTCTGGATTTATACGAAGAAATCCCGTTTCCAACGAAGACCCAAAGGAGTTCCAAATATCCACTTGCAGATCCTTCAGAAAGAGGGTTTCAAAACTGCTCTATCAAGAGAAATGTTCAACTCTGTGAGTTGAATGCAGACATCACAAAGTCGTTTCTGAGATTGGTTCTGTCTAGGTTTTATGGGAAGATATTTCCTTTTCTACCATACGCTTCAAGGCGTTCCAAATATCCGCTTGGAAATACTACAAAAACAGTGTTTCAAAACTGCTCTATCAAAAGGAAGGATCCACACTGTGAGTTGAATTCACACATCACAAAGAAGTCTCTGAGAATTCTTCTGTCTCGGTTTATAGGAAGAAATCCCGTTTCCAACGAAGGCCTCAAAGAGGTCCAAATATCCACTTGCAGATTCTACAGAAACAATGTTTCCAAACTGCTCGGTCAAGAGGAATGTTGCACTCGGTGAGTTGAATGCACACATCACAAAGTAGTTTCTGAGATTGCTTCTGTCTACCTTTTATGGAAAGATATTCCCTTTTCTACCATAGGCCTGAAAGCGCTCTCAATGTACCCTTGCAAATTCTACAAAAAGAGTGTTTCCAAATTGCTCTATCAAGAGAAATCTTTATCTCGGTGAGTTGAAAGCACACATCACAAAGAAGACTCTGAGAATTCTTCTGTCTGGGTTTATAAGATGAAAACCCGTTTCCAATGAAGGCCTCAAGGAGGTCCAAATACAAACAAGCTGATTCTACAGAAAGAGTGTTTCCAAACTGCTCTTTCAAGAGGAATGTTCCACTCGGTGAGTTGAATGCAGACATCACAAAGGAGTTTCTGAGATTGCTTCTGTCTAGCTTTTATGGAAAGATAATTCCTTTTCTACCATAGGCCTCAAAGCGCTCTTAGTATACACTTCCAAATTCTACAAAGAGAGTGTTACTAAACCGCTCTCTCAAAGGAAATGTTAAACTCTGTGAGTTGAACACAGACATCACAAAGCAGTTTCTGAGAACACTTCTGTCTGCCTTTTATGTGAAGACATTCCCTTTTCCAAAGAATGCCTCCAAGGGCTCAAAATATCCACTTGTAGACTTTACAAAGAGAGTGTTTCAAAACTTCTCTACCAAAAGAAAGGTTAAAGACGGTGAGTTCAACGCACACATCACAAAGTTGTTTCTGAGAATGATTCTATCTATGTTTTCCATGAAGATGTTTCCTTTTCTATCATAGGCTTCAAAGTGGTCTAAATATCCACTTGGAAATCCTACAAGAACAGGGTTTCAAAACTTCTCTATCAAACGGAAGACTCCACTCTGTGAGATGAACGCACACATCACAATGAGGTTTCTGAAAATTCTTCTGTCTAGGGTTATAGGAAGAAATCCCGTTTCCAACGAAGGCCTCAAAGAGGTCCAAATATCCACTTGCAGTTTCTACAAAAAGAGTGTTTCAACACTGCTCTATAAAGAGGAAAGTTCCACTCTGTGAGTTGAATGTACACATCACAAAGTAGTTTCTGAGATTGCTTCTGTCTAGGTTTTAGGTGAAGTTATTTCCTTTTCTACTGTGGGCTTCAATGCGCTCTAAATATACACATGCAAATACTACAAAAAGAGTGTTTCAAAACTGCTCTATCAAAAGAAAAGTTTTACTCTGTGGGTTGAACGCACACATCGCAAAGCAGATTCTGAGAATTATTCTGTCTAGTTTTTATAGGAAGATGTTTCTTTTTCTGCCGTAGGCTCAATGCGCTATAAAATATCCCCTTGGAAATCCTACAAAAACAGTGTTTCAAAACTGCTCTGTGAAAAGGGAGGTTTCACTCTTTGAATTGAATGCACACATCACAAAGGAGTTTCTGAAAATTCTTCAAACTAGAGTTACATGAAGAAATCCCGTTTCCAAAGAAGGCCTCAAATAGGTCCAAATATCCACTTGCAGCTACTACAAGAAGGGTGTTTCAGAAACGCTCTATCAAAAGAAACGTTAAACTCTGTGAGTTGAACGCACACGTCACTAAGCACTTTCTGAGAACGATTCTATCTACTTTTTACATGAAGATGTTTCCTTTTCTAGCAGAGACTTCAAAGTGCTCTAAATATCCACTTGGGAATTCTACAAAAACAGTGTCTCAAAACTGCTCTATCAAACGGAATGTTCCATTCTGTGTGTCGAATGCACACATCCGAAGAAGTTACTGAGAATTCTTCTCTGTAGGTTTAGATGAAGAAATCCCGTTTCCAACGAAGGCCTCTAGGAGGTCCAATTATCCACTTGCAGATTCTACAGAAAGAGTGTTTCAAAACTGCTCTATCAAGAGAAATGGTCCACCGTGTGTGTGGAATGCAGCCATCAAACATTAGTTTCTGAGATTGCTTCTGTCTTGGTTTTATGGGGAGATATTTCCATTTCTAGCATAGGCTTCAAGGCGCTCTAAATATCCGCTTGGAAATACTACAAAAACAGTGTTTCAAAACTGCTGTATCCAAAGGAAGGTGCCACTCGCTGAGTTGAATGCACACATCACAAGGAAGTTTCTGAGAATTCTTCTGTCTAGATTCATACGAAGAAATCCCGTTTCCAACGAAGGCCTCAAAGAAGTCCAAATATCCCATTGCAAATTCTACAAAAGGAGTGTTTCCCAACTGCTCTATCAAGAGGAATGTTGCACTCTGTGACTTGAATGCAAACATCACATAGCAGTGTTTGAGAATTCTTCTGTCTAGAGTAACATGAAGAAATCCCGTTTCCAACGAAGGCCTCAAGGCGGTCCAATTATCCACTTGCAGATTCTACAGAAAGAGTGTTTCAAAACTGCTCTATCAAGAGAAATGTTCCACCGTGTGTGTGGAATGCAGCCATCACACAGTAGTTTCTGAGATTGCTTCCGTCTAGGTTTTATGGGAAGATATTTCCTTTTCTACCATAGGCCTCAAGGCGCTCTAATATCCGCTTGGAAATACTACAACCACAGCGTTTCAAACTGCTCTATCCAAAGGAAGGTTCCACTCTGTGACTTGAATGCACACAACCAAAGAAGTTTCGGAGAATTCTTCTGTCTGGATTTATACGAAGAAATCCCGTTTCCAACGAAGACCCAAAGGAGTTCCAAATATCCACTTGCAGATCCTTCAGAAAGAGGGTTTCAAAACTGCTCTATCAAGACAAATGTTCAACTCTGCGAGTTGAATGCAGACATCACAAAGTCGTTTCTGAGATGGGTTCTGTCTAGGTTTTATGGGAAGATATTTCCTTTTCTACCATACGCTTCAAGGCGTTCCAAATATCCGCTTGGAAATACTACAAAAACGGTGTTTCCAAACTGCTCTATCAAAAGGAAGTATCCACACTGTGAGTTGAATTCACACATCACAAAGAAATCTCTGAGAATTCTTCTGTCTGGGTTTATAGGAAGAAATCCCGTTTCCAACGAAGGCCTCAAAGCGGTCCATATATCCACTTGCAGATTCTACAGAAACAATGTTTCCAAACTGCTCTATCAAGAGGAATGTTGCACTCGGTGAGTTGAATGCACACATCACAAAGTAGTTTCTGAGATTGCTTCTGTCTACCTTTTATGGAAAGATATTCCCTTTTCTACCATAGGCCTGAAAGCGCTCTCAATGTACCCTTGCAAATTCTACAAAAAGAGTGTTTCCAAATTGCTCTATCAAGAGAAATCTTTATCTCGGTGAGTTGAAAGCACACATCACAAAGAAGACTCTGAGAATTCTTCTGTCTGGGTTTATAAGATGAAAACCCGTTTCCAACGAAGGCCTCAAGGAGGTCCAAATACAAACAAGCTGATTCTACAGAAAGAGTGTTTCCAAACTGCTCTATCAAGAGGAATGTTCCACTCGGTGAGTTGAATGCAGACATCACAAAGGAGTTTCTGAGATTGCTTCTGTCTAGCTTTTATGGAAAGATATTTCCTTTTCTACCATAGGCCTCAAAGCGCTCTTAGTATACACTTCCAAATTCTACAAAGAGAGTGTTACTAAACCGCTCTCTCAAAGGAAATGTTAAACTCTGTGAGTTGAACACAGACATCACAAAGCAGTTTCTGAGAACACTTCTGTCTGCCTTTTATGTGAAGACATTCCCTTTTCCAAAGAATGCCTCCAAGGGCTCAAAATATCCACTTGTAGACTTTACAAAGAGAGTGTTTCAAAACTTCTCTACCAAAAGAAAGGTTAAAGACGGTGAGTTCAACGCACACATCACAAAGTTGTTTCTGAGAATGATTCTATCTATGTTTTCCATGAAGATGTTTCCTTTTCTATCATAGGCTTCAAAGTGGTCTAAATATCCACTTGGAAATCCTACAAGAACAGGGTTTCAAAACTTCTCTATCAAACGGAAGACTCCACTCTGTGAGATGAACGCACACATCACAATGAGGTTTCTGAAAATTCTTCTGTCTAGGGTTATAGGAAGAAATCCCGTTTCCAACGAAGGCCTCAAAGAGGTCCAAATATCCACTTGCAGTTTCTACAAAAAGAGTGTTTCAACACTGCTCTATAAAGAGGAAAGTTCCACTCTGTGAGTTGAATGTACACATCACAAAGTAGTTTCTGAGATTGCTTCTGTCTAGGTTTTAGGTGAAGTTATTTCCTTTTCTACTGTGGGCTTCAATGCGCTCTAAATATACACATGCAAATACTACAAAAAGAGTGTTTCAAAACTGCTCTATCAAAAGAAAAGTTTTACTCTGTGAGTTGAACGCACACATCGCAAAGCAGATTCTGAGAATTATTCTGTCTAGTTTTTATAGGAAGATGTTTCTTTTTCTGCCGTAGGCTCAATGCGCTATATATATCCCCTTGGAAATCCTACAAAAACAGTGTTTCAAAACTGCTCTGTGAAAAGGGAGGTTTCACTCTTTGAATTGAATGCACACATCACAAAGGAGTTTCTGAAAATTCTTCAAACTAGAGTTACATGAAGAAATCCCGTTTCCAAAGAAGGCCTCAAATAGGTCCAAATATCCACTTGCAGCTACTACAAGAAGGGTGTTTCAGAAACGCTCTATCAAAAGAAACGTTAAACTCTGTGAGTTGAACACACACGTCACTAAGCACTTTCTGAGAACGATTCTATCTACTTTTTACATGAAGATGTTTCCTTTTCTAGCAGAGACTTCAAAGTGCTCTAAATATCCACTTGGGAATTCTACAAAAACGGTATCTCAAAACTGCTCTATCAAAGGGAATGTTCCATTCTGTGAGTCGAATGCACACATCCGAAGAAGTTACTGAGAATTCTTCTCTGTAGGTTTAGATGAAGAAATCCCGTTTCCAATGAAGGCCTCTAGGAGGTCCAATTACCCAGTTGCAGATTCTACAGAATGAGTGTTTCAAAACTGCTCTATCAAGAGAAATGGTCCACCGTGTGTGTGGAATGCAGCCATCACACATTAGTTTCTGAGATTGCTTCTGTCTTGGTTTTATGGGGAGATATTTCCATTTCTAGCGTAGGCTTCAAGGCGCTCTAAATATCCGCTTGGAAATACTACAAAAACAGTGTTTCAAAACTGCTGTATCCAAAGGAAGGTGCCACTCGCTGAGTTGAATGCACACATCACAAGGAAGTTTCTGAGAATTCTTCTGTCTAGATTCATACGAAGAAATCCCGTTTCCAACGAAGGCCTCAAAGAAGTCCAAATATCCCATTGCAAATTCTACAAAAGGAGTGTTTCCCAACTGCTCTATCAAGAGGAATGTTGCACTCTGTGACTTGAATGCAAACATCACATAGCAGTGTTTGAGAATTCTTCTGTCTAGAGTAACATGAAGAAATCCCGTTTCCAACGAAGGCCTCAAGGCGGTCCAATTATCCACTTGCAGATTCTACAGAAAGAGTGTTTCAAAACTGCTCTATCAAGAGAAATGTTCCACCGTGTGTGTGGAATGCAGCCATCACACAGTAGTTTCTGAGATTGCTTCCGTCTAGGTTTTATGGGAAGATATTTCCTTTTCTACCATAGGCTTCAAGGCGCTCTAATATCCGCTTGGAAATACTACAACCACAGCGTTTCAAACTGCTCTATCCAAAGGAAGGTTCCACTCTGTGACTTGAATGCACACAACCAAAGAAGTTTCGGAGAATTCTTCTGTCTGGATTTATACGAAGAAATCCCGTTTCCAACGAAGACCCAAAGGAGTTCCAAATATCCACTTGCAGATCCTTCAGAAAGAGGGTTTCAAAACTGCTCTATCAAGAGAAATGTTCAACTCTGTGAGTTCAATGCAGACATCACAAAGTCGTTTCTGAGATGGGTTCTGTCTAGGTTTTATGGGAAGATATTTCCTTTTCTACCATACGCTTCAAGGCGTTCCAAATATCCGCTTGGAAATACTACAAAAACAGTGTTTCAAAACTGCTCTATCAAAAGGAAGGATCCACACTGTGAGTTGAATTCACACATCACAAAGAAATCTCTGAGAATTCTTCTGTCTGGGTTTATAGGAAGAAATCCCGTTTCCAACGAAGGCCTCAAAGCGGTCCATATATCCACTTGCAGATTCTACAGAAACAATGTTTCCAAACTGCTCTATCAAGAGGAATGTTGCACTCGGTGAGTTGAATGCACACATCACAAAGTAGTTTCTGAGATTGCTTCTGTCTACCTTTTCTACCATAGGCCTGAAAGCGCTCTCAATGTACCCTTGCAAATTCTACAAAAAGAGTGTTTCCAAATTGCTCTATCAAGAGAAATCTTTATCTCGGTGAGTTGAAAGCACACATCACAAAGAAGACTCTGAGAATTCTTCTGTCTGGGTTTATAAGATGAAAACCCGTTTCCAACGAAGGCCTCAAGGAGGTCCAAATACAAACAAGCTGATTCTACAGAAAGAGTGTTTCCAAACTGCTCTATCAAGAGGAATGTTCCACTCGGTGAGTTGAATGCAGACATCACAAAGGAGTTTCTGAGATTGCTTCTGTCTAGCTTTTATGGAAAGATATTTCCTTTTCTACCATAGGCCTCAAAGCGCTCTTAGTATACACTTCCAAATTCTACAAAGAGAGTGTTACTAAACCGCTCTCTCAAAGGAAATGTTAAACTCTGTGAGTTGAACACAGACATCACAAAGCAGTTTCTGAGAACACTTCTGTCTGCCTTTTACGTGAAGACATTCCCTTTTCCAAAGAATGCCTCCAAGGGCTCAAAATATCCACTTGTAGACTTTACAAAGAGAGTGTTTCAAAACTTCTCTACCAAAAGAAAGGTTAAAGACGGCGAGTTCAATGCACACGTCACAAAGTTGTTTCTGAGAATGATTCTATCTATGTTTTCCATGAAGATGTTTCCTTTTCTATTATAGGCTTCAAAGTGGTCTAAATATCCACTTGGAAATCCTACAAGAACAGGGTTTCAAAACTTCTCTATCAAAAGGAAGACTCCACTCTGTGAGATGAACGCACACAACACAATGAGGTTTCTGAAAATTCTTCTGTCTAGGGTTATAGGAAGAAATCCCGTTTCCAACGAAGGCCTCAAAGAGGTCCAAATATCCACTTGCAGTTTCTACAAAAAGAGTGTTTCAACACTGCTCTATAAAGAGAAAAGTTCCACTCTGTGAGTTGAATGTACACATCACAAAGTAGTTTCTGAGATTGCTTCTGTCTAGGTTTTAGGTGAAGTTATTTCCTTTTCTACTGTGGGCTTCAATGCGCCCTAAATATACACATGCAAATACTACAAAAAGAGTGTTTCAAAACTGCTCTATCAAAAGAAAAGTTTTACTCTGTGAGTTGAACGCACACATCGCAAAGCAGATTCTGATAATTATTCTGTCTAGTTTTTATAGGAAGATGTTTCTTTTTCTGCCATAGGCTCAATGCGCTATAAATATCCCCTTGGAAATCCTACAAAAACAGTGTTTCAAAACTGCTCTGTGAAAAGGGAGGTTTCACTCTTTGAATTGAATGCACACTTCACAAAGGAGTTTCTGAAAATTCTTCAATCTAGAGTTACATGAAGAAATCCCGTTTCCAAAGAAGGCCTCAAATAGGTCCAAATATCCACTTGCAGCTACTACAAGCAGGGTGTTTCAGAAACGCTCTATCAAAAGAAACGTTAAACTCTGTGAGTTGAACGCACACGTCACTAAGCACTTTCTGAGAACGATTCTATCTACTTTTTACATGAAGATGTTTCCTTTTCTAGCAGAGACTTCAAAGTGCTCTAAATATCCACTTGGGAATTCTACAAAAACGGTGTCTCAAACCTGCTCCATCAAAGGGAACGTTCCATTCTGTGAGTCGAATGCACACATCCGAAGAAGTTACTGAGAATTCTTCTCTGTAGGTTTAGATGAAGAAATCCCGTTTCCAACGAAGGCCTCTAGGAGGTCCAATTATCCACTTGCAGATTCTACAGAAAGAGTGTTTCAAAACTGCTCTATCAAGAGAAATGGTCCACCGTGTGTGTGGAATGCAGCCATCACACATTAGTTTCTGAGATTGCTTCTGTCTTGGTTTTATGGGGAGATATTTCCATTTCTAGCATAGGCTTCAAGGCGCTCTAAATATCCGCTTGGAAATAGTACAAAAACAGTGTTTCAAAACTGCTGTATCCAAAGGAAGGTGCCACTCGCTGAGTTGAATGCACACATCACAAGGAAGTTTCTGAGAATTCTTCTGTCTAGATTCATACGAAGAAATCCCGTTTCCAACGAAGGCCTCAAAGAAGTCCAAATATCCCATTGCAAATTCTACAAAAGGAGTGTTTCCCAACTGCTCTATCAAGAGGAATGTTGCACTCTGTGACTTGAATGCAAACATCACATAGCAGTGTTTGAGAATTCTTCTGTCTAGAGTAACATGAAGAAATCCCGTTTCCAACGAAGGCCTCAAGGCGGTCCAATTATCCACTTGCAGATTCTACAGAAAGAGTGTTTCAAAACTGCTCTATCAAGAGAAATGTTCCACCGTGTGTGTGGAATGCAGCCATCACACAGTAGTTTCTGAGATTGCTTCCGTCTAGGTTTTATGGGAAGATATTTCCTTTTCTACCATAGGCTTCAAGGCGCTCTAATATCCGCTTGGAAATACTACAACCACAGCGTTTCAAACTGCTCTATCCAAAGGAAGGTTCCACTCTGTGACTTGAATGCACACAACCAAAGAAGTTTCGGAGAATTCTTCTGTCTGGATTTATACGAAGAAATCCCGTTTCCAACGAAGACCCAAAGGAGTTCCAAATATCCACTTGCAGATCCTTCAGAAAGAGGGTTTCAAAACTGCTCTATCAAGAGAAATGTTCAACTCTGTGAGTTGAATGCAGACATCACAAAGTCGTTTCTGAGATGGGTTCTGTCTAGGTTTTATGGGAAGATATTTCCTTTTCTACCATACGCTTCAAGGCGTTCCAAATATCCGCTTGGAAATACTACAAAAACAGTGTTTCAAAACTGCTCTATCAAAAGGAAGGATCCACACTGTGAGTTGAATTCACACATCACAAAGAAATCTCTGAGAATTCTTCTGTCTGGGTTTATAGGAAGAAATCCCGTTTCCAACGAAGGCCTCAAAGCGGTCCATATATCCACTTGCAGATTCTACAGAAACAATGTTTCCAAACTGCTCTATCAAGAGGAATGTTGCACTCGGTGAGTTGAATGCACACATCACAAAGTAGTTTCTGAGATTGCTTCTGTCTACCATTTCTACCATAGGCATGAAAGCGCTCTCAATGTACCCTTGCAAATTCTACAAAAAGAGTGTTTCCAAATTGCTCTATCAAGAGAAATCTTTATCTCGGTGAGTTGAAAGCACACATCACAAAGAAGACTCTGAGAATTCTTCTGTCTGGGTTTATAAGATGAAAACCCGTTTCCAACGAAGGCCTCAAGGAGGTCCAAATACAAACAAGCTGATTCTACAGAAAGAGTGTTTCCAAACTGCTCTATCAAGAGGAATGTTCCACTCGGTGAGTTGAATGCAGACATCACAAAGGAGTTTCTGAGATTGCTTCTGTCTAGCTTTTATGGAAAGATATTTCCTTTTCTACCATAGGCCTCAAAGCGCTCTTAGTATACACTTCCAAATTCTACAAAGAGAGTGTTACTAAACCGCTCTCTCAAAGGAAATGTTAAACTCTGTGAGTTGAACACAGACATCACAAAGCAGTTTCTGAGAACACTTCTGTCTGCCTTTTATGTGAAGACATTCCCTTTTCCAAAGAATGCCTCCAAGGGCTCAAAATATCCACTTGTAGACTTTACAAAGAGAGTGTTTCAAAACTTCTCTACCAAAAGAAAGGTTAAAGACGGTGAGTTCAACGCACACATCACAAAGTTGTTTCTGAGAATGATTCTATCTATGTTTTCCCATGAAGATGTTTCCTTTTCTATCATAGGCTTCAAAGTGGTCTAAATATCCACTTGGAAATCCTACAAGAACAGGGTTTCAAAACTTCTCTATCAAACGGAAGACTCCACTCTGTGAGATGAACGCACACATCACAATGAGGTTTCTGAAAATTCTTCTGTCTAGGGTTATAGGAAGAAATCCCGTTTCCAACGAGGGCCTCAAAGAGGTCCACATATCCACTTGCAGTTTCTACATAAAGAGTGTTTCAACACTGCTCTATAAAGAGGAAAGTTCCACTCTGTGAGTTGAATGTACACATCACAAAGTAGTTTCTGAGATTGCTTCTGTCTAGGTTTTAGGTGAAGTTATTTCCTTTTCTACTGTGGGCTTCAATGCGCTCTAAATATACACATGCAAATACTACAAAAAGAGTGTTTCAAAACTGCTCTATCAAAAGAAAAGTTTTACTCTGTGAGTTGAACGCACACATCGCAAAGCAGATTCTGAGAATTATTCTGTCTAGTTTTTATAGGAAGATGTTTCTTTTTCTGCCATAGGCTCAATGCGCTATAAATATCCCCTTGGAAATCCTACAAAAACAGTGTTTCAAAACTGCTCTGTGAAAAGGGAGGTTTCACTCTTTGAATTGAATGCACACATCACAAAGGAGTTTCTGAAAATTCTTCAAACTAGAGTTACATGAAGAAATCCCGTTTCCAAAGAAGGCCTCAAATAGGTCCAAATATCCACTTGCAGCTACTACAAGAAGGGTGTTTCAGAAACGCTCTATCAAAAGAAACGTTAAACTCTGTGAGTTGAACGCACAAGTCACTAAGCACTTTCTGAGAACGATTCTATCTACTTTTTACATGAAGATGTTTCCTTTTCTAGCAGAGACTTCAAAGTGCTCTAAATATCCACTTGGGAATTCTACAAAAACGGTGTCTCAAAACTGCTCTATCAAACGGAATGTTCCATTCTGTGAGTCGAATGCACACATCCGAAGAAGTTACTGAGAATTCTTCTCTGTAGGTTTAGATGAAGAAATCCCGTTTCCAACGAAGGCCTCTAGGAGGTCCAATTATCCACTTGCAGATTCTACAGAAAGAGTGTTTCAAAACTGCTCTATCAAGAGAAATGGTCCACCGTGTGTGTGGAATGCAGCCATCACACATTAGTTTCTGAGATTGCTTCTGTCTTGGTTTTATGGGGAGATATTTCCATTTCTAGCATAGGCTTCAAGGCGCTCTAAATATCCGCTTGGAAATACTACAAAAACAGTGTTTCAAAACTGCTGTATCCAAAGGAAGGTGCCACTCGCTGAGTTGAATACACACATCACAAGGAAGTTTCTGAGAATTCTTCTGTCTAGATTCATACGAAGAAATCCCGTTTCCAACGAAGGCCTCAAAGAAGTCCAAATATCCCATTGCAAATTCTACAAAAGGAGTGTTTCCCAACTGCTCTATCAAGAGGAATGTTGCACTCTGTGACTTGAATGCAAACATCACATAGCAGTGTTTGAGAATTCTTCTGTCTAGAGTAACATGAAGAAATCCCGTTTCCAACGAAGGCCTCAAGGTGGTCCAATTATCCACTTGCAGATTCTACAGAAAGAGTGTTTCAAAACTGCTCTATCAAGAGAAATGTTCCACCGTGTGTGTGGAATGCAGCCATCACACAGTAGTTTCTGAGATTGCTTCCGTCTAGGTTTTATGGGAAGATATTTCCTTTTCTACCATAGGCCTCAAGGCGCTCTAATATCCGCTTGGAAATACTACAACCACAGCGTTTCAAACTGCTCTATCCAAAGGAAGGTTCCACTCTGTGACTTGAATGCACACAACCAAAGAAGGTTCGGGAGAATTCTTCTGTCTGGATTTATACGAAGAAATCCCGTTTCCAACGAAGACCCAAAGGAGTTCCAAATATCCACTTGCAGATCCTTCAGAAAGAGGGTTTCAAAACTGCTCTATCAAGAGAAATGTTCAACTCTGTGAGTTGAATGCAGACATCACAAAGTCGTTTCTGAGATGGGTTCTGTCTAGGTTTTATGGGAAGATATTTCCTTTTCTACCATACGCTTCAAGGCGTTCCAAATATCCGCTTGGAAATACTACAAAAACAGTGTTTCAAAACTGCTCTATCAAAAGGAAGGATCCACACTGTGAGTTGAATTCACACATCACAAAGAAGTCTCTGAGAATTCTTCTGTCTGGGTTTATAGGAAGAAATCCCGTTTCCAACGAAGGCCTCAAAGAGGTCCAAATATCCACTTGCAGATTCTACAGAAACAATGTTTCCAAACTGCTCTATCAAGAGGAATGTTGCACTCGGTGAGTTGAATGCGCACATCACAAAGTAGTTTCTGAGATTGCTTCTGTCTACCTTTTATGGAAAGATATTCCCTTTTCTACCATAGGCCTGAAAGCGCTCTCAATGTACCCTTGCAAATTCTACAAAAAGAGTGTTTCCAAATTGCTCTATCAAGAGAAATCTTTATCTCGGTGAGTTGAAAGCACACATCACAAAGAAGACTCTGAGAATTCTTCTGTCTGGGTTTATAAGATGAAAACCCGTTTCCAACGAAGGCCTCAAGGAGGTCCAAATACAAACAAGCTGATTCTACAGAAAGAGTGTTTCCAAACTGCTCTATCAAGAGGAATGTTCCACTCGGTGAGTTGAATGCAGACATCACAAAGGAGTTTCTGAGATTGCTTCTGTCTAGCTTTTATGGAAAGATATTTCCTTTTCTACCATAGGCCTCAAAGCGCTCTTAGTATACACTTCCAAATTCTACAAAGAGAGTGTTACTAAACCGCTCTCTCAAAGGAAATGTTAAACTCTGTGAGTTGAACACAGACATCACAAAGCAGTTTCTGAGAACACTTCTGTCTGCCTTTTATGTGAAGACATTCCCTTTTCCAAAGAATGCCTCCAAGGGCTCAAAATATCCACTTGTAGACTTTACAAAGAGAGTGTTTCAAAACTTCTCTAAAAAAAGAAAGGTTAAAGACGGTGAGTTCAACGCACACATCACAAAGTTGTTTCTGAGAATGATTCTATCTATGTTTTCCATGAAGATGTTTCCTTTTCTATCATAGGCTTCAAAGTGGTCTAAATATCCACTTGGAAATCCTACAAGAACAGGGTTTCAAAACTTCTCTATCAAACGGAAGACTCCACTCTGTGAGATGAACGCACACATCACAATGAGGTTTCTGAAAATTCTTCTGTCTAGGGTTATAGGAAGAAATCCCGTTTCCAACGAAGGCCTCAAAGAGGTCCAAATATCCACTTGCAGTTTCTACAAAAAGAGTGTTTCAACACTGCTCTATAAAGAGAAAAGTTCCACTCTGTGAGTTGAATGTACACATCACAAAGTAGTTTCTGAGATTGCTTCTGTCTAGGTTTTAGGTGAAGTTATTTCCTTTTCTACTGTGGGCTTCAATGCGCTCTAAATATACACATGCAAATACTACAAAAAGAGTGTTTCAAAACTGCTCTATCAAAAGAAAAGTTTTACTCTGTGAGTTGAACGCACACATCGCAAAGCAGATTCTGAGAATTATTCTGTCTAGTTTTTATAGGAAGATGTTTCTTTTTCTGCCATAGGCTCAATGCGCTATAAATATCCCCTTGGAAATCCTACAAAAACAGTGTTTCAAAACTGCTCTGTGAAAAGGGAGGTTTCACTCTTTGAATTGAATGCACACATCACAAAGGAGTTTCTGAAAATTCTTCAATCTAGAGTTACATGAAGAAATCCCGTTTCCAAAGAAGGCCTCAAATAGGTCCAAATATCCACTTGCAGCTACTACAAGAAGGGTGTTTCAGAAACGCTCTATCAAAAGAAACGTTAAACTCTGTGAGTTGAACGCACACGTCACTAAGCACTTTCTGAGAACGATTCTATCTACTTTTTACATGAAGATGTTTCCTTTTCTAGCAGAGACTTCAAAGTGCTCTAAATATCCACTTGGGAATTCTACAAAAACGGTGTCTCAAAACTGCTCTACCAAAGGGAATGTTCCATTCTGTGAGTCGAATGCACACATCCGAAGAAGTTACTGAGAATTCTTCTCTGTAGGTTTAGATGAAGAAATCCCGTTTCCAACGAAGGCCTCTAGGAGGTCCAATTATCCACTTGCAGATTCTACAGAAAGAGTGTTTCAAAACTGCTCTATCAAGAGAAATGGTCCACCGTGTGTGTGGAATGCAGCCATCACACATTAGTTTCTGAGATTGCTTCTGTCTTGGTTTTATGGGGAGATATTTCCATTTCTAGCATAGGCTTCAAGGCGCTCTAAATATCCGCTTGGAAATACTACAAAAACAGTGTTTCAAAACTGCTGTATCCAAAGGAAGGTGCCACTCGCTGAGTTGAATGCACACATCACAAGGAAGTTTCTGAGAATTCTTCTGTCTAGATTCATACGAAGAAATCCCGTTTCCAACGAAGGCCTCAAAGAAGTCCAAATATCCCATTGCAAATTCTACAAAAGGAGTGTTTCCCAACTGCTCTATCAAGAGGAATGTTGCACTCTGTGACTTGAATGCAAACATCACATAGCAGTGTTTGAGAATTCTTCTGTCTAGAGTAACATGAAGAAATCCCGTTTCCAACGAAGGCCTCAAGGCGGTCCAATTATCCACTTGCAGATTCTACAGAAAGAGTGTTTCAAAACTGCTCTATCAAGAGAAATGTTCCACCGTGTGTGTGGAATGCAGCCATCACACAGTAGTTTCTGAGATTGCTTCCGTCTAGGTTTTATGGGAAGATATTTCCTTTTCTACCATAGGCTTCAAGGCGCTCTAATATCCGCTTGGAAATACTACAACCACAGCGTTTCAAACTGCTCTATCCAAAGGAAGGTTCCACTCTGTGACTTGAATGCACACAACCAAAGAAGTTTCGGAGAATTCTTCTGTCTGGATTTATACGAAGAAATCCCGTTTCCAACGAAGACCCAAAGGAGTTCCAAATATCCACTTGCAGATCCTTCAGAAAGAGGGTTTCAAAACTGCTCTATCAAGAGAAATGTTCAACTCTGTGAGTTGAATGCAGACATCACAAAGTCGTTTCTGAGATTGGTTCTGTCTAGGTTTTATGGGAAGATATTTCCTTTTCTACCATACGCTTCAAGGCGTTCCAAATATCCGCTTGGAAATACTACAAAAACAGTGTTTCAAAACTGCTCTATCAAAAGGAAGGATCCACACTGTGAGTTGAATTCACACATCACAAAGAAGTCTCTGAGAATTCTTCTGTCTGGGTTTATAGGAAGAAATCCCGTTTCCAACGAAGGCCTCAAAGAGGTCCAAATATCCACTTGCAGATTCTACAGAAACAATGTTTCCAAACTGCTCGGTCAAGAGGAATGTTGCACTCGGTGAGTTGAATGCACACATCACAAAGTAGTTTCTGAGATTGCTTCTGTCTACCTTTTATGGAAAGATATTCCCTTTTCTACCATAGGCCTGAAAGCGCTCTCAATGTACCCTTGCAAATTCTACAAAAAGAGTGTTTCCAAATTGCTCTATCAAGAGAAATCTTTATCTCGGTGAGTTGAAAGCACACATCACAAAGAAGACTCTGAGAATTCTTCTGTCTGGGTTTATAAGATGAAAACCCGTTTCCAACGAAGGCCTCAAGGAGGTCCAAATACAAACAAGCTGATTCTACAGAAAGAGTGTTTCCAAACTGCTCTATCAAGAGGAATGTTCCACTCGGTGAGTTGAATGCAGACATCACAAAGGAGTTTCTGAGATTGCTTCTGTCTAGCTTTTATGGAAAGATATTTCCTTTTCTACCATAGGCCTCAAAGCGCTCTTAGTATACACTTCCAAATTCTACAAAGAGAGTGTTACTAAACCGCTCTCTCAAAGGAAATGTTAAACTCTGTGAGTTGAACACAGACATCACAAAGCAGTTTCTGAGAACACTTCTGTCTGCCTTTTATGTGAAGACATTCCCTTTTCCAAAGAATGCCTCCAAGGGCTCAAAATATCCACTTGTAGACTTTACAAAGAGAGTGTTTCAAAACTTCTCTACCAAAAGAAAGGTTAAAGACGGTGAGTTCAACGCACACATCACAAAGTTGTTTCTGAGAATGATTCTATCTATGATTTCCATGAAGATGTTTCCTTTTCTATCATAGGCTTCAAAGTGGTCTAAATAACCACTTGGAAATCCTACAAGAACAGGGTTTCAAAACTTCTCTATCAAACGGAAGACTCCACTCTGTGAGATGAACGCACACATCACAATGAGGTTTCTGAAAATTCTTCTGTCTAGGGTTATAGGAAGAAATCCCGTTTCCAACGAAGGCCTCAAAGAGGTCCAAATATCCACTTGCAGTTTCTACAAAAAGAGTGTTTCAACACTGCTCTATAAAGAGGAAAGTTCCACTCTGTGAGTTGAATGTACACATCACAAAGTAGTTTCTGAGATTGCTTCTGTCTAGGTTTTAGGTGAAGTTATCTCCTTTTCTACTGTGGGCTTCAACACGCTCTAAATATACACATGCAAATACCACAAAAAGAGTGTTTCAAAACTGCTCTATCAAAAGAAAAGTTTTACTCTGTGGGTTGAACGCACAAATCGCAAAGCAGATTCTGAGAATCATTCTGTCTAGTTTTTATAGGAAGATGTTTCTTTTTCTGCCGTAGGCTCAATGCGCTATAAATATCCCCTTGGAAATCCTACAAAAACAGTGTTTCAAAACTGCTCTGTGAAAAGGGAGGTTTCACTCTTTGAATTGAATGCACACATCACAAAGGAGTTTCTGAAAATTCTTCAAACGAGAGTTACATGAAGAAATCCCGTTTCCAAAGAAGGCCTCAAATAGGTCCAAATATCCACTTGCAGCTACTACAAGAAGGGTGTTTCAGAAACGCTCTATCAAAAGAAACGTTAAACTCTGTGAGTTGAACGCACACGTCACTAAGCACTTTCTGAGAACGATTCTATCTACTTTTTACATGAAGGTGTTTCCTTTTCTAGCAGAGACTTCAAAGTGCTCTAAATATCCACTTGGGAATTCTACAAAAACGGTGTCTCAAAACTGCTCTATCAAACGGAATGTTCCATTCTGTGAGTCGAATGCACACATCCGAAGAAGTTACTGAGAATTCTTCTCTGTAGGTTTAGATGAAGAAATCCCATTTCCAACGAAGGCCTCTAGGAGGTCCAATTATCCACTTGCAGATTCTACAGAAAGAGTGTTTCAAAACTGCTCTATCAAGAGAAATGGTCCACCGTGTGTGTGGAATGCAGCCATCACACATTAGTTTCTGAGATTGCTTCTGTCTTGGTTTTATGGGGAGATATTTCCATTTCTAGCATAGGCTTCAAGGCGCTCTAAATATCCGCTTGGAAATACTACAAAAACAGTGTTTCAAAACTGCTGTATCCAAAGGAAGGTGCCACTCGCTGAGTTGAATGCACACATCACAAGGAAGTTTCTGAGAATTCTTCTGTCTAGATTCATACGAAGAAATCCCGTTTCCAACGAAGGCCTCAAAGAAGTCCAAATATCCCATTGCAAATTCTACAAAAGGAGTGTTTCCCAACTGCTCTATCAAGAGGAATGTTGCACTCTGTGACTTGAATGCAAACATCACATAGCAGTGTTTGAGAATTCTTCTGTCTAGAGTAACATGAAGAAATCCCGTTTCCAACGAAGGACTCAAGGCGGTCCAATTATCCACTTGCAGATTCTACAGAAAGAGTGTTTCAAAACTGCTCTATCAAGAGAAATATTCCACCGTGTGTGTGGAATGCAGCCATCACACAGTAGTTTCTGAGATTGCTTCCGTCTAGGTTTTATGGGAAGATATTTCCTTTTCTACCATAGGCTTCAAGGCGCTCTAATATCCGCTTGGAAATACTACAACCACAGCGTTTCAAACTGCTCTATCCAAAGGAAGGTTCCACTCTGTGACTTGAATGCACACAACCAAAGAAGTTTCGGAGAATTCTTCTGTCTGGATTTATACGAAGAAATCCCGTTTCCAACGAAGACCCAAAGGAGTTCCAAATATCCACTTGCAGATCCTTCAGAAAGAGGGTTTCAAAACTGCTCTATCAAGAGAAATGTTCAACTCTGTGAGTTGAATGCAGACATCACAAAGTCGTTTCTGAGATTGGTTCTGTCTAGGTTTTATGGGAAGATATTTCCTTTTCTACCATACGCTTCAAGGCGTTCCAAATATCCGCTTGGAAATACTACAAAAGCGGTGTTTCAAAACTGCTCTATCAAAAGGAAGGATCCACACTGTGAGTTGAATTCACACATCACAAAGAAATCTCTGAGAATTCTTCTGTCTGGGTTTATAGGAAGAAATCCCGTTTCCAACGAAGGCCTCAAAGCGGTCCATATATCCACTTGCAGATTCTACAGAAACAATGTTTCCAAACTGCTCTATCAAGAGGAATGTTGCACTCGGTGAGTTGAATGCACACATCACAAAGTAGTTTCTGAGATTGCTTCTGTCTACCTTTTATGGAAAGATATTCCCTTTTCTACCATAGGCCTGAAAGCGCTCTCAATGTACCCTTGCAAATTCTACAAAAAGAGTGTTTCCAAATTGCTCTATCAAGAGAAATCTTTATCTCGGTGAGTTGAAAGCACACATCACAAAGAAGACTCTGAGAATTCTTCTGTCTGGGTTTATAAGATGAAAACCCGTTTCCAACGAAGGCCTCAAGGAGGTCCAAATACAAACAAGCTGATTCTACAGAAAGAGTGTTTCCAAACTGCTCTATCAAGAGGAATGTTCCACTCGGTGAGTTGAATGCAGACATCACAAAGGAGTTTCTGAGATTGCTTCTGTCTAGCTTTTATGGAAAGATATTTCCTTTTCTACCATAGGCCTCAAAGCGCTCTTAGTATACACTTCCAAATTCTACAAAGAGAGTGTTACTAAACCGCTCTCTCAAAGGAAATGTTAAACTCTGTGAGTTGAACACAGACATCACAAAGCAGTTTCTGAGAACACTTCTGTCTGCCTTTTATGTGAAGACATTCCCTTTTCCAAAGAATGCCTCCAAGGGCTCAAAATATCCACTCGTAGACTTTACAAAGAGAGTGTTTCAAAACTTCTCTACCAAAAGAAAGGTTAAAGACGGTGAGTTCAACGCACACATCACAAAGTTGTTTCTGAGAATGATTCTATCTATGTTTTCCATGAAGATGTTTCCTTTTCTATCATAGGCTTCAAAGTGGTCTAAATATCCACTTGGAAATCCTACAAGAACAGGGTTTCAAAACTTCTCTATCAAACGGAAGACTCCACTCTGTGAGATGAACGCACACATCACAATGAGGTTTCTGAAAATTCTTCTGTCTAGGGTTATAGGAAGAAATCCCGTTTCCAACGAAGGCCTCAAAGAGGTCCAAATATCCACTTGCAGTTTCTACAAAAAGAGTGTTTCAACACTGCTCTATAAAGAGGAAAGTTCCACTCTGTGAGTTGAATGTACACATCACAAAGTAGTTTCTGAGATTGCTTCTGTCTAGGTTTTAGGTGAAGTTATTTCCTTTTCTACTTTGGGCTTCAATGCGCTCTAAATATACACATGCAAATACTACAAAAAGAGTGTTTCAAAACTGCTCTATCAAAAGAAAAGTTTTACTCTGTGGGTTGAACGCACACATCGCAAAGCAGATTCTGAGAATTATTCTGTCTAGTTTTTATAGGAAGATGTTTCTTTTTCTGCCATAGGCTCAATGCGCTATAAATATCCCCTTGGAAATCCTACAAAAACAGTGTTTCAAAACTGCTCTGTGAAAAGGGAGGTTTCACTCTTTGAATTGAATGCACACATCACAAAGGAGTTTCTGAAAATTCTTCAAACTAGAGTTACATGAAGAAATCCCGTTTCCAAAGAAGGCCTCAAATAGGTCCAAATATCCACTTGCAGCTACTACAAGAAGGGTGTTTCAGAAACGCTCTATCAAAAGAAACGTTAAACTCTGTGAGTTGAACGCACACGTCACTAAGCACTTTGCTGAGAACGATTTCTATCTACTTTTTACATGAAGATGTTTCCTTTTCTAGCAGAGACTTCAAAGTGCTCTAAATATCCACTTGGGAATTCTACAAAAACGGTGTCTCAAAACTGCTCTATCAAAGGGAATGTTCCATTCTGTGAGTCGAATGCACACATCCGAAGAAGTTACTGAGAATTCTTCTCTGTAGGTTTAGATGAAGAAATCCCGTTTCCAACGAAGGCCTCTAGGAGGTCCAATTATCCACTTGCAGATTCTACAGAAAGAGTGTTTCAAAACTGCTCTATCAAGAGAAATGGTCCACCGTGTGTGTGGAATGCAGCCATCACACATTAGTTTCTGAGATTGCTTCTGTCTTGGTTTTATGGGGAGATATTTCCATTTCTAGCATAGGCTTCAAGGCGCTCTAAATATCCGCTTGGAAATACTACAAAAACAGTGTTTCAAAACTGCTGTATCCAAAGGAAGGTGCCACTCGCTGAGTTGAATGCACACATCACAAGGAAGTTTCTGAGAATTCTTCTGTCTAGATTCATACGAAGAAATCCCGTTTCCAACGAAGGCCTCAAAGAAGTCCAAATATCCCATTGCAAATTCTACAAAAGGAGTGTTTCCCAACTGCTCTATCAAGAGGAATGTTGCACTCTGTGACTTGAATGCAAACATCACATAGCAGTGTTTGAGAATTCTTCTGTCTAGAGTAACATGAAGAAATCCCGTTTCCAACGACGGCCTCAAGGCGGTCCAATTATCCACTTGCAGATTCTACAGAAAGAGTGTTTCAAAACTGCTCTATCAAGAGAAATGTTCCACCGTGTGTGTGGAATGCAGCCATCACACAGTAGTTTCTGAGATTGCTTCCGTCTAGGTTTTATGGGAAGATATTTCCTTTTCTACCATAGGCCTCAAGGCGCTCTAATATCCGCTTGGAAATACTACAACCACAGCGTTTCAAACTGCTCTATCCAAAGGAAGGTTCCACTCTGTGACTTGAATGCACACAACCAAAGAAGTTTCGGAGAATTCTTCTGTCTGGATTTATACGAAGAAATCCCGTTTCCAACGAAGACCCAAAGGAGTTCCAAATATCCACTTGCAGATCCTTCAGAAAGAGGGTTTCAAAACTGCTCTATCAAGAGAAATGTTCAACTCTGTGAGTTGAATGCAGACATCACAAAGTCGTTTCTGAGATGGGTTCTGTCTAGGTTTTATGGGAAGATATTTCCTTTTCTACCATACGCTTCAAGGCGTTCCAAATATCCGCTTGGAAATACTACAAAAACAGTGTTTCAAAACTGCTCTATCAAAAGGAAGGATCCACACTGTGAGTTGAATTCACACATCACAAAGAAGTCTCTGAGAATTCTTCTGTCTGGGTTTATAGGAAGAAATCCCGTTTCCAACGAAGGCCTCAAAGCGGTCCATATATCCACTTGCAGATTCTACAGAAACAATGTTTCCAAACTGCTCTATCAAGAGGAATGTTGCACTCGGTGAGTTGAATGCACACATCACAAAGTAGTTTCTGAGATTGCTTCTGTCTACCTTTTATGGAAAGATATTCCCTTTTCTACCATAGGCCTGAAAGCGCTCTCAATGTACCCTTGCAAATTCTACAAAAAGAGTGTTTCCAAATTGCTCTATCAAGAGAAATCTTTATCTCGGTGAGTTGAAAGCACACATCACAAAGAAGAATCTGAGAATTCTTCTGTCTGGGTTTATAAGATGAAAACCCGTTTCCAACGAAGGCCTCAAGGAGGTCCAAATACAAACAAGCTGATTCTACAGAAAGAGTGTTTCCAAACTGCTCTATCAAGAGGAATGTTCCACTCGGTGAGTTGAATGCAGACATCACAAAGGAGTTTCTGAGATTGCTTCTGTCTAGCTTTTATGGAAAGATATTTCCTTTTCTACGATAGGCCTCAAAGCGCTCTTAGTATACACTTCCAAATTCTACAAAGAGAGTGTTACTAAACCGCTCTCTCAAAGGAAATGTTAAACTCTGTGAGTTGAACACAGACATCACAAAGCAGTTTCTGAGAACACTTTCTGTCTGCCTTTTATGTGAAGACATTCCCTTTTCCAAAGAATGCCTCCAAGGGCTCAAAATATCCACTTGTAGACTTTACAAAGAGAGTGTTTCAAAACTTCTCTACCAAAAGAAAGGTTAAAGACGGTGAGTTCAACGCACACATCACAAAGTTGTTTCTGAGAATGATTCTATCTATGTTTTCCATGAAGATGTTTCCTTTTCTATCATAGGCTTCAAAGTGGTCTAAATATCCACTTGGAAATCCTACAAGAACAGGGTTTCAAAGCTTCTCTATCAAACGGAAGACTCCACTCTGTGAGATGAACGCACACATCACAATGAGGTTTCTGAAAATTCTTCTGTCTAGGGTTATAGGAAGAAATCCCGTTTCCAACGAAGGCCTCAAAGAGGTCCAAATATCCACTTGCAGTTTCTACAAAAAGAGTGTTTCAACACTGCTCTATAAAGAGGAAAGTTCCACTCTGTGAGTTGAATGTACACATCACAAAGTAGTTTCTGAGATTGCTTCTGTCTAGGTTTTAGGTGAAGTTATTTCCTTTTCTACTGTGGGCTTCAATGCGCTCTAAATATACACATGCAAATACTACAAAAAGAGTGTTTCAAAACTGCTCTATCAAAAGAAAAGTTTTACTCTGTGGGTTGAACGCACACATCGCAAAGCAGATTCTGAGAATTATTCTGTCTAGTTTTTATAGGAAGATGTTTCTTTTTCTGCCGTAGGCTCAATGCGCTATAAATATCCCCTTGGAAATCCTACAAAAACAGTGTTTCAAAACTGCTCTGTGAAAAGGGAGGTTTCACTCTTTGAATTGAATGCACACATCACAAAGGAGTTTCTGAAAATTCTTCAAACTAGAGTTACATGAAGAAATCCCGTTTCCAAAGAAGGCCTCAAATAGGTCCAAATATCCACTTGCAGCTACTACAAGAAGGGTGTTTCAGAAACGCTCTATCAAAAGAAACGTTAAACTCTGTGAGTTGAACGCACACGTCACTAAGCACTTTCTGAGAACGATTCTATCTACTTTTTACATGAAGATGTTTCCTTTTCTAGCAGAGACTTCAAAGTGCTCTAAATATCCACTTGGGAATTCTACAAAAACGGTGTCTCAAAACTGCTCTATCAAAGGGAATGTTCCATTCTGTGAGTCGAATGCACACATCCGAAGAAGTTACTGAGAATTCTTCTCTGTAGGTTTAGATGAAGAAATCCCGTTTCCAACGAAGGCCTCTAGGAGGTCCAATTATCCACTTGCAGATTCTACAGAAAGAGTGTTTCAAAACTGCTCTATCAAGAGAAATGGTCCACCGTGTGTGTGGAATGCAGCCATCACACATTAGTTTCTGAGATTGCTTCTGTCTTGGTTTTATGGGGAGATATTTCCATTTCTAGCATAGGCTTCAAGGCGCTCTAAATATCCGCTTGGAAATACTACAAAAACAGTGTTTCAAAACTGCTGTATCCAAAGGAAGGTGCCACTCGCTGAGTTGAATACACACATCACAAGGAAGTTTCTGAGAATTCTTCTGTCTAGATTCATACGAAGAAATCCCGTTTCCAACGAAGGCCTCAAAGAAGTCCAAATATCCCATTGCAAATTCTACAAAAGGAGTGTTTCCCAACTGCTCTATCAAGAGGAATGTTGCACTCTGTGACTTGAATGCAAACATCACATAGCAGTGTTTGAGAATTCTTCTGTCTAGAGTAACATGAAGAAATCCCGTTTCCAACGAAGGCCTCAAGGCGGTCCAATTATCCACTTGCAGATTCTACAGAAAGAGTGTTTCAAAACTGCTCTATCAAGAGAAATGTTCCACCGTGTTTGTGGAATGCAGCCATCACACAGTAGTTTCTGAGATTGCTTCCGTCTAGGTTTTATGGGAAGATATTTCCTTTTCTACCATAGGCTTCAAGGCGCTCTAATATCCGCTTGGAAATACTACAACCACAGCGTTTCAAACTGCTCTATCCAAAGGAAGGTTCCACTCTGTGACTTGAATGCACACAACCAAAGAAGTTTCGGAGAATTCTTCTGTCTGGATTTATACGAAGAAATCCCGTTTCCAACGAAGACCCAAAGGAGTTCCAAATATCCACTTGCAGCTCCTTCAGAAAGAGGGTTTCAAAACTGCTCTATCAAGAGAAATGTTCAACTCTGTGAGTTGAATGCAGACATCACAAAGTCGTTTCTGAGATGGGTTCTGTCTAGGTTTTATGGGAAGATATTTCCTTTTCTACCTTACGCTTCAAGGCGTTCCAAATATCCGCTTGGAAATACTACAAAAACAGTGTTTCAAAACTGCTCTATCAAAAGGAAGGATCCACACTGTGAGTTGAATTCACACATCACAAAGAAATCTCTGAGAATTCTTCTGTCTGGGTTTATAGGAAGAAATCCCGTTTCCAACGAAGGCCTCAAAGCGGTCCATATATCCACTTGCAGATTCTACAGAAACAATGTTTCCAAACTGCTCTATCAAGAGGAATGTTGCACTCGGTGAGTTGAATGCACACATCACAAAGTAGTTTCTGAGATTGCTTCTGTCTACCTTTTATGGAAAGATATTCCCTTTTCTACCATAGGCCTGAAAGCGCTCTCAATGTACCCTTGCAAATTCTACAAAAAGAGTGTTTCCAAATTGCTCTATCAAGAGAAATCTTTATCTCGGTGAGTTGAAAGCACACATCACAAAGAAGACTCTGAGAATTCTTCTGTCTGGGTTTATAAGATGAAAACCCGTTTCCAACGAAGGCCTCAAGGAGGTCCAAATACAAACAAGCTGATTCTACAGAAAGAGTGTTTCCAAACTGCTCTATCAAGAGGAATGTTCCACTCGGTGAGTTGAATGCAGACATCACTAAGGAGTTTCTGAGATTGCTTCTGTCTAGCTTTTATGGAAAGATATTTCCTTTTCTACCATAGGCCTCAAAGCGCTCTTAGTATACACTTCCAAATTCTACAAAGAGAGTGTTACTAAACCGCTCTCTCAAAGGAAATGTTAAACTCTGTGAGTTGAACACAGACATCACAAAGCAGTTTCTGAGAACACTTCTGTCTGCCTTTTATGTGAAGACATTCCCTTTTCCAAAGAATGCCTCCAAGGGCTCAAAATATCCACTCGTAGACTTTACAAAGAGAGTGTTTCAAAACTTCTCTACCAAAAGAAAGGTTAAAGACGGTGAGTTCAACGCACACATCACAAAGTTGTTTCTGAGAATGATTCTATCTATGTTTTCCATGAAGATGTTTCCTTTTCTATCATAGGCTTCAAAGTGGTCTAAATATCCACTTGGAAATCCTACAAGAACAGGGTTTCAAAACTTCTCTATCAAACGGAAGACTCCACTCTGTGAGATGAACGCACACATCACAATGAGGTTTCTGAAAATTCTTCTGTCTAGGGTTATAGGAAGAAATCCCGTTTCCAACGAAGGCCTCAAAGAGGTCCAAATATCCACTTGCAGTTTCTACAAAAAGAGTGTTTCAACACTGCTCTATAAAGAGGAAAGTTCCACTCTGTGAGTTGAATGTACACATCACAAAGTAGTTTCTGAGATTGCTTCTGTCTAGGTTTTAGGTGAAGTTATTTCCTTTTCTACTGTGGGCTTCAATGCGCTCTAAATATACACATGCAAATACTACAAAAAGAGTGTTTCAAAACTGCTCTATCAAAAGAAAAATTTTACTCTGTGAGTTGAACGCACACATCGCAAAGCAGATTCTGAGAATTATTCTGTCTAGTTTTTATAGGAAGATGTTTCTTTTTCTGCCATAGGATCAATGCGCTATAAATATCCCCTTGGAAATCCTACAAAAACAGTGTTTCAAAACTGCTCTGTGAAAAGGGAGGTTTCACTCTTTGTATTGAATGCACACATCACAAAGGAGTTTCTGAAAATTCTTCAATCTAGAGTTACATGAAGAAATCCCGTTTCCAAAGAAGGCCTCAAATAGGTCCAAATATCCACTTGCAGCTACTACAAGAAGGGTGTTTCAGAAACGCTCTATCAAAAGAAACGATAAACTCTGTGAGTTGAACACACACGTCACTAAGCACTTTCTGAGAACGATTCTATCTACTTTTTACATGAAGATGTTTCCTTTTCTAGCAGAGACTTCAAAGTGCTCTAAATATCCACTTGGGAATTCTACAAAAACGGTGTCTCAAAACTGCTCTATCAAAGGGAATGTTCCATTCTGTGAGTCGAATGCACACATCCGAAGAAGTTACTGAGAATTCTTCTCTGTAGGTTTAGATGAAGAAATCCCGTTTCCAACGAAGGCCTCTAGGAGGTCCAATTATCCACTTGCAGATTCTACAGAAAGAGTGTTTCAAAACTGCTCTATCAAGAGAAATGGTCCACCGTGTGTGTGGAATGCAGCCATCACACATTAGTTTCTGAGATTGCTTCTGTCTTGGTTTTATGGGGAGATATTTCCATTTCTAGCATAGGCTTCAAGGCGCTCTAAATATCCGCTTGGAAATACTACAAAAACAGTGTTTCAAAACTGCTGTATCCAAAGGAAGGTGCCACTCGCTGAGTTGAATGCACACATCACAAGGAAGTTTCTGAGAATTCTTCTGTCTAGATTCATACGAAGAAATCCCGTTTCCAACGAAGGCCTCAAAGAAGTCCAAATATCCCATTGCAAATTCTACAAAAGGAGTGTTTCCCAACTGCTCTATCAAGAGGAATGTTGCACTCTGTGACTTGCATGCAAACATCACACAGCAGTGTTTGAGAATTCTTCTGTCTAGAGTAACATGAAGAAATCCCGTTTCCAACGAAGGCCTCAAGGCGGTCCAATTATCCACTTGCAGATTCTACAGAAAGAGTGTTTCAAAACTGCTCTATCAAGAGAAATGTTCCACCGTGTGTGTGGAATGCAGCCATCACACAGTAGTTTCTGAGATTGCTTCCGTCTAGGTTTTATGGGAAGATATTTCCTTTTCTACCATAGGCCTCAAGGCGCTCTAATATCCGCTTGGAAATACTACAACCACAGCGTTTCAAACTGCTCTATCCAAAGGAAGGTTCCACTCTGTGACTTGAATGCACACAACCAAAGAAGTTTCGGAGAATTATTCTGTCTGGATTTATACGAAGAAATCCCGTTTCCAACGAAGACCCAAAGGAGTTCCAAATATCCACTTGCAGATCCTTCAGAAAGAGGGTTTCAAAACTGCTCTATCAAGAGAAATGTTCAACTCTGTGAGTTGAATGCAGACATCACAAAGTCGTTTCTGAGATGGGTTCTGTCTAGGTTTTATGGGAAGTTATTTCCTTTTCTACCATACGCTTCAAGGCGTTCCAAATATCTGCTTGGAAATACTACAAAAACAGTGTTTCAAAACTGCTCTATCAAAAGGAAGGATCCACACTGTGAGTTGAATTCACACATCACAAAGAAATCTCTGAGAATTCTTCTGTCTGGGTTTATAGGAAGAAATCCCGTTTCCAACGAAGGCCTCAAAGTAGTCCATATATCCACTTGCAGATTCTACAGAAACAATGTTTCCAAACTGCTCTATCAAGAGGAATGTTGCACTCGGTGAGTTGAATGCACACATCACAAAGTAGTTTCTGAGATTGCTTCTGTCTACCTTTTATGGAAAGATATTCCCTTTTCTACCATAGGCCTGAAAGCGCTCTCAATGTACCCTTGCAAATTCTACAAAAAGAGTGTTTCCAAATTGCTCTATCAAGAGAAATCTTTATCTCGGTGAGTTGAAAGCACACATCACAAAGAAGACTCTGAGAATTCTTCTGTCTGGGTTTATAAGATGAAAACCCGTTTCCAACGAAGGCCTCAAGGAGGTCCAAATACAAACAAGCTGATTCTACAGAAAGAGTGTTTCCAAACTGCTCTATCAAGAGGAATGTTCCACTCGGTGAGTTGAATGCAGACATCACAAAGGAGTTTCTGAGATTGCTTCTGTCTAGCTTTTATGGAAAGATATTTCCTTTTCTACCATAGGCCTCAAAGCGCTCTTAGTATACACTTCCAAATTCTACAAAGAGAGTGTTACTAAACCGCTCTCTCAAAGGAAATGTTAAACTCTGTGAGTTGAACACAGACATCACAAAGCAGTTTCTGAGAACACTTCTGTCTGCCTTTTATGTGAAGACATTCCCTTTTCCAAAGAATGCCTCCAAGGGCTCAAAATATCCACTTGTAGACTTTACAAAGAGAGTGTTTCAAAACTTCTCTACCAAAAGAAAGGTTAAAGACGGTGAGTTCAACGCACACATCACAAAGTTGTTTCTGAGAATGATTCTATCTATGTTTTCCATGAAGATGTTTCCTTTTCTATCATAGGCTTCAAAGTGGTCTAAATATCCACTTGGAAATCCTACAAGAACAGGGTTTCAAAACTTCTCTATCAAACGGAAGACTCCACTCTGTGAGATGAACGCACACATCACAATGAGGTTTCTGAAAATTCTTCTGTCTAGGGTTATAGGAAGAAATCCCGTTTCCAACGAAGGCCTCAAAGAGGTCCAAATATCCACTTGCAGTTTCTACAAAAAGAGTGTTTCAACACTGCTCTATAAAGAGAAAAGTTCCACTCTGTGAGTTGAATGTACACATCACAAAGTAGTTTCTGAGATTGCTTCTGTCTAGGTTTTAGGTGAAGTTATTTCCTTTTCTACTGTGGGCTTCAATGCGCTCTAAATATACACATGCAAATACTACAAAAAGAGTGTTTCAAAACTGCTCTATCAAAAGAAAAGTTTTACTCTGTGAGTTGAACGCACACATCGCAAAGCAGATTCTGAGAATTATTCTGTCTAGTTTTTATAGGAAGATGTTTCTTTTTCTGCCATAGGCTCAATGCGCTATAAATATCCCCTTGGAAATCCTACAAAAACAGTGTTTCAAAACTGCTCTGTGAAAAGGGAGGTTTCACTCTTTGAATTGAATGCACACATCACAAAGGAGTTTCTGAAAATTCTTGAAACTAGAGTTACATGAAGAAATCCCGTTTCCAAAGAAGGCCTCAAATAGGTCCAAATATCCACTTGTAGCTACTACAAGCAGGGTGTTTCAGAAACGCTCTATCAAAAGAAACGTTAAACTCTGTGAGTTGAACACACACGTCACTAAGCACTTTCTGAGAACGATTCTATCTACTTTTTACATGAAGATGTTTCCTTTTCTAGCAGAGACTTCAAAGTGCTCTAAATATCCACTTGGGAATTCTACAAAAACGGTGTCTCAAAACTGCTCTACCAAAGGGAATGTTCCATTCTGTGAGTCGAATGCACACATCCGAAGAAGTTACTGAGAATTCTTCTCTGTAGGTTTAGATGAAGAAATCCCGTTTCCAACGAAGGCCTCTAGGAGGTCCAATTATCCACTTGCAGATTCTACAGAAAGAGTGTTTCAAAACTGCTCTATCAAGAGAAATGGTCCACCGTGTGTGTGGAATGCAGCCATCACACATTAGTTTCTGAGATTGCTTCTGTCTTGGTTTTATGGGGAGATATTTCCATTTCTAGCATAGGCTTCAAGGCGCTCTAAATATCCGCTTGGAAATAGTACAAAAACGGTGTTTCAAAACTGCTGTATCCAAAGGAAGGTGCCACTCGCTGAGTTGAATGCACACATCACAAGGAAGTTTCTGAGAATTCTTCTGTCTAGATTCATACGAAGAAATCCCGTTTCCAACGAAGGCCTCAAAGAAGTCCAAATATCCCATTGCAAATTCTACAAAAGGAGTGTTTCCCAACTGCTCTATCAAGAGGAATGTTGCACTCTGTGACTTGAATGCAAACATCACATAGCAGTGTTTGAGAATTCTTCTGTCTAGAGTAACATGAAGAAATCCCGTTTCCAACGAAGGCCTCAAGGCGGTCCAATTATCCACTTGCAGATTCTACAGAAAGAGTGTTTCAAAACTGCTCTATCAAGAGAAATGTTCCACCGTGTGTGTGGAATGCAGCCATCACACAGTAGTTTCTGAGATTGCTTCCGTCTAGGTTTTATGGGAAGATATTTCCTTTTCTACCATAGGCTTCAAGGCGCTCTAATATCCGCTTGGAAATACTACAACCACAGCGTTTCAAACTGCTCTATCCAAAGGAAGGTTCCACTCTGTGACTTGAATGCACACAACCAAAGAAGTTTCGGAGAATTCTTCTGTCTGGATTTATACGAAGAAATCCCGTTTCCAACGAAGACCCAAAGGAGTTCCAAATATCCACTTGCAGATCCTTCAGAAAGAGGGTTTCAAAACTGCTCTATCAAGAGAAATGTTCAACTCTGTGAGTTGAATGCAGACATCACAAAGTCGTTTCTGAGATGGGTTCTGTCTAGGTTTTATGGGAAGATATTTCCTTTTCTACCATACGCTTCAAGGCGTTCCAAATATCCGCTTGGAAATACTACAAAAACAGTGTTTCAAAACTGCTCTATCAAAAGGAGGGATCCACACTGTGAGTTGAATTCACACATCACAAAGAAATCTCTGAGAATTCTTCTGTCTGGGTTTATAGGAAGAAATCCCGTTTCCAACGAAGGCCTCAAAGCGGTCCATATATCCACTTGCAGATTCTACAGAAACAATGTTTCCAAACTGCTCGGTCAAGAGGAATGTTGCACTCGGTGAGTTGAATGCACACATGACAAAGTAGTTTCTGAGATTGCTTCTGTCTACCTTTTATGGAAAGATATTCCCTTTTCTACCATAGGCCTGAAAGCGCTCTCAATGTACCCTTGCAAATTCTACAAAAAGAGTGTTTCCAAATTGCTCTATCAAGAGAAATCTTTATCTCGGTGAGTTGAAAGCACACATCACAAAGAAGACTCTGAGAATTCTTCTGTCTGGGTTTATAAGATGAAAACCCGTTTCCAACGAAGGCCTCAAGGAGGTCCAAATACAAACAAGCTGATTCTACAGAAAGAGTGTTTCCAAACTGCTCTATCAAGAGGAATGTTCCACTCGGTGAGTTGAATGCAGACATCACAAAGGAGTTTCTGAGATTGCTTCTGTCTAGCTTTTATGGAAAGATATTTCCTTTTCTACCATAGGCCTCAAAGCGCTCTTAGTATACACTTCCAAATTCTACAAAGAGAGTGTTACTAAACCGCTCTCTCAAAGGAAATGTTAAACTCTGTGAGTTGAACACAGACATCACAAAGCAGTTTCTGAGAACACTTGTGTCTGCCTTTTATGTGAAGACATTCCCTTTTCCAAAGAATGCCTCCAAGGGCTCAAAATATCCACTTGTAGACTTTACAAAGAGAGTGTTTCAAAACTTCTCTACCAAAAGAAAGGTTAAAGACGGTGAGTTCAACGCACACATCACAAAGTTGTTTCTGAGAATGATTCTATCTATGTTTTCCATGAAGATGTTTCCTTTTCTATCATAGGCTTCAAAGTGGTCTAAATATCCACTTGGAAATCCTACAAGAACAGGGTTTCAAAACTTCTCTATCAAACGGAAGACTCCACTCTGTGAGATGAACGCACACATCACAATGAGGTTTCTGAAAATTCTTCTGTCTAGGGTTATAGGAAGAAATCCCGTTTCCAACGAAGGCCTCAAAGAGGTCCAAATATCCACTTGCAGTTTCTACAAAAAGAGTGTTTCAACACTGCTCTATAAAGAGGAAAGTTCCACTCTGTGAGTTGAATGTACACATCACAAAGTAGTTTCTGAGATTGCTTCTGTCTAGGTTTTAGGTGAAGTTATTTCCTTTTCTACTGTGGGCTTCAATGCGCTCTAAATATACACATGCAAATACTACAAAAAGAGTGTTTCAAAACTGCTCTATCAAAAGAAAAGTTTTACTCTGTGAGTTGAACGCACACATCGCAAAGCAGATTCTGAGAATTATTCTGTCTAGTTTTTATAGGAAGATGTTTCTTTTTCTGCCATAGGCTCAATGCGCTATAAATATCCCCTTGGAAATCCTACAAAAACAGTGTTTCAAAACTGCTCTGTGAAAAGGGAGGTTTCACTCTTTGAATTGAATGCACACATCACAAAGGAGTTTCTGAAAATTCTTCAATCTAGAGTTACATGAAGAAATCCCGTTTCCAAAGAAGGCCTCAAATAGGTCCAAATATCCACTTGCAGCTACTACAAGAAGGGTGTTTCAGAAACGCTCTATCAAAAGAAACGTTAAACTCTGTGAGTTGAACGCACACGTCACTAAGCACTTTCTGAGAACGATTCTATCTACTTTTTACATGAAGATGTTTCCTTTTCTAGCAGAGACTTCAAAGTGCTCTAAATATCCACTTGGGAATTCTACAAAAACGGTGTCTCAAAACTGCTCTATCAAAGGGAATGTTCCATTCTGTGAGTCGAATGCACACATCCGAAGAAGTTACTGAGAATTCTTCTCTGTAGGTTTAGATGAAGAAATCCCGTTTCCAACGAAGGCCTCTAGGAGGTCCAATTATCCACTTGCAGATTCTACAGAAAGAGTGTTTCAAAACTGCTCTATCCAGAGAAATGGTCCACCGTGTGTGTGGAATGCAGCCATCACACATTAGTTTCTGAGATTGCTTCTGTCTTGGTTTTATGGGGAGATATTTCCATTTCTAGCATAGGCTTCAAGGCGCTCTAAATATCCGCTTGGAAATACTACAAAAACAGTGTTTCAAAACTGCTGTATCCAAAGGGAAGGTGCCACTCGCTGAGTTGAATGCACACATCACAAGGGAAGTTTCTGAGAATTCTTCTGTCTAGATTCATACGAAGAAATCCCGTTTCCAACGAAGGCCTCAAAGAAGTCCAAATATCCCATTGCAAATTCTACAAAAGGAGTGTTTCCCAACTGCTCTATCAAGAGGAATGTTGCACTCTGTGACTTGAATGCAAACATCACATAGCAGTGTTTGAGAATTCTTCTGTCTAGAGTAACATGAAGAAATCCCGTTTCCAACGAAGGCCTCAAGGCGGTCCAATTATCCACTTGCAGATTCTACAGAAAGAGTGTTTCAAAACTGCTCTATCAAGAGAAATGTTCCACCGTGTGTGTGGAATGCAGCCATCACACAGTAGTTTCTGAGATTGCTTCCGTCTAGGTTTTATGGGAAGATATTTCCTTTTCTACCATAGGCTTCAAGGCGCTCTAATATCCGCTTGGAAATACTACAACCACAGCGTTTCAAACTGCTCTATCCAAAGGAAGGTTCCACTCTGTGACTTGAATGCACACAACCAAAGAAGTTTCGGAGAATTCTTCTGTCTGGATTTATACGAAGAAATCCCGTTTCCAACGAAGACCCAAAGGAGTTCCAAATATCCACTTGCAGATCCTTCAGAAAGAGGGTTTCAAAACTGCTCTATCAAGAGAAATGTTCAACTCTGTGAGTTGAATGCAGACATCACAAAGTCGTTTCTGAGATGGGTTCTGTCTAGGTTTTATGGGAAGATATTTCCTTTTCTACCATACGCTTCAAGGCGTTCCAAATATCCGCTTGGAAATACTACAAAAACAGTGTTTCAAAACTGCTCTATCAAAAGGAAGGATCCACACTGTGAGTTGAATTCACACATCACAAAGAAATCTCTGAGAATTCTTCTGTCTGGGTTTATAGGAAGAAATCCCGTTTCCAACGAAGGCCTCAAAGCGGTCCATATATCCACTTGCAGATTCTACAGAAACAATGTTTCCAAACTGCTCTATCAAGAGGAATGTTGCACTCGGTGAGTTGAATGCACACATCACAAAGTAGTTTCTGAGATTGCTTCTGTCTACCTTTTCTACCATAGGCCTGAAAGCGCTCTTAATGTACCCTTGCAAATTCTACAAAAAGAGTGTTTCCAAATTGCTCTATCAAGAGAAATCTTTATCTCGGTGAGTTGAAAGCACACATCACAAAGAAGACTCTGAGAATTCTTCTGTCTGGGTTTATAAGATGAAAACCCGTTTCCAACGAAGGCCTCAAGGAGGTCCAAATACAAACAAGCTGATTCTACAGAAAGAGTGTTTCCAAACTGCTCTATCAAGAGGAATGTTCCACTCGGTGAGTTGAATGCAGACATCACAAAGGAGTTTCTGAGATTGCTTCTGTCTAGCTTTTATGGAAAGATATTTCCTTTTCTACCATAGGCCTCAAAGCGCTCTTAGTATACACTTCCAAATTCTACAAAGAGAGTGTTACTAAACCGCTCTCTCAAAGGAAATGTTACACTCTGTTAGTTGAACACAGACATCACAAAGCAGTTTCTGAGAACACTTCTGTCTGCCTTTTATGTGAAGACATTCCCTTTTCCAAAGAATGCCTCCAAGGGCTCAAAATATCCACTTGTAGACTTTACAAAGAGAGTGTTTCAAAACTTCTCTACCAAAAGAAAGGTTAAAGATGGTGAGTTCAACGCACACATCACAAAGTTGTTTCTGAGAATGATTCTATCTATGTTTTCCATGAAGATGTTTCCTTTTCTATCATAGGCTTCAAAGTGGTCTAAATATCCACTTGGAAATCCTACAAGAACAGGGTTTCAAAACTTCTCTATCAAACGGAAGACTCCACTCTGTGAGATGAACGCACACATCACAATGAGGTTTCTGAAAATTCTTCTGTCTAGGGTTATAGGAAGAAATCCCGTTTCCAACGAAGGCCTCAAAGAGGTCCAAATATCCACTTGCAGTTTCTACAAAAAGAGTGTTTCAACACTGCTCTATAAAGAGGAAAGTTCCACTCTGTGAGTTGAATGTACACATCACAAAGTAGTTTCTGAGATTGCTTCTGTCTAGGTTTTAGGTGAAGTTATTTCCTTTTCTACTGTGGGCTTCAATGCGCTCTAAATATACACATGCAAATACTACAAAAAGAGTGTTTCAAAACTGCTCTATCAAAAGAAAAGTTTTACTCTGTGGGTTGAACGCACACATCGCAAAGCAGATTCTGAGAATTATTCTGTCTAGTTTTTATAGGAAGATGTTTCTTTTTCTGCCATAGGATCAATGCGCTATAAATATCCCCTTGGAAGTCCTACAAAAACAGTGTTTCAAAACTGCTCTGTGAAAAGGGAGGTTTCACTCTTTGAATTGAATGCACACATCACAAAGGAGTTTCTGAAAATTCTTCAATCTAGAGTTACATGAAGAAATCCCGTTTCCAAAGAAGGCCTCAAATAGGTCCAAATATCCACTTGCAGCTACTACAAGAAGGGTGTTTCAGAAACGCTCTATCAAAAGAAACGTTAAACTCTGTGAGTTGAACACACACGTCACTAAGCACTTTCTGAGAACGATTCTATCTACTTTTTACATGAAGATGTTTCCTTTTCTAGCAGAGACTTCAAAGTGCTCTAAATATCCACTTGGGAATTCTACAAAAACGGTGTCTCAAAACTGCTCTATCAAAGGGAATGTTCCATTCTGTGAGTCGAATGCACACATCCGAAGAAGTTACTGAGAATTCTTCTCTGTAGGTTTAGATGAAGAAATCCCGTTTCCAACGAAGGCCTCTAGGAGGTCCAATTATCCACTTGCAGATTCTACAGAAAGAGTGTTTCAAAACTGCTCTATCAAGAGAAATGGTCCACCGTGTGTGTGGAATGCAGCCATCACACATTAGTTTCTGAGATTGCTTCTGTCTTGGTTTTATGGGGAGATATTTCCATTTCTAGCATAGGCTTCAAGGCGCTCTAAATATCCGCTTGGAAATAGCACAAAAACAGTGATTCAAAACTGCTGTATCCAAAGGAAGGTGCCACTCGCTGAGTTGAATGCACACATCACAAGGAAGTTTCTGAGAATTCTTCTGTCTAGATTCATACGAAGAAATCCCGTTTCCAACGAAGGCCTCAAAGAAGTCCAAATATCCCATTGCAAATTCTACAAAAGGAGTGTTTCCCAACTGCTCTATCAAGAGGAATGTTGCACTCTGTGACTTGAATGCAAACATCACATAGCAGTGTTTGAGAATTCTTCTGTCTAGAGTAACATGAAGAAATCCCGTTTCCAACGAAGGCCTCAAGGCGGTCCAATTATCCACTTGCAGATTCTACAGAAAGAGTGTTTCAAAACTGCTCTATCAAGAGAAATGTTCCACCGTGTGTGTGCAATGCAGCCATCACACAGTAGTTTCTGAGATTGCTTCCGTCTAGGTTTTATGGGAAGATATTTCCTTTTCTACCATAGGCTTCAAGGCGCTCTAATATCCGCTTGGAAATACTACAACCACAGCGTTTCAAACTGCTCTATCCAAAGGAAGGTTCCACTCTGTGACTTGAATGCACACAACCAAAGAAGTTTCGGAGAATTCTTCTGTCTGGATTTATACGAAGAAATCCCGTTTCCAACGAAGACCCAAAGGAGTTCCAAATATCCACTTGCAGATCCTTCAGAAAGAGGGTTTCAAAACTGCTCTATCAAGAGAAATGTTCAACTCTGTGAGTTGAATGCAGACATCACAAAGTCGTTTCTGAGATGGGTTCTGTCTAGGTTTTATGGGAAGATATTTCCTTTTCTACCATACGCTTCAAGGCGTTCCAAATATCCGCTTGGAAATACTACAAAAACAGTGTTTCAAAACTGCTCTATCAAAAGGAAGGATCCACACTGTGAGTTGAATTCACACATCACAAAGAAATCTCTGAGAATTCTTCTGTCTGGGTTTATAGGAAGAAATCCCGTTTCCAAAGAAGGCCTCAAAGAGGTCCAAATATCCACTTGCAGATTCTACAGAAACAATATTTCCTAACTGCTCGGTCAAGAGGAATGTTGCACTCGGTGAGTTGAATGCACACATCACAAAGTAGTTTCTGAGATTGCTTCTGTCTACCTTTTATGGAAAGATATTCCCTTTTCTACCATAGGCCTGAAAGCGCTCTCAATGTACCCTTGCAAATTCTACAAAAAGAGTGTTTCCAAATTGCTCTATCAAGAGAAATCTTTATCTCGGTGAGTTGAAAACACACATCACAAAGAAGACTCTGAGAATTCTTCTGTCTGGGTTTATAAGATGAAAACCCGTTTCCAACGAAGGCCTCAAGGAGGTCCAAATACAAACAAGCTGATTCTACAGAAAGAGTGTTTCCAAACTGCTCTATCAAGAGGAATGTTCCACTCGGTGAGTTGAATGCAGACATCACAAAGGAGTTTCTGAGATTGCTTCTGTCTAGCTTTTATGGAAAGATATTTCCTTTTCTACCATAGGCCTCAAAGCGCTCTTAGTATACACTTCCAAATTCTACAAAGAGAGTGTTACTAAACCGCTCTCTCAAAGGAAATGTTAAACTCTGTGAGTTGAACACAGACATCACAAAGCAGTTTCTGAGAACACTTCTGTCTGCCTTTTATGTGAAGACATTCCCTTTTCCAAAGAATGCCTCCAAGGGCTCAAAATATCCACTTGTAGACTTTACAAAGAGAGTGTTTCAAAACTTCTCTACCAAAAGAAAGGTTAAAGACGGTGAGTTCAACGCACACATCACAAAGTTGTTTCTGAGAATGATTCTATCTATGTCTTCCATGAACATGTTTCCTTTTCTATCATAGGCTTCAAAGTGGTCTAAATATCCACTTGGAAATCCTACAAGAACAGGGTTTCAAAACTTCTCTATCAAACGGAAGACTCCACTCTGTGAGATGAACGCACACATCACAATGAGGTTTCTGAAAATTCTTCTGTCTAGGGTTATAGGAAGAAATCCCGTTTCCAACGAAGGCCTCAAAGAGGTCCAAATATCCACTTGCAGTTTCTACAAAAAGAGTGTTTCAACACTGCTCTATAAAGAGGAAAGTTCCACTCTGTGAGTTGAATGTACACATCACAAAGTAGTTTCTGAGATTGCTTCTGTCTAGGTTTTAGGTGAAGTTATTTCCTTTTCTACTGTGGGCTTCAATGCGCTCTAAATATACACATGCAAATACTACAAAAAGAGTGTTTCAAAACTGCTCTATCAAAAGAAAAGTTTTACTCTGTGGGTTGAACGCACACATCGCAAAGCAGATTCTGAGAATTATTCTGTCTAGTTTTTA